>NC_000007.14:158083713-158396778 GCF_000001405.40 Homo sapiens
ACCCTCGGGGTACATCTCGCAGGCGGTGAGCACCCAGTGACCATCGCCGTCAGGCCCAGCGAGACCCAGGTGCCTGCGGTCACGGTGCACTGAGCCCTGGCTCTGGCCCTTGTGCTCTCAGGAACCCTGTGGGAGGACGGGGCATGAGGAGCTGTCTCCGGAGGAGACTCAGAGGGTCGGTAACGTGACCCCAACTGCATAACCTTCCCTAACTTGAATATGTGCAGGCTCTGACGTGGGAAGAAGTCTCTATCCCGAGGCCCCACTACAGGTCTAACTCCATGAGTCACTGTTCTGTGGCCCTCCTGGGCCCTTCCGCTGGGCCTCAGTTTACTCAGCTGTCGAGTGTGGCAAGGCCCACAGGTCCTCTTGGACTTGCTTTGGCCTAGGAGACCCTGGTTTTCAATAAACTCTGGTGGCCAGGCCCAGCGGGTCTGCAGTAAACAGGGGCAACACTGGGGGCTCCAGAGCTGAGCTGCTGGCTCTGCCCCCAGCACCATCAGCAGCAGAGATCCCTCCCCACAAGAAGAACTTGCCCTGGCATTTGTTACCAACCCCACCCACCACCCCCCACCCCGCCCGCCACGTCTGCTGTGCAGGTGGCAGATGGCTGAGTGCTGTGTGGTCCAGGTGAGAGGCTTCTGGGTAGGGAGTGAGGTCAGCCTTCCCACCAACTTCTTTCTAACCAGGGAGCCTTGGTTGTCTCTGCCATCTTGTTCAGCTTTCTGTCTCTTTAGACATTTGGGGAAAATTGAATAAATCCCATGTGCATATTGCCAGCATCAAAAGGGGAATTTCTGTACTAATCAGGAAATAAAAAGTAAAACAAAGATGCCTAGAGCCCTGCAGAGTCTCTTAGGAGCAAGTACTGCACCTAATATTACAGCTCTCGGGGAGAAAACACCCAGGACGCCCATCCACACCCACGACACTCATCCACATCCTCGACGCCCATCCACACCCACGACGCCCATCCACACCCACCACGCCCATCCACACCCACGACACTCATCCACACCCACGATGCCCATCCACACAGATGCCCATACACTCCGACACTCATCCACACCCACGATGCCCATCCACACGGATGCCCATACACTCCTACAATGCCCATCCACACCCACGATGCCCATCCACATCCTTGATGCCCATCCACACCCATGATGCCCATCCACATCCTCGATGCCCATCCACACCCACCACGCCCATCCACACCCTCGACGCCCATCCACACCCACGACGCCCATCCACACCCACGACGCCCATCCACACGGATGCCCATACACTCCGACACCCATCCACACCCACGACGCCCATCCACACCCACGACACCCATCCACACCCATGACGCCCATCCACACAGATGCCCATCCACACCCACCACACCCATCCACACCCATGACGCCCATCCACACCCACCACACCCATCCACACCCTCGACGCCCATCCAGATACCCATCCACACCCACGACGCCCATCCACACCCTTGACGCCCATCCACACAGATACCCATCCACACCCACGACACCCATCCACACCCATGACACCCATCCACACAGATACCCATCCACACCCACGACGCCCATCCACACCCACGACGCCCATTCACACATGCCCATCCACACCCATGACGCCCATCCACACCCACGACGCCCATCCACACATGCCCATCCACACCCACGACGCCCATCCACACCCATGACGCCCATCCACACCCACGACGCCCATCCACACGGATGCCCATACACTCCGACACCCATCCACACCCACGACGCCCATCCACACCCATGACGCCCATCCACACAGATGCCCATCCACACCCATGACGCCCATCCACACCCACCACGCCCATCCACACCCTCGACGCCCATCCAGATACCCATCCACACCCACGACGCCCATCCACACCCTCGACGCCCATCCACACAGATACCCATCCACACCCACGACGCCCATCCACACCCATGACACCCATCCACACAGATACCCATCCACACCCACGACGCCCATCCACACCCACGACACCCATCCACACATGCCCATCCACACCCATGACGCCCATCCACACCCACGACGCCCATCCACACATGCCCATCCACACCCACGATGCCCATCCACACCCATGACGCCCATCCACACCCACGACGCCCATCCACACCTACGACGCCCATCCACACCCACGACGCCCATCCACACATGCCCATCCACACCCATGACGCCCATCCACATACACGACGCCCATCCACACACACGACGCCCATCCACATGGGTGTTTTCTCCGTCAGGCACATTGTAACCACGTGTCCCGGCCTCACACACAGAGCACTTCCTTCCCATTCCTGCTTTGGCTTTGAAGCATACTGTGAAATTCTTCGTGGCTCCCTTCTCCACCAGGCGCTCCTTACACAGTGCTCACCTATCTAATTACAGACCTGCTTAGAAATTCCAGGGGCCAATTTTCAAACAGAACAGGCAGAGAGACTGAGCTGCAGAATCCTCTGCTGAGGGGGAGTTAGGAACAGGTAGCCCACCGCTCCCAGGCTGAAGCCACAATGATAGAAACCAGGCCTCTGCACGATGAGATAACCATCAGAACAGACACACAGCCTGGCGTCCGCCTGCACCACTCCACACAGCTCCATGCCTTTTCCTCCTTAAACCCCTCACTCAGCCACAAAGGGGGAATGGTCTGTTAAAGGCATGAGCCTGGCCATTCCCCAGCTGCCAGCGTTTGATTAATAACTGCTTTCCTCTGCCCACACCTCACTCTCATGTTTTCGGCCTCTGAGTGGCAAACAGCTGGACTTGAGCCAGTTACAACACTAGGAACACCAGTCAGCACTCAGCACTGTGCTGGGGCCATTTAAACAACAAAACCACCAACGAAAAGCACAAAAAATGTGGAAAATGTGGCACTCAATAGACCATAAAGAGGAGCCTTGTTTTACAGTATGAGCTGAAACGAGAAGGCGGAGCTGTCCTCTCCCACCTGAGCACAGGCATGTCAGGCAACCTGAACTTTATGGCTCTGTGTGTGTGCAGGAATGACTTTGGCATAAGCATTGATTTGGGGGTTACAAATTAATTTGCAAATACAGAATCTGCGAATGAACAGGATCATCGACTGCCTAGCATCTGTGTTGAAGCGCTTTCACACACATCAATAACCTTATTATCTTCTTCACATTTTTCAATTTTATACTGTAGAGAGGATGGGAGCACTGGAGCTTACAAGGCTTGAGATCCAATTGTTTGTTTAACCGCCACTTCCTCGCGGGGCGATTTTGCACATTACATTATTTACCCTGCAAAATCGGGGGAACAAGACAAACATTGCAGGGCATTGGAGGATCGGGCAGGATAGCTGACATGCGACAGGGTTCCCTCTGAACCAAAGCTGTCAGTCTGTGCCCTGCTCAGTCAGGAGGGGTCTGCTCCTCCTCCAAATTCTTCCATAAAATCCACTCTCTAAATTGACTATGGCTTGTGTGGGTTCACACAGTCCCCGCACGCTGTACTGCTTTCTCAGGGAGCCTGGTTGCTTTCCTTCGGGAATGACGTGGTTGATACAAGGGAGGGGACTGTCTCTTTCCCGACCCTGGACCGTGCAGTGAAGATCTCATGAGGAATCTGTAAATGGCCACGTCAGGGTAGATCTTGAAAGTGTCGTCCCGATGGTCGTGCCAGGCACATCTATGGTAAGAAGCGTCTGATGCAAGAGCAGGAAGAGTTTCTGAGTCACTGTTCCTGGGAGAACCATCCACCTTTTGACAGTCAAATTCACTTACCGTGAAAGGTGACTCCTATTTAGGGTGGAAGAAATGCCAAAAAGGAATGCTGCCCACTCAGATGCAAACGCTTCCTCCCCTGACGAAGGAGGGAGTCTTCACACAAACCTTCCTCCCCTGATGAAGGAGGGAGTCTTCACACAAACCTTCCTCCCCTGATGAAGGAGGGAGTCTTCACACAAACCTTCTTCCCCTGATGAAGGAGGGAGTCTTCACACAAACCTTCTTCCCTTGATGAAAGAGGGAGTCTTCACACACATCCTTCTTCCCCTGATGAAAGGGGGAGTCTTCACACAAACCCTTCCTCCCCTGATGAAAGAGGGAGTCTTCACACAAACCTTCTTCCCCTGATGAAGGAGGGAGTCTTCACACAAACCTTCTTCCCCTGATGAAAGAGGGAGTCTTCACACACATCCTTCTTCCCCTGATGAAAGAGGGAGTCTTCACACAAACCTTCTTCCCCTGATGAAAGAGGGAGTCTTCACACAAACCTTCTTCCCCTGAGGAAAGGGGGAGTCTTCACACAAACCTTCTTCCCCTGATGAAGGAGGGAGTCTTCACACAAACCTTCTTCCCCTGATGAAAGAGGGAGTCTTCACACAAACCTTCTTCCCCTGAGGAAAGGGGGAGTCTTCACACAAACCTTCTTCCCCTGAGGAAAGAGGGAGTCTTCACACAAACCTTCCTCCCCTGAGGAAAGAGGGAGTCTTCACACAAACCTTCTTCCCCTGATGAAGGAGGGAGTCTTCACACAAACCTTCTTCCCCTGATGAAAGAGGGAGTCTTCACACAAACCTTCTTCCCCTGATGAAAGAGGGAGTCTTCACACAAACCTTCCTCCCCTGATGAAAGAGGGAGTCTTCACACAAACCCTTCTTCCCCTGATGAAAGAGGGAGTCTTCACACAAACCTTCTTCCCCTGATGAAAGAGGGAGTCTTCACACAAACCTTCCTCCCCTGATGAAAGAGGGAGTCTTCACACAAACCTTCTTCCCCTGATGAAAGAGGGAGTCTTCACACAAACCTTCTTCCCCTGATGAAAGGGGGAGTCTTCACACACATCCTTCTTCCCCTGACGAAAGAGGGAGTCTTCACACACATCCTTCTTCCCCTGAGGAAAGAGGGAGTCTTCACATAAACCTTCTTCCCCTGATGAAAGAGGGAGTCTTCACACAAACCTTCTTCCCCTGATGAAAGAGGGAGTCTTCACACAAACCTTCCTCCCCTGATGAAAGAGGGAGTCTTCACACAAACCTTCTTCCCCTGATGAAGGAGGGAGTCTTCACACAAACCTTCTTCCCCTGATGAAAGAGGGAGTCTTCACACAAACCTTCTTCCCCTGATGAAAGGGGGAGTCTTCACACACATCCTTCTTCCCCTGACGAAAGAGGGAGTCTTCACACACATCCTTCTTCCCCTGAGGAAAGAGGGAGTCTTCACATAAACCTTCTTCCCCTGATGAAAGAGGGAGTCTTCACACAAACCTTCTTCCCCTGATGAAAGAGGGAGTCTTCACACAAACCTTCCTCCCCTGATGAAAGAGGGAGTCTTCACACAAACCTTCTTCCCCTGATGAAAGAGGGAGTCTTCACACAAACCTTCTTCCCCTGATGAAAGGGGGAGTCTTCACACACATCCTTCTTCCCCTGACGAAAGAGGGAGTCTTCACACACATCCTTCTTCCCCTGAGGAAAGGGGGAGTCTTCACACAAACCTTCTTCCCCTGAGGAAAGAGGGAGTCTTCACACAAACCTTCCTCCCCTGAGGAAAGAGGGAGTCTTCACACAAACCTTCTTCCCCTGATGAAGGAAGGAGTCTTCACACAAACCTTCTTCCCCTGATGAAAGAGGGAGTCTTCACACAAACCTTCTTCCCCTGAGGAAAGGGGGAGTCTTCACACAAACCTTCCTCCCCTGAGGAAAGAGGGAGTCTTCACACAAACCTTCTTCCCCTGATGAAGGAGGGAGTCTTCACACAAACCTTCTTCCCCTGAGGAAAGGGGGAGTCTTCACACAAACCTTCTTCCCCTGATGAAAGAGGGAGTCTTCACACAAACCTTCTTCCCCTGATGAAAGAGGGAGTCTTCACACAAACCTTCTTCCCCTGATGAAAGAGGGAGTCTTCACACAAACCTTCTTCCCCTGATGAAAGGGGGAGTCTTCACACAAACCTTCTTCCCCTGATGAAAGAGGGGGTCTTCACACACATCCTTCCTCCCCTGACAAAAGAGGGGGTCTTCACACAAACCTTCTTCCCCTGATGAAAAGGGGAATGTTCACACAAATCCTTCTTCCCCTGACGAAAGAGGGAGTCTTCACACACATCCTTCCTCCCCTGATGAAAGAGGGAGTCTTCACACAAACCCTTCCTCCCCTGACGAAAGAGGGAGTCTTCACACAAACCTGTCTTCCCCTGACGAAAGAGGGAGTCTTCACACAAACCCTTCCTCCCCTGACGAAAGAGGGAGTCTTCACACAAACCCTTCCTCCCCTGACGAAAGAGGGAGTCTTCACACAAACCCTTCCTCCCCTGACGAAAGAGGGAGTCTTCACACAAACCCTTCCTCCCCTGATGAAAGAGGGGGTCTTCACACACATCCTTCTTCCCCTGACAAAAGAGGGAGTCTTCACACACATCCTTCTTCCACTGATGAAAGAGGGAGTCTTCACACAAACCCTTCCTCCCCTGATGAAAGAGGGAGTCTTCACACACACCTGCTGCCTAGAGCCCTCAGAGGTGTGATACTCGAACAATGTGTTCACATGGGTCCTATGAAGAATATATTAGGAGAAACAAAAGCTATTTATTGCCGCTAGGAGTCATCTCCCAATTGGGCTGGAAATAACATGAAAAAATATATCACTGAGATTCTACAGAATTCACTGACTTAAAACTACCTTTAACCAAAATAAGGAAACCATATATGTTGTACATAGATAAGAGATCATTTCATCACTGTAATTTTAGCTATAGTTACCTCTATTTTAAATATCATTCCATTTATTCCTGAGTTCTTTATCACTCAGTGGTTCCACTTGATAGTTTACTATATATTGATAATTGCTCATTTCTTTTGATGGTCATAAAACATGCCAACAAAGAAGAGAAGTGACATCTAGCATTTTAACACTGATTTTATTGCTTGTGTTCTAGGATACTCCTATCACTCAAGACTTATGAGACAAACATACCAGCCCTCCATCAACCAGACTGTTGAGTGTAAGAGTTCTGCGTAAAAGGCCTTTTCTTAACTGAGGACTATTTGGAAATCTCTTTTTCCCCTACTTTTATGAGTGAAATAATTTAAAAATACATATAATTATCTGCCTTTAGAACATCAATATACTGATGTACTAATATTTGTTGTCTTAGCAATCATATATCTCAAAGTGATTTTCTGAATATTAGTTTTCAGGGCATGACACTTTAACCACAGGAAAGAAAACACTGAGCTCCATCTGTTCTTAGACCAACCGTCCGGTTGAGAATGAAGAAGATGAACAAATCTCTGACAAAAGCTTCCATGTTTCGGAAATGGTTTTAAATAAGAACCGAGGCTTCTATTTGGTTGGGTTAGTCTGGGGGTTGTTATTTCTGTATAGTAACGACTATACAGTCGATACATAACACAGGCTTATTTGTATCAAGTCAACCTTTAAGGGCTACAATAAATGTAACACATTTGACTACAGTTTTCTGAATAGACACTGCCTAAGCAGTAGTTAACAAGTTTGTAGTCCGTTTAAATAAAGACAGGCCTCAGGTACTAGATTCCCTTGACTTTTTGTGGATAAAAAGAAGATAGCCAAGGCATATATGGCAACAAATATAGTTTTAAAGTTAATCATTTAATGTTGATGCTTTACAACCAACATAAAAGTAAATGCTTCTCTTTTCAACTGGTGAATTTTCTTGAAAGTTATTTAGAAATGAAAAAAACAAAACTTCTGTAGACTGTTTTTTGTTTGTTTATTTTACTAGCATGCTCTCTGCTGGCTTGACAGACTGACCTGTGCTTTATCTATTTGACACCTGGATTTGGAGTGAAGCCCATAACATGAATAGATGGGTGCGTGAGGGATAGGTGATAGATGGATGGGTAGAGAGATGGTTGGGTGAGTGGGTGGGTGGGTGAGAGATAGGTGATGGATGGGTAGAGAGATGGTTGGTTGGGTGGGTGGATGGGTGAGGGACAGGTGATAGATAGATGAGCAGAGAGATGGTTGGGTGGGTGGGTGAAAGATAGGTGATGGATGGGTAGAGAGATGGTTGGGTGGGTGAAGGATAGGTGATAGATGGATGGGTAGAGAGATGGTTGGGTGAGTGGATGGGTGAGGGATAGGTGATGGATGGGTAGAGAGATGGGTGGGTGGGTGAGTGAGGGATAGGTGATAGATGGATGGGTAGAGAGATGGTTGGGTGGGTGGGTGGATGGGTGAGGGATCGGTGATAGATGGATGGGTAGAGAGATGGTTGGTTGGGTGGGTGGGTGGGTGAGGGATAGGTGATAGATGGTTGGGTAGAGAGATGGGTGGGTGAGGGATAGGTGATGGATAGGTAGAGAGATGGTTGGGTGGGTGGATGGGTGAGGGATAGGTGATAGATGGGTAGAGAGATGGTTGGGTGAGTGGGTACATGGATGAGTAGATGGGTGAATGGGAGGGCAGAGATATATATACACATATACATGTATATGTGTGCATATATATATATACACACATATATGTATATATATGCATACATATATACATGTGCATATATATACATATATGTGTGTGTGTATATATATGTAGGTGAGTGGGTGGGAGGGAGGATGGGTGGATGGATGGATAGATGGGTGGGTGGGTGGGTAGAAGGATGGATGGATGGGTAGAGAGGTGGATAAGTGGATAGATATATGGGTGGATGGCTGGCTGGATGGATGGGGAGGTAGACGGATGGATGGATGAAAAATTGATAGGTGGGTGGTTTGGTGGATAGAGATATGTATATATTTATTGCTTATATTAATTCAAACATAATTAGACACTTTCTCAAAATACTGTTTATAGCTTAAGAATCATTTTGCATTAAACCTTTCCCATCTTGTGGGCTATACATTTAGTGAATTGCTCATTCTGTTTCTTAGTCAGTATTATGTTCAGAGAAACACAGTGCTAATAAAGGTCTCAAAATTATCAAACAAAATCATAATGATTTAAGAGACTTACTATATCTGGCTGAACATAATTTGAGGCCAGGTAAAACCTGGAAGAGCTCACTACACACAGTACATGTTTTAGGGGCTCCCTAAAGCCAGCCCCTCAGCCTCGAGGTAGAGGCACAGGGGAACTTCCAAGAAACCAGCCCTGTGTCTGGCCTTGAGTAGGTGGGCGCAAACCAAGAGAGCACGCTGCTGTGGTGCTCGGTAACAACCACAAAATTTGACCTAAGGCAACTCATTTGGCAATCGCTATTTTATAGATGAATAAGTTGAAACCCTTGTAGTTTTAGGTGCTAGCTCCAAATAGTCCAATTCTAATATCAATGCCACCACTAGAATCACAACTTCGGCGTTCTTGGCTGAGAGCCTTCTGCGAGGCACGAGTATAAGTGTGAGACCCACACGCAGGCCTGCACCTCTGTCCTTTCCTGACTCTGCCGCTGGACCGACCCCCACACCATAGACCCACACGCAGGCCTGCACCTCTGTCCTTTCCTGACTCTGCCGCTGGACCGACCCCCCACACTGTAGACCCACACGCAGGCCTGCACCGTCCTTTCCTGACTCTGCCGCTGGACCGACCCCCACACTGTAGACCCACACGCAGGCCTGCACCGTCCTTTCCTGACTCTGCCGCTGGACCGACCCCCACACTGTGGACCCACAGGTAGGCCTGCACCACTGTCCTTTCCTGACTCTGTCGCTGGACCGACCCCCACACTGTTTGTGCTTTTACTCCCTGAATTGTTCCTGATGATAACTTGCCTCCTCCAGTCTTGTTCCTTGTTCACTGGCGTCCCTCACTCTAGGCAAGCCCACAGCTTGGTGCTGGGCTAATCCAAGCTACCGACAGAAAACCAATAAAAAAATGAGCTCACGTCTGGCTGCTACAGAATTCTCTTTGCATGCCTCATTCCAGCTATGTCTTCTTACAGAGGAGACATCGGGAACATAAAACTCCGGAATTCCACGTGGATAGCATAATGCATACCTACTTTCCTTACACACACTTTTAATTTTACCACATTTCCTGCACAATTGTGTATTCCTGCCTCTCGTACATGAGGCAATAACTTCCCAAAATATCTAGCCTAAGAGCTTACAAAGGAGGAAGAAGAGAGAACCAATTCTTATTTGAATGTATGAGGAAACAAAGACACACACAGTTATTGCAAGATAATTTAACATCATGCAAGCCTTAATGAAAACATAATTATTAATGATGCTTTATTTTCTTAAAGCATTGAGCAACTGCATCACTGTGCAGATTGTATCTTCTTTGCAATTACTTTGCCATTACATGGGATTTGGGAAATCCTTTCTGTGCCAGGGAATGTCTTGCCGCTTACTTTTCTCATGGAGTATTTGGAAGAAAACAGATTGTTCAGTATGTATGCTTTGCCTTTGAACTTTAGAAGCATTTGCCTCCTTTGAAGTTCTACTGCAGGCTGCTTTCCTGTTACACCTGCTGGGTGGCATGACCAGTCCCAAGAGAAGACCCTTGTTCCCCCAGCACAGGGGTGGGCCGGATCTCACCAGGAGCAGCAGAACGCTCGCCATTCCCGAAGGACCAGGGCCACCCCATCTGTGTTTTTTCTGTTTTGTTTTTGTTTTTGTTTTCAGACGGAGTCTCGCACTGTCACCCAGGCTGCAGTGCAATGGCGTGATCTCGGCTCACTGCAACCTCTGACTCCCGGGTTCAAGTGATTCTCCTGCCTCAGCCTCCCCAGTAGCTGGGATTACAGGCACCTGCCACCATGCTCAGCTAATTTTTTTTTTAAAATAGAGATGGCGTTTCACTATGTTGGCCAGGCTGGTCTCGAACTCCAGACCTTGTGATCCGCCCACCTCGGCCTCCCAAACTGCTGGGATTACAGGCATGAGCCACTGCTCCCGGCCCCCATCTGTGCTTTCTATTGCAGCTTCGCTCTCATGATGCTTAAGGATTAATGAGCTACACAAACACATGACTGAATTATTAGTGACTAACATTTAGAAGTAGAAGCATTCACCCAAGAATTAGGACCCAGGCTTTTTCCCGAAGCCTCAGCAGCTTGGCCACAGCCTTCGGTGCTGTAGGACAGGCAGGAAAGGTGAGAACTCCTCCCCCTGAGTGTTCCTGAGGGCTCCACTGCGCAGTCCCCACCATCCCTCAGGGTCTCCTGGGCACTGTGGCTCACTCTGGTTTTGTTTCTTGTTTTACTTTTGTTTCTCTGGACACGCAGGCTGCTAACTCCCGAAGGCAACTGCCAGCCTTCAAACAACTCCAGTTTGCAATCCCAAATGAAGTGTAACGCACACTCATGGGCCAGCATCCGTGGTGGGAGGAGCCGCTGGGTCCTGTAACTGGGGCAGGTTTATATTCCTCCCTGCCCTGGGTTGCAGGTCTCAGCCTTTCCTGCAGGAGGTGAGTCCTGAATAACCTGCCCCGCCCATCTGCCCCAAAGCCTCCTGCAATCAGCTCATGCGCAACGTCTCTGACTGGAGAGACACATTCGGAAGAGTGAAGTGATTTTTATTTGGTCCTGGTGAGAAAAATAAGAATAACGCCAAGCAGGGTATCTAGTATTGACGGTGTAGGTCATAAGTAAAATGCATATTTTACCACAGTGTTTGGTGTCATTTCTATATAAATCTAACTTGTTCATGTGTTTACATATTTCTTGGCTTAGACATTTTATTACTTTAATAATGTATCTGGAAAGCTACCCTTTATTTGGTGTTAAGTATCTGCATACGCAGGGCATTTAATTCTACAACTCTGATGTAGACATTATCGTCTCTACTCCATGGAGGAGCACACTGAGGCCAGGTGGCTTCAGTAATCTGCCCAGGGCCTCACAGCAAGTTGAGAAAAACAGAGTCAAACCCATGTGCCTTTGAATTCAGTCTGCCCATTCTTTCGTGGAATCATTCATTCACTCATTCAACAAATAAGCCCCTGTTATGGGCCAGAAACACTCTAGTCACTGATGACGCATGATTGAGCAATACAGACTGAGGCCCTGCCTTCAAGGAGCGTAGGAGTGTATACTTTCTGGTTCTGGTTTTGCAGAGACGAGGTCTTGCTATGTTGCCCTGGCTGGTCTCAAAACTCCTGGTCTCCAGTGATCCTCCCAGTTCAGCCCCCAAAGTACTGGGATTACAGGCGTGAGCCGCCGCACCAGGCCAGGAGATAAAAGATTCAAGTCCTATGGATGAAAGTGCCTTTACAAGAAAACTCAGAACTGCCTGGGAAACTCTTCACTACCTGGTGTCCAGTACCCAAATCCAGCATTTACCCAATGCTTCACACTTGAAGTGCATTGAAAAGTCTAGAGAAAAGAATGGGTTCTTCTTGCCAATCTGAATCCATTAACAGTAGAAATTAGAGTGTTTTTTTTCCTAACAGCAATGAAATAGCGCAATTGTCCAGCTAACATGTATTGCAAACCTCCACAGCAGACGTTATTCTAGTTTTTCCTAGAGTCTCTCCAACCCTGTCATGGCCTCACAGCCGTATACATAATTTGTGGGGCCCTTTGTTGAAGAATTGTAAGAGTCTCAAGATGGTACCAGCAAAGCATGAACCATGTGTGGGGCCTCTAAGAGCCGGGTCTCAGCCACATGCCCAGGCCACCTCCATCCTTGTGGGGAAACTGAGGCTCAGGAAAATAAGGAAACTGCTCTCCTCCTAAATGGTCATATCATTTCATACTAGGAAACAAGGCTCCACCAATATTTTAAACACAAATATCTTTAATCAAATCATGGGATTCACTTAACCTGAGAAATGCCACCTTTCACTCAAACAGAATTATTATTTGCAAATCCACAGTGGCCTTCCCTTGTTGTCTCATCTTAAAGACGGGACGGGGAGTTTTGACGTACTGTGACATTTCCTTGACATTCCTTATTTCCAGGAAAACCTCATGTCACTGTCTCGAGACACTAGCTTGCACCTTTGCAACTGCTTGTAATATTCAGACAGGGCACTGAAGACGAAGCCTGGGCTCCGTTTGGGAAGGAGAGTTACATAACATGAGGCCCCATTCCCCACCTTCCTCACTTGGCAAATCCAGAACACAGGTGAAACAGGTAGCAACATTGCCCGTGAGGGCCGGAGTCTGCAGGTGGTGGATACACCACATCCAGATGCAAATGCCATTTACCCAGACCCTCCCCTGGGGCTCCTGGGAGTTTCTCACTGCGGGGGCTCTTGGCTTTGAGTGATATTACTAACGCACAGCACTGTCGCTGCAGTGGTTAATCTGCACTGCCCTGATGTGTAGACAAAATTATCCAGGGCTTTATAGTCATCGAGGCCACAGGGAAAACCAGAGAGCCAACCCAGGGAATGAAGGACCATTCTCACCCCTCACAGGATTCCTGCTGCCTACAACATCTTTGTAAATCCCCTATGCATGGGGACAAGACTAGGGGCAAAACAATCACAACTCTGCCCCCGGAAACTGAAACATACTTTCCAGAAGTTTCCCGGCAAACCCCAGGGACTTCTCCCACTGGCAGGGTGGGAGAGGGGCAGGCACTGGGGAAGGAGGTGGAGGGGCCCGGGCAGCACTGGGGTTGTCACAGGATCGAGCAGGCACAGGCACCTCCCGCGCCCCGTGCACAGAGAAGACCCCAACAAGAAGCATCAGGGTTGAGAATTCCCACTGCTGCCTCTTCGGTAATAACACCGTATTCATCAATCCAGTAAATCACACAGATGAGAAAGTAAACGCTTCTCCCACCAGGAGAGCACATGAAGATTGATCACAGAATTAGGCTGCGTGCCCCGAATGCCCCGGCGGTCCTCGTGGCTGATGTGGGAGCTCCACCGAAGCCATCTGGAAGAGAACTGTCACAGAGCCCGTCTCACTGTGGACTCAGGGGCTCGTGGGAATGTGTCTTTGGCATCCTTTTTCCCAGGAGCACTGCCCACCTCCCCGAGATTCCGCGGAAGGCGGCCTGGCATCGATCACCGCCGCCGCAGACAGCCACAATCACGTCGTAAAAACCCGGCTGCGGTCACTGCCGGTCTGCTGGCATAATTACATCACATGCTAATGCAGTTTTAATGGTCTCTAATGATGTCATAAGAAATAATGGGATTTATGTGACAGCTACATAACCACTAACAAAACATATTCAGCATAACTAGCACTTCCACAAAACCGCAGGAGAGTCTGAGAGTGACAGCTTGCGCATCCTGTCCGCCTCTTTTCCTTTCCCGGAACAATGAGCAGCTCCCAGAACATGCTCTGACAGGCAGCACCGCGTGGCCGTGTCTCCCGCCTGTCAGAGCTGCTCCCCTCGAGACACCAACGAGGCACAGCCCACACCCCCGTCCGTCCCTCGAGCCGGTGCATTTGCCAAGTGTGTGCCCGTGGCTGCTGGGCCCGGGTGAGGCACAGGACGTGGAAGTAAGGCTTGCGTGGTCCCCTGCACATGAGCACACACGCACGCAGGCACCAGAACTCAAGACCCAGCGTGGGGCAGCCTCTGCCTGGCCAGGACTGGGGACCTCGGAGAAGCGCTGGACGCAGCAAGAATCAGGCTTCAGCTCCGCAATGTGGGCAGGGGACCCGCAAAGGATCCTGCGGGTGAGGCCACCGGGGGGGCTCCCTGGGGAGGAGGTGGAGAGGTCCAGATTCCCGAAGGCTCCGAGGGACGGGCGGCGGGACTCAGGTTTGACTCTGTAGGAAAGAGGGGGCCGCCAGTGTCCTAAGGCGGGAGATGCCCGAGGGTGACGCTTACCCAGGACTGAGCCTGGCAAAGCCCAGCCCTGCTCCCGGAATGCGGAGAAGCCGTCCGTGCTCAGAATCCGTCTTCCGACAGCGAAGGCGGTGGCCAGGAGGGCCAGGGGCAGGGAGCAGGCACGGGCGAGGCCCAGCTGCTCTGTGAAACCAGAGGCTCCCCGAGGCACACGCCTCCCTCGCCCGCCCCGGCCTGGCATCTGCCAGTCCCACCATTTTGCTGAGACTCTGTGAAGGTGAATGGGGTTGCTTGGGCTCGGGGACTGGAAGAAGAAGGACGTTTATCTCGTGAACGCGGGACGCTCCTTATGGGAGAGGAGTGGGAGACATGAAGCAAAGCGTGACCACCGAGGAGCTGGGGAGAAAGCGAGAAAGCAAGGAAGCAGTGGGGGACGGGGAACGGGGCCGCGGGGAGGGCCGGAGAAGATGGTAGAAGGTGACAGTGCGGGGTGCAGCGTTCCTGGGTCCTTGAGGGGAGCCGGGCTTCTCAGCCTTGAAGACCCACTTCTTCTCTGGCCTCATTCCTGGGTTCCGCATCCCGGCTGCCTCCCCTTCCTCCCCCAACACATCCCGGCTGCCTCCCCTTCCTCCCCCCAACACATCCCGGCTGCCTCCCCTTCCTCCCCCAACATCCCGGCTGCCTCCCCTTCCTCCCCCCACATCCCGGAGGCCTCTCCTTCCTCCCCCCACAACCCGGCTGCCTCCCCTTCCTCCCCCCAACACATCCCGGGTGCCTCCCCTTCCTCCCCCCACATCCCGGATGCCTCCCCTTCCTCCCCCCACATCCCGGCTGCCTCCCCTTCCTCCCACCACATCCCGGCTGCCTCCCCTTCCTCCCCCCACATCCCGGCTGCCTCCCCTTCCTCCCCCCACATCCCGGCTGCCTCCCCTTCCTCCCCCAACATCCCGGCTGCCTCCCCTTCCTCCCCCCAACACATCCCGGCTGCCTCCCCTTCCTCCCCCCACATCCCGGCTGCCTCCCCTTCCTCCCCCAACATCCCGGCTGCCTCCCCTTCCTCCCCCCAACACATCCCGGCTGCCTCCCCTTCCTCCCCCCACATCCCGGCTGCCTCCCCTTCCTCCCCCAACATCCCGGCTGCCTCCCCTTCCTCCCCCCAACACATCCCGGCTGCCTCCCCTTCCTCCCCCCAACACATCCCGGCTGCCTCCCCTTCCTCCCCCAACATCCCGGCTGCCTCCCCTTCCTCCCCCCATCCCCGGCTGCCTCCCCTTCCTCCCCCCAACACATCCCGGCTGCCTCCCCTTCCTCCCCCCACATCACCGGCTGCCTCCCCTTCCTCCCACCACATCCCGGCTGCCTCCCCTTCCTCCCCCCAACACATCCCGGCTGCCTCCCCTTCCTCCCCCCAACACATCCCGGCTGCCTCCTCTTCCTCCCCCCATCCCATCAGTGGTCATGCTTCACTTCCTCTCCCCACTCCTCCCTCATAAGGATCATTGTGTTCATGAAATAAACTTATTCCTTCTTTATTTATTTTTATTTTCCATAGGTTTTGGGAACAGGCAGTGTTGAGTTACATGAGTAAGTTCTCTAATGGTGATGTGTGAGATTTTGGTGCACCCTCCTGCCACCCTTTTCCCTGAGTCTCCAAAGTCCTTATGTCATTCTTAAGCCTTCACATCCTCATAGCTCAGCTCCCACTTATGAGTGAGAACATATGATGTTTGGTTTTCCATTCCTGAGTTACTTCATTTAGAATAATAGTCTCCAGTTCCATCCAGCTTGCTGTGAATGCCATTATTTCATTCCTTTTTATGGCTGAATAGTATTCCATGGGGTGTGTGTGTGTGTGTGTGTGTGTGTGTGTGTGTGCCACGATTTCTTTATCTACTCATTGATTGATGGGCATTTGGGTTGGTTCCATATTTTTGCAATTGCAAATTGTGCTGCTATAAACGTGTGTGCAAATATCTTTCTCGTATAATGACTTCTTGTCCTCCAGGTAGATACCCAGCAGTGGGATTGCTGAATCAAATGGTAGTTCTTTTAGTTCTTTAAGGAATCTCCACACTGTTTTCCATAGTGGCTGTGCTAGTTTGCACTCCCACCAGCAGTGTAGAAGTGTTCCCTGTTCACCACATCCACACCAGCATCTACTGTTTTTTGATTTTTTGATTATATCCAATCTTGCAGGAGTAAGGTGGTATAACATTGTGGTTTCGATTTGCATTTCCCTGATCATTAGTGATGTTGGGCATTTTTTCATATGTTTGTTGGCCATTTGTATATCTTCTTTCAAGAATTGTCTATTCATGTCTTTAGCCCATTGTTTGATGGGACTGTTTGTTTCTTGCTAATGTGAGTTCTTTGTAGAGTCTGGATATTAGTCTTTTGTCGGATATATAGATCATGAAGATTTTTTCTCACTCTTTGGGTTGTCTGTATACTGCTGAAAGAAATCACAGATGACGCAAACAAATGGAAACACATCCCATGCTCATGGATGGGTAGAATCAATATTGTGAAAATGACCGTACTGCCAAAAGCAATCTACAAATTCAATCCAATCCCCATCAAAATACCACCATCATTCTTCACAGAACCAGAAAAGACAATCCTAAAATTCATATGGAACCAAAAAAGAGCCTGCATAGCCAAAGCAAGACTAAGCAAAAAGAACAACCTGGAGGCATCACATTACCTGACTTCAAACTATTCTATAAGGCTATAGTCACCAAAACAGCATGGTACTGGTATAAAAATAGGCACACAGACCAATGGAACAGAATAGAGAACCCAGAAATAAACTCAACTACTTAACAGCCAACTGATCTTCGATAAAGCAAACAAAAACAAAGTGGGGAAAGGACACTCTAGTCAAAAATGGTGCTGGGATAATTGGCAAGCCACATGTAGAAGAATAAAACTGGATCCTCATCTCTCCCCTTATCCAAAAATCAACTCAAGATGGATCAAGGACTTAAATCTAAGACCTGAAACCATAAAATTTCTAGGAAATAGCATTGGAAAAACTCTTCCAGACATTGGCTTAGGCAAAGACTTCATGACAAAGAACCCAATAGCAAATGCAACAAAAACAATGATAAATAGCTGGGACTTAAACTAAAAAGTTTCTGCACAGCAAAAGAAACAATCAGCAGAATAAACTCATTCCTTCTTCCAGTCATCTAGCCCAAACAATCCCACTGTATACAAAGAAAGACCTCACACCTTCCATTGCACCAAAAGAGTTTAAAACCCAGCTCACCATGAAAGCCATGGAGACTTTAAAAGAAATCCCACCTGGTATTTAAGAAAATCTCACCCAGCACAGTAGTGCACCCGTCAGCCTCAGGTCTGCTCCAATCAGTGTGGACAGCAAAGCCCCTGGCCACCCTGACCGTCCAGCTGTTGGCCATGTGGCCAACCACTCCTCCCTTCTTCATTCTGGCCCACCCTCTCCCAGGGGATGTTACTGGGGGAGGGCAGAGATGGCCAAAGCAGTGAGCAGCGGCAGGCCCATCTCTGCCCGTCACTACGCCACGGTGGGCCCTGAGGTCCCAGGATCTGCTCACAGTGAGCAGCCATGGAGCTTGCAGCTGACCCTGGGGCCCCTCTCCTGTCCTGAGGATGAAGTGGTTCCTCTCCCAAGCCCCAGATCGCAAACTGGACCCATGTGGCAGGCACTGAGCCCAGGTGCCAGGCAGCCCTCAGCCCACGCCTTCACCCTGGAGCCATGATGCTAACAGTGCATGGCAGCCATCAGCAGCAGGGCGGCCAGGAGGGAACCTTCAGAAAACACTGAGCCCCTGTGCGCCTGAGCCACGGCCTTCCACGTGCTGGACAGCCACCACAGAAGGGCTTTGCCAGAGGAAAATATGGTAAACTCAATGCACGCATCCCGAGCTGGCCCGAGGATGCTTTATTCCAAAGCCACCTCTTGTGACTGCCTGCCCTCTGCCCAATTATCTCAGTTATGTGTCTGGGTGCAACAGCTTCCTCCCTCCCATGGCTCCAGGCCGCCCTGCTGCTCATGGAGGCACCTCTCATGGTACCCAGGCTGCTTCTTTTCCATGGCCCTCAAATGTCCCTGAGGACAATCTCACTTTTAACTAAGGAGGCATCCACACCTCCACACGTTCATCAGTAATTGTGGGCCTTGGCAGCAACAGGTGAGTTTCCCAGGGCTGCAGAATCACAGAGCATGCCCCATGTATTTGATATATGGAGAGAGGCAGAAGGGGGTGTGGGATGGGCCTGCAGCTTTGCGGGTGTTGGAGGGATGAGGCCTTTGTTGTTCAAGGACTCATTGCATCACGCTTGAATCACACTTGCACTTAAGATGCAAGTGTGCACTTGCACACTTCTCTGCAGTCACTGAGCCGGGTTCAGGACATAGATAGGCACTGAGGAGCTGATGGTCTGGGGAGAAAGACAGCACACGGCTAATGTTCTGGGGGCCACGGTGCAGGGAAGGCACTGCAGACCCGGGAGGACACACCCCCAGGACAGTACCTCATGCTCCTCAGCGGCATCAGAGCTGAGTCCTAGACAGGGAGCCTGACGGGACAGGAGCTGGGGCATCAGTCCATGGGGAACCCCTCCTTCTGAAATAAGCCATCAGCAGGACCCAGTAAGGCCTGGGTGTCCAGACATGCACCCGTCCCTGTCTGACAGCAGAAGCAGGCGTGAGCACCTAGAACAAAGGGCCTGCGGTCATTGGCTGCAGTCAGTGTGAGGCTCCCACTTACCACCTGTGGCCTCATCCTCCCTGTGCGCATGGCCTGGGCCCACGATGAGTTCCTGAGTCCTAAAACTAGGCGCCTTCCTGGGGGCCATAGGGAGGGATAGTGCCAAAGATACAGGCCTGGGATGGAATCCTTCGTGGAAAGGAATGCAGTTTGAACCATTCAGGACACTTGATGGCAGGTGGCTCCTTCCAGTTCAAAGTAAGAGGTAAAAAGCCTTAAAATAACAGCAGTAGGAAAAAGAACGCGAAGAGCCCTGCACACAGGTGAGACTCAAAGACCATCAGGAAAACTGCACTTTCTGGACTAACGTGGCTGTGCCCATGGAGCAGCGATGTCCGAGGCAGGGCCCACTCTCTGGGCCCCAGGAGATTCCCTTCCTCTCCAGCCTCACTTCCCTAGCATGAGTTGTACTCAGAATGTCTGAGGTCACTGGCAGTTCCAGAACCTTCTCTAGCACTGTCCGATTTGTTTGTCTCATGAGCCAGGTTTCAAACAGCTCAGGGGCAGGGATGAGTGTTCCCCTTCTTACATGTCCTGCTCTGTGCCAGGTCAGTGCAGGCCCCCACTTGATGTGATGGACACCAATGGTGTCGGGGGCCACAGCACACTGCTCTTTGTAATGCCCATGAAGTCAGATCATCCCACTCAGCCCATGATGGTTAGCAGCCTGGACACATTTCCTTCTGGTTCTTAGAGACAGATTATTATTATTTTTTTTTTTTGAGATGGAGTCTTGCTCTGTTGCCCAGGCTGGAGTGCAGTGGCGCGATCTCAGCTCACTGCAACAACTGCCTCCCGGGTTCAAGCAATTCTCTGCCTCAGCCTCCCAAGTAGCTGGGATTACAGGCACCTGCCACCATGCCCGACTAATTTTTGTATTTTTAAGTAGAGATGGGGTTTCACCATTTTGGCCAGGCTGGTCCTGAACTCCTGAGCTCATGATCCACCCGCCTCAGCCTCCCAAAGTTCTGGGATTACAGGCATGAGCCACCGTGCCTGGCCTAGAGACAGATTTAAGGCAATGGAGCATCAGGGCATCCTGCCTGAGATTTCTTTTCTGTGCTTCCTCACTATGCCCTCCCCAGAGCAGTCTGAGGCATCAGAAGGCCTGAGGAAGGCCAGGATGAAGACAATGGAGGTCAGGTGAATCTCAGGCTCAAAGACTCCTGAGAAAGGCCCTGGAAGACACATAAGAATCAAGACAACTTAAGAGCAAAGATACCGCTGTGAAAATCAGGGATTTGTGGATGGATAAAAAAGTCATAGATGAGGAAATAGTAAGACACCAAGATCAGCAGCAGGGCCCCTCACAAGATGAAAAAGGAGATGAAGACTATAGGGCTCACCTAGGCAGGGACAGAGAGGAGAACAGAAGGGAGAAAAGAGAGAGAACAGGACTGATGGAGGCCTTGTCAGTAGTGGAGGAGAGCTTGAGGAAGAGCCAACAACCACCCATGATCACAACCATCCCAGCTCCATCCCAAAATCCATCCCAGCTCCAACCAGCACCAACCGCAGCTCCATCCTCAGCACTATCCCAACTCCACTCAGCTCCATCAAACTCCATCCCAGCTCCATCCTCAGCTCCTTCCCAACTCCACTCAGCTCCATCAAACTCCATCCCAGCTCCACCCTCAGCTCCATCCCAACTCCACACAGCTCCATCAAACTCCATCCCAGCTCCACCCTCAGCTCCTTCCCAACTCTACTCAGCTCCATCAAACTCCATCCCAGCTCCACCCTCAGCTCCATCCCAAGTCCACACAGCTCCATCAAACTCCATCCCAGCTCCACCCTTATCCAAACTCCATCAGAACTCCACTCAGCTCCATCAAACTCCATCCCAGCTCCATCAAACTCCATCCCAGCTCCACTCTCAGCTCCTTCCCAACTCCACTCAGCTCTATCAAACTCCATCCCAGCTCCATCCTCAGCTCCTTCCCAACCCTACTAAGTGTCATCATACTCCATCCCAGCTCCATCCTCAGCTTTATCTCAACTCCAGTCAGCTCCATCAAACTCCACCCTAGCTTCACCCTCAGCTCCATCCCAACTCCACTCAGCTCCATCAAACTCCATCCCAACTCCACCCTCAGCTCCATCCCAACTCCACTCAGCTCCATCAAACTCCATCCCAACTCCACCCTCAGCTCCATCCCAACTCTATCCCAATTCCACTCAGTTTCACTGAACTGCATCCGAGCTCCATCCTCATCCTAGCTCCATCCCAACTGTGCTCAGCTCCGTCAAACTCCATCCCAGCTCCATCCCAACTCCACTGAGCTCCATCAAACTCCACCCTAGCTTCACCCTCATCCCAGCTCCATCCCATCTCCACTCAGCTACAGCAGATTCCATCCCAGCTCTACCCCAGGTACATCCAAGGCTTCAATAATCCCCAGCTCCATGAACTTCCATCCAGCTCCATTCCTATCCATCCCTACTCCATCCCAAGCTGAACCAAGCTCCATAGACTTCCATCCAGATTCATCAACTCTATCCCAGACCATGGAGCTCCATCCACCTCCATCCCAGCTCCACCTCATCTCCATCCACAAATCCATCCCAGCTCTATCCATCTCCATTGTATCTCCATCCAGTTCCATCCAGATGCATGCCCTGCTTTATCCTTATCTCCATCAATTTCCATCCTAGCTCCATCTTACGCCATGCAGCCCCATCCAGCTCCATTGCAGCTCCACCCAGCTTCATCCCATCTCCATACTACTCTATACCCGGCTCCATCACTACTCCATCTCATCTCCATACTACTGTATACCCAGCTCTATCACTGCTCCATCCCAGCTCCATCCAGTTCCATCCCCTCCTTCATCCAGCTCCACTGAATTCCATCCCCATCTCTCTTCTGTTTTATTCCCAGCTCCTTCCATCTCCATTCCAACTCCATTCAGCTCTATCCTAGATCATCACTGCTCCATTCTAGCTCCATCCTGCTCTGTCCTCAGATTCATCTCAGCTTTTTTTCTGAGCTTCATCCCATCTCCATTTCCAGTTCCTTCCCTGATCTATCTTAGCTCTATCCCAGTCCATCCCAGCCCCATCCACCTAGCTTCCCCGCAGCTCCCTCTAGCTTCCCCCCAGCTCCATTTCTGCTCTATCTCATTTTTATCCTTATTCCTTACAAGTGGCATCTCCAGCTCCTTTCTGAGCTTCATCTCAGCTCATCTCCCTCTCTCTTGAGTTCCATCCCAACCTCCACCTCTGCTCCCTCCCAGCTCCAGCGCAGTTTCCTCCAAAGCTCCACCATCACCTCCATCCTTGGCTCCAGCTTCTTTCTTAGCTCCCTCCCTGCCTCCACACACACACCTCCGTGTATCATCTGGAAGAAGCTATTTCCACCTTTTCTGACTCACTGTTTATCACTGCTCAGAAGTGTGCCACTTTGGGAATATCCAAAACACTGATAAAGAGGATGTCTCCAGGGGCTGATGAAATGAGCCTCTCCACACAAACGCCTACCTGTGGAGTCTGCCCTTGGGGATATAACCCTGTCACACTATCTGTGCCCTGCTCCCCGAAGGTGATAGAGTGCCTGTTACATGATTTTCACTAGTGTCCCAGGTCACAGGTTCACAGAAGATTAATCCTTGAGTAATCACTAAAGATGAAGTAGGCAAACCCCTCTAATTTTCAAAATATAAAACTATGGCCCAGAGAGGAAAAGTCACTTCCCCAGGATCCCATAAAACCAGATTATCTAATTCTCCTTCAGCATAAAGAGGAAGATTTTAAGATCCTGGAAGCATCTCAGCTCTTTCAGGTCTTGGGAGCTTCTTCTATTTTCAACCTCTGTGAAATCTGTCCTGTGTGGTTTCCCTAGAGTTAATATTTCTTCCCTAGGAACCCAAAACACTGACTGGGAGCTACCTCACAAGAAACCAAGGTGGTGCCAACATGCACACTTGTCTCTGTTCTCACATACACCTAAGGGTCCACGTGCCCCACATCGCTGCTGCCCCCCTTCTCTTCCCTTACCTCCATCTCCTGATCCCATCAGAAACTGGGATCTTGCTGTCCACTGTACATTAAGGTTATGTCATATACACCTACCCAGATCTGTCCCCTAAGTCACCTGGACAGCACCCCTTAGAAGTCATCCAGGTACCTGAAACAAACCTATCAATCAAACCTGTTAGGAAGCTCCCTCAAACCCTCCCCCCTCCTAAGTCCCTGGTGTGCTGAAAGCCACTCCATACATTTCCAGTACCCTCAGTCACATCAGAAGTTAAAACACTGAAGTATTTCCTACCAGGTGGGAAACAGCTGCAGCCCCTGCCCACCCGCCACCTCCAGAACCCCAGATGCCCAAACATCCCAGGCCACTCTGGGAACAACAGGCCCTCCCCATTGTGAGCCACAGGGAAAACACTTGACTGCCCAGGGGCCACCAGGACTTCTGCCTGAGGCCCTACTTGCCTGTTTCCATGGGCAGGCATCACACTGTGTAGATCAACACACACTTTGCACTCAGATCTACCCTCATCCTTGAAGCTGCCTTTCTACAATTCTTCAAATCCTGCTTCCCAGGCAGAAGTCACCCAGTGGCCACCCACTGCAGTCACGCTGTACCTGCTCTCTTCCCTCACCTGCATCTTCTCGTGTCCCCTGCCCACAGCAGCCCATGAACATGCCCCCTCTTTCATGTGGATATCTGCATCTGCCCTGCACCTGCCCCCTCTCACACATGGATCCCTGCACACCGTCTGCCCACAGCAGGCCCATGTACCTGCCCCCTCTCTCACATGGATCTGGGAAAGTCCCCTGCCCACTGCAACTTGATGCACCTGCCCCCTCCCTCACCTGGATCTCTGCACCTCTGCTGCCTACTGCAGGCCCACACACCTGCCCCCCAAAAAACATCTGCATCTCAGCATAGCCCCTTCCTACTGCATTCACCCTGTGCCTGGTCCCACTCTTACCTGGATCTCTGCAAACCACCTGCCCACTGCAGCCCTGAGTACGTGACCCTTTGCTCACCTGGATGTCTGCATGAGCCTGCCAATTAAAGCCCCATGCACCTGCCACCTCTCACCTGGATCTCTACAGCCCACTCACCCACTATAGCCCCACAAATAGCCCCCCCTCACCTGGATCTCTGTGCTCCCATTGCCACCACACCCGCCTTGCACCTGCTCCCTCCTTTACCTTCCCCAGGTGGCCTCAGGGCTGCTCTCTCTCAGCTCTAGTCAGACCATCTCACTGTGTTCACCCTGTAGGGTCCTCTCACTCTACATACTGGGTCCCTAAATGGCCTCTCTGTCCCTGCTGAGCAGTCCTACCTGGCCTGCCCACCGGACCACCCCATTTCAGGGAAACCCCAGCAGCCCTGGCATGTATGGAGCCCCCTGTCCCTCCACATCTTTCCTGTCCATGGACATTTCCTTGAACCTGCTCATTGCATATGTCTGTACCCTAGGAACGGTGTGGGCCACAGTGAGCAGTGTGGAGTTGCATGTCACATCTCTCTCTGGGACGCCTCCATGTGTCCTTCAGATTTCTACTTCTAGAAACTTCTGATCCCAGGCTGGCTGGGGTGCTTCTCATGCATGTCCCCTAGTGCCCTCCATGCTAATGACCCATACACTCTTCTGTCTTTTCCTAATAAATGGCAGAATTGAGGCAGGGCCCATGTATCTCAAAGGGGATGCCCAGCTCCTGGTGCGAGGCCAGGTTGCCACAGGTGCCCAGTGAGCATCTGCTGTGAGGAGCCACTGAGTGAACGAGGTCAACCTGTGTGAAGGGGCCAGTGAGTGAATGACATCAACCCTGTGTGAAGGAGCCAGTGAGTGAATGACATCAGCCCTGTGTGAAGAGTCAGTGAGTGAATGACATCACCACTGTGTGAAGGAGACAGTGAATGAATGACATCACCCCTGTGTGAAGGAGACCGTGAGTGAATGACATCACCCCTGTGTGAAGGAGCCAGTGAGTGAATGACATCACTCCTGAGTGAAGGAGACAGTGAGTGAATGACATCACCCCATGTGTGAAAGAGACAGTGAGTGAATGACATCACCCCTGTGTGAAGACTCAGTGAGTGAATGATGTCACCCCTGTGTGAAGGAGCCAGTGAGTGAATGACATAACTCCTGAGTGAAGGAGACAGTGAGTGAATGACATCACCCCTGTGTGAAGGAGACAGTGAGTGAATGACATCACCCCTGTGTGAAGGAGACAGTGAGTGAATGACATCACCCCTGTGTGAAGGAGACAGTGAGTGAATGACATCACCCCTGTGTGAAGACTCTGTGAGTGAATGATGTCACCCCATATGTGAAAGAGACAGTGAGTGAATGACATCACCCCTGTGTGAAGGGGCCAGTGAGTGAATGACGTCAACCCTGTGTGAAGGAGCCAGTGAGTGAATGACATCACCCCTATGTGAAGACTCAGTGAATGAATGACATCACCCTGCGTGTAGGAGCCAGTGAGTGAATGACGTCACCCATGTGAAGAGTGTCTGAATGATGTCACCCCTGTGTGAAAGGCTCAGTGAGTGATGTCACCCCTGTGTGAGGGAGACAGTGAGTGAATGACGTCACCCCTGTGTGATGAGTCACTGAGTGAATGATATCACCCCTGTGTGAAGCGTCAGTGAGTGAATGACGTTACCCCGGTGTGAGGGAGCCAGTGAGTGAATGATGTCACCCGTGTAAAGAGTCAGTGAGTGAATGACGTCACCCCTATGTGAAGGGGACAGTGAGTGAATGATGTCACCCCTGTGTGAAGAGTCAGTGAGTGAATGACGTCACTCTGTGGGAGCCAGTGAGTGAATGACGTCACCTGTGTGAAGAGTCACTGAGTGAATGAAGTCACCCTGTGTGAAGGGACCAGTGAGTGAATGATGTCACCCGTGTGAAGGGGCCAGTGAGTGAACAACACGTGTAGGCAGGCACCCCTCGGTCCACAGGCAGGTGGGCACACAGCCCGGGCCGGCCTCTTGTCTCACGTCCTCTGTGGATGTCACTCTACCCTCCCTCTTCTCTCTGACCTCTCCACACCCAGCTGTGCGCTGTGGGAGCTCCTGCAGCTTCTGCACTCAGCCATCTCTGCTCCAAGCTTCACATATGCACGCATGGTTCCTCAAGCACTTGTCGTGAGACAGGTAAGAGGCTGCCCCTGTGTGTACTCACCCACCAGCCCTGCATGCCTCATGCCCACAACTCTCTAAACCAGGTCACGCTGAGACCATGGCCATGCCTGCCATGGAAGCTGCAGAGACTCGGGATCCAAAGCCAGGTCTCCGAAGGGCAGCGCATTTTCCTGACAGCCAGGGACAGGGCCGTGTCCACAGCAGGTGCTCATGAACGCTGCACAGTGTTCTCTGGGGTGGGCCCTCCAGAGGCTCCCACACATTGGCATAGGACATGTGCAGAATGTTCTAGAGCCTTCGGTGGTTACAGCACCAAAGGTTTGACACTTGGCTGCAGCGACACTGTCCTTCAGGAGATTTTCATCCTTCCCCTTAAACACTGGTTTCCACTGCCTCTAAATAACTTACCAAAGCTGCTGAAATCACCTTTCACTTCTCTAAACAGGTTCCCTCATGTAATTAACAAGAGCCATGGGCTCGCAGCTCCTTCCCTCCCACCCAGTCTCTGCGACCAAGCAACAGGAGCCAAACAGAAACCCCAGGGCCCCGTACTTACTCCACGTCAGCGAACGCACTGCTGGGCACCTGCAGGAGGCGGGCGACGTCCTCCACCAGCCGCCTTCCTTCCTCGGGGCGCAGGGGGCTGCGGATGACAGCAGGGATGGGGAGCAGTCACCACAGAGCCAGCAGTCCTGGAGAACTAAAGCCCTGTGGCCCCACAGCCCCGCTCCCTGGTCCCCACACACACCCTGCTCTCCTGGCCTGGGGTCAGCTGCCCCCTCAGGCACAAGGAGTCACCTGAGTTTCCAGCAACAAGACAAACAGTGCAGTGCGGACGGGGCTGTGGGAATCGCAAGTGGCCCACCGTGTGGAGACTGGCTCCTCTCAGCCTTCAGTGAAAATACAATAAAGGGGAGAAGGGAGAAGGGACAGGCAGGTGCGGCGGATGCTGGGACTCTGACTGAGGATGGGGCGGATCCATGGAGAAAGCATCTGTTTTTAATGGGCTCATTTCTGATGTGAACCAGGCCCCAGTGAGGGGCAATTTAACTACCCAATGGAAGTGTGAGCATGGAAACCAGGCAGCCAGCCCACTGGCAGCAACTCAGGGCAGGGGGCGGGGGCACTCCCGGAAGGCACTGTGGCCGCAGACTCCCCACAAGGCCACCTGGCTGGGGACCTGTCCGTCAAGAGGCAAGAGCCGTCACCAGGGTGGTTTGCAGCTTGATGACTCATCCTGAAGGCCAGCATTCAGGTTGAAAGTCACAAGTTGCCTGTGAAATCCTGTTAGTACCACTTTAATGGAGTATTAAGTTACAATATTATGTAAAAGCATGTTGTACCGCAAAGGCTTTCACCCCAGCAGACCAAAACGCCTGCATTCCTCATCCAGTGAGCGTGCAGGATGCCTGCAGGGCACCAGGAGCTGCTTCCAAATACAGCAATGAACAGCAAGACCAGCCCTGCCCTCGAGGGGTTCACATTCTAGAGATGCTGGTGAATAGAAATCAATCATGCTATGATGGGTTGAATTATGTCACCTAAAAATTCATATGTTGAAATCCTAAAACCCAAATAATGTGAACTGATTTGGAAATAGGGCTATCATAGATTTAGTTAAGCTGAGGTCAATAGGGTGAACCCTAAGCCAATATCACTGGTGTCCGTATAAAAGGAGGGTTTGGACTCAGAGACAAACGCACAGGGTGTCGCAAAGACATGGGGAGAAACCACCCACAAGCTGAAGTCATCTCAGGCCAGTAGCAGCAGGGGCGAGGCTGGGAGCAGACCCTCCTCAGCCTCAGGGGAACCAGCCCTGCCCACACCTGGGTCTTGGACTTCCAGCCTCCAGGACAGGGAGAAGATGGATTTCCCACTTTGGAAGTGTGCGCCAGCAGCCCAGGCAGACTAGCTCCTGTCGGCTGACAAGTTCTCTGGAGGAGACAGCTGGGTAGAGAAGTGGCATGCAGGGCTGTGGAGGGAAGGGCAGAGAGGAGAGACTGTCTTGTAAAGTGGGCTATAGGAGGCCTCTCCAGTGGGGCCCCGTTTGAACAGAGGTGAAGGAGCTGGAAACAGGGTATCAGACAGTGAGCAGAGAAGGCAAGGGGGCCGCGGTGCCACATGGTGAGGAGGTGAAGTCACAGAGCAGCTGGGTGGACATGGCCTGGAGACGAGTGCAGGAGGCCGTCAGCTGGGGCAGGGGCCTGAGCTGGCCACCACGGCTGTCCGGTGGGGAGCCTGGGGATCTGGAGGGACATCTGAGGCCATGCCGGTGGAGTCCGCTGGCACTGGGAAAACACAAGATGGGCAGAAGCCCCAGGAAGGCCCAGCTGGGAGTGGTGCTGACAGAGTCAGGAGTTTACATCCTGCACACGTGGACATGGGGACCCCAGCAGGGCGTCCAGGCTAGGTGCTGAGGGGCGACGTGTCTGTCAGTGCAGAGGTCAAAGGCCCCAGCGGGGCATCCAGGCTGGGTGCTGAGGGCAGTGCATCCATGTGTGCAGAGGTCAGAGGCCCCAGCAGGGTGCCCAGGCTGGGTACTGAGGGGCGATGTGCCTGTGAGTGCAGAGGTCAGAGGCCACAGCAGGGCGTCCAGGCTGGGTGCTGGGGGCAGTGCATCATGAATGCCGAGACCGGGGAGCTGTACGACCAGAGGTGTTCACTGGCCTCAGGAGGGTGACTGAAGCTGGAGCACCTAAGACGGAGCCTTGCCCCCCAGCATTTAGGATCCCCCAGCATTGAGGGCCCCCCGGCATTTAGGGCCCCCCAGCATTGAGGGCCCCCCAACATTTAGGGCAATGAGGGGAACTGGCAAAAGAGAATGAAAAGGACTGTGACAGAGGCAAGCAGCGAGCTGGCAAGAATTCCAAGAAGGAGAAGGGCCGGGCCTCAGATTGGTCCAGAGAGATGAGGATGGGGAGCTGAGGCCGAGCTTAGCGGGTCATGATGGCTGTGGGCTGACCTCACAGGAGCTCTTCTGCAAGGCTGTAGGGACCTGCAGCCTGTTCAGCATTGGAGGGATGGAGAGTAGGAAAGGAGAGATGGGGCCAACACTGTAAGAGCTGCCCAGGGTTCTGGGGGCAAGAGGGGCAGTTTCTGTTAAGCTGGAAGACG
Source organism: Homo sapiens (assembly GCF_000001405.40). Lineage (NCBI taxonomy): Eukaryota > Metazoa > Chordata > Mammalia > Primates > Hominidae > Homo > Homo sapiens. The sequence continues at coordinate 158,113,387 of NC_000007.14, forward strand.
TCTAGGATGCTAGCATAGGGATAGGAGTGATGAGACAAGGTGCTGGATGTAGGGCATGGCTGTGTGTGCCCAGAGCAGGCAGAGGCCTTAGGCAGGAGTAGGACAATGGTAACAGAACTGGCACCAGGGCTGGAGACCCCAGGCATTCTCTATCCATGACTTACACTCAGGGACCCCTTGGGGAGAGGACCTCAGCAGGGCCTGCAGATTCAGACTCATGAGCAGGCGCATGCCGTGACTAGTCTAGCCTCAGAGCGCAGCTGCACTAGCTGGAGAGAGAGGGTAGTTCTTGGGGGTTATGAATCCTTCCTGGGGACAGAGAGACGCATTGAGGTGGATTCTCATGGGCCTCGCACCTGCAACAAGAAAGCCATCTGATGGCGTCGACGCTACAAGCTGTTGTTGTGGCCACCAGGGACACAGCCTACCATCCTTGGCCAGGACTTCGAGGCACGTAGCAATCCGGGACCAGCTGGGGCACAGGCCGCCTTCCACTCAGGGAGGAGCCACATCTGAGCTCAGGGGCTGAGCCTGTCCCAAAAGCCCGGTACCTCCAGGGAGACCGGTGGCCCCTACATCTGGGTACCCCTCAGAGCCACCTGGGGAGGGTGTCCAGGCCCATGCCTGTCCTGCCCAGCCAGTGTGGCTGCAACTGGAGCCCAGGACAGTGTATTTAAAATAAAAAAACCAAACCAAACAAAAAAACCCTTTGTAGGTGAAGGTGACAGCTGGTCCAGTTTGGGAGTGGTTACAGCAATGGAAAGGTGAGGCTGCATCCACGTACCACAGGCCTTCCCTGCCCAGTCCAGGGCTCTGGGACCTGAGTGGGCCAAGGACTCACCAGGATGGGCCAAGGACTCACCAGGAATGCAGATGCCCCAGCCACCCTCCAGCGTTTCGGAGTCAGGAGGCCACAGGTCAGGCCTGGGAATCTGTGTTTCTCGTGGGTTCCCACTGGTGCTGACACTTGTTCAGGCATCTGCTTTGGGAACCCCTTGGCCAAACTCCCACACCATAAAATCAGCAACAAAGCCACATGACTTCCAACCCTAGACTAACGTAGGTCGCTCAGCTTCAGGCAATCTACACATCAGTTGGGAGGGATGTGGAAGACGTGCCGCGGGAATGCTCTACTCTTCATCTAAGAAATACTTCCTGAGCACTTGTGGTACCAGGCTGAGCCAGGAGCTATGGAAGCAGAGATGAGAGAGGAGGAGGAGCCAGCGGCCCCCGGCAGCCTCTAATCTGGCAGGAACAACGGTAAAGAATATGCATTAAAAAACCCATGGCAAACCCCAGGGAAAAGAGAAGCCACCGGCCACGGCCCTGGGGCCTACATGGGAGCCTGGTCCAGGCTGGGGTAAGGGAGCCCCAGAAGGGTCCCCAAGAACTACCACAGGGCTGAGAGAATGGATCGTGTTACTAGTCTAAGGCACAGAGCGCGAGAGGCAGACGCAGGGATGGAAACAGCAAGCAAATGCCCTCGGGTAGCACAGTCACTCAGAGAACTTGAGAGAAGGGGCAGGGGAGGCACGGATGGCTAGAAGGAAGGGAGCCAACTACATGGGTGCTCCTCACCCATTAAGGGATTGGAGTTTATCCCAAATACAATGGCGAGCTATCAACAGGGCCTAGGCAAGGGCACTGTCCCACTCTCCTGGTCCCAGCTTCTCAGAAGGCTGAGGAGCCAAGATCACTGGAGTCCAGGAGCTCAAGGCTGCAATGAGCTATGATTGCACCTGTGAATAACCACTGCATCCCAGCCTGGGTGAAAGAGCAAGACCCCATATCCAAAATAACAACAACAACAACAACAAAAGTTCCCTCCCCTGGATAAAGAACAGGTTGGAGACCAGAGGAGACAGAAGGGAAACAGCTGGTGGCCTCCAGATTGTCTCAATGAGACATGAGCTCAAGCAGCATGGACCGTGGTAATGGTGACTGAAGTGGACATGGTCATAGACTGCGATGTGTCAGCGGGTAAGGTGTTCAGAACTGTGAGTGAGAAAGGTGGGCTCTGCAGGGTTGAAGGGACAGCAGAGCAGATGCTGTTTTCTGAAGCAGGCTGCTATGAACTAATTGTGACCCCTAAAATCTGTATGTTCCAATCTTTAGCCCCAAGGTGAAGGTGTGAGGAGGAGGGGCCTATGGGAGGTGGTCAGGTCATGAGGGTGGAGTCTCCTAATGAGATCAGTGCCCTCTACAAGAGGCTCTGTAGATCTTTTTCCTTCATGTGAGAAAATGCCATCTGCAACCCAGAAGTGTGCCTCCACCAAGAACCCAAAAATCTACTGGCATCTGGATTCCAACCCCTGGAATTGTGAGGAAGAAATTCCTATTGCTTCTAAGCTGCCCCATCCATGGTGCTTTGTTATAGCACTGCGAGTGGACTCAGGACAGCCCCAGGACAGAGGAAAGATCCTGAGGTCAGCATCAAACACACGGAGTCTGTGTTGCCTTCAAGGCATCAGGTGAAGATATGACAAGACTGGGTGGGCCCTCAACTGTCTGCACTGAGCCCATCCCTCACACTCCACCCTGTGCCACCCTCAGATGGAACAGGGAAGGAGCCTGGTTCGCTCAGGTGAGTAACTGGGAACTTGAGTTTTATAAGACAGGCCCGCTCTGCACACCCTGCATGGAGCGGTGAAGTAAGGACCTCACCCACGTGGGGTAGGCTTTGGCTACTGCACCATGCACCTCTCCCTGCACATGGACACAAGTACTCATTCCACAAGTAGATTCTACATTGGCATTAACTGCATGAATGAATGAACACGAGAATGTCAAAAACAGCAAAAAATCCAACATTTTAAAAATCATTAAAATGTAAACTATTAAATGAACCCCACTCAATTTATAAAGTTTCTGTAAAACTAAAGTAAAGCATGAATTAGTTTTGGGAAGATGGTGAGTAGGAAACACCAGGAATCTGTCTCCCACCTGACAACACTGTGCTAGTAGGATCTGTCTGATGTAACTGATCCTTGAACTCTGAAGCCTAATGAAGGCCTCCGACTTCTAGTGGAAGGTCTGGATACACCTTGCAGTCAATGTCAGCTTTCATCACAGTAGGAGCTACCGCTACTCACCTTCAGCCCTGTGGCAAGCAGCTGTGCACATGTTCCTGGAGCAGCCTGCACACACTGGCAGGAGCCAGAACAGGCAATACAGATGTTGTCCTCCAAATATTGGGAATCTGCAATCTCACTGCTGATTGCTGCTTCTCATCACAGAGGTGCAGGAAAGGAGGAGGGCACCATTGTTTGGCCACCTCCTCATTGTTGTTGCTCCTCCCCCTCTGGCCAAAATGACTTACAGGGGATTTAAAATGCTAACACCCATTTTTCCCACCTTCATTTTTCTCTTTTTCCGCTTTTGGGAGCCAGAAATTAAAGACCAGAATATTCAAAAGTAACTGAATATACAGGGAAAATTAGAAAGTCACCACACATGCTCAGGGAAAGGCTCAGATAATACCACAAGTTTACACCTCAGGCTGATCCTTGGCACAAAGACAGCCTACAAAAAATTTAAAAGAAAGATAAACAAAAAATAGCAAACCTATGGAGAGACAATCTGATTTCCAGAGTTAGATTAAAATTTCTAGTTTTCAACAAAAAATTGCAAGAAACAAGAAACAAAGAAACAAGAAACTACAGCCCATTCAAAGGAAAAAGGTAAGTCAACAATAATTGTCTCTAAAAAAAGACCTGATGGCAGATGTACTAGGCAAAGACTTTAAAACAATTGTCATAAAAATGCTTGAAGAACAAAAGAAAGATGTAAAGAAAGTCAGAAAAATTATGTATGAAAAATGAAAATGTCAAAGAGAAAACCTAAAATATAAAAGAAATTCTGAAGCTCAAAATACAATAGCTGAAATTAAAAAGTTCACTAGAGAGATTCAAAGGCAGATTTGAGCAAGAAAAATAAAGAATCAGTGAACTTGAAGATAGGACAATGGAAATTATTCAGTCTAAGAAATAGAAAAAAAGATTGAAGAAAAGTGACAAAACCCTAAGGGACATGTGGGATACCACTAAGAGAACCAGTATATGAATTGTGAGAGGAAATTGTGCCCAAAAGAAAAAAAAGAGATAAAGGGGCAGAGAAAATACTTGAAGAACAATACCTGAAAACTTCCCAAGTTTGATGAAAGACATGGATATAAGCATCCAAGAAGCTCAGTGAACTCCAAGTAAAATTAACTCAGAGACACATTTTAACTAAATTGTTAAAAGACAAGGACAAACAGAGAATTCTCCTCTTACATTTGAAAGCAGCAAGAAAGAAGCAGTTCATCACACACCAGGCTTTCCAAATAATATTATCAGCAGAAACTTTGCAGAACAGAAAGCAGTGAACCAATATATTCCAAGTGCTACAGGAAAAGAAAAAAAAAACCTGTCAACCAAGAATCCTATATCCAACAAAATTGCACTTCAAAAGTGAAGAAGAAATTAAGACATTCTTAGATAAACCAAAGCTGAGAGAGTTTGTTATCACTAGACCTGCCTTGCAAGAAATATTCCAAGGAGCCCTGCAGGATGAAATGAAAGGACACTGGACAATAACTCAAAGCCATATAAAAAATTAAAATCTCAATAAAGGCAAATATATGGTGAATTATAAAATATAGTATTATTGTAACAGTGGTTTGTAACTCCTTTTAGTTCTCTATATGATTTAAGAGACTAGTACATATCTTAAAAACAATTACTAGTTAAAACTAGTATTATAACTTTGGTTTGTAACTCCACATTTTGTTTTCTACATAATTTAAGAAACGAATAAATTTTAAACAATTATTAGTTTATATCCTGGGACATACAATGTATAAGGATGCAATTTTGTGATATCAATAGCCAAAAAGGGTGGGTAAATAGCATAAAGGAGCATAATTTTTGTATGTTATTGAAGTCAAGCTAGTATAAATTTAAGTTAGTGTTGTAATTTTCAGATGTTAAATCTAATCCTCTATGATAAATACAAAGAAAATAGCTACATAATACGTACAAAAAGAAGAAAGGAATTTAGGCATTTAATTTTTAAAAATCTACTAAACACAAAAGAAGATAGTAATGCAGAAAATGAGTGGCAAAAAATCCATAATGCACATAGAAAACAAATATTAAAATGACAGAAGTCCCTCCTCATCATTAATTACTTTAAATGTAAATAGATTAAACTCTCCAATCAAAAGACAGAGATTAGCAAAATATGATATTCCACAGATCTTTTAAGGACTATTTCTATAGTACACAACAAGGGATATCTATTTGCATTAACTATAAGCATAAACATGACAGTCTTTGTTTTCAAGCATGTCAATAATGTCTTCTTTTTTTGTCGCCCAGGCTGGAGTGCAGTGGCATGATCGTTGCTCACTGCAGCCTCAACCTTTCCAGGCTCAGGTGATCCTCCCACCTCAGCCTTCCCATTTGCTGACATTACAAGTTCATGCCAGCATGCCTTGCTAACTTTTCTATTTTTTGTAGAGATGGGGTTTTGCCATGTTGCCCAGGCTGGTCTCAAGCTCCTGGGCTCAAGAAATCCACCACTTTGGTCTCCCAAAGTACTGAAATTATAGGCATCAGCCACCACACCTGGCCAATATCTTCTTTTAATATAAGAGATAGCACTGTGAGTGTATTATTGCTACATTTTTAGTTTAACGTAAAATTTCTCATTTTGACTATTAAAGGAAAGTAAAATATTTACATCACTATTTAAGAAACCTCATAATGTACCTAGCGTGTATAGAGTACTCTTAAAACTCAACAACAAAAATACAAACAATACCATTTAAAAATGGGCAAAGGACTTGAATAGACATTTTCCTCCAAAGAAAATATACAAATGGCCAAAAGCACATGAAAAGATGCTCAACATCACTAATCATTAGGAAAACACAAATCAAAACTACAATGTGATACCACCTCATACCTATCAGGATGGCCACTGTAAGAAGAAAAAAACCCAGAAAATAGTAAACGTTGGCAAAGATGTGGCTAAATTGGAACTCCTGTGCCTTGTTGGTGAGAATGTAACACGGTATATCAAGTGTGGAAGAGTATGGAGACTCCTCAAAAAAATGAAAAATAGAATTGCACTTTGATCGAGTAACTCCACTCCTTGGTATCTACAGTAGTCCCCCATTAGCTGCAGTTTGTTTTCTGTGTTTTAGGTACCTGAGGTACAGTACAAGAAGATATTTGAAAGAGGGAGAGAGAGAGAGAGAGAGACACCATATTTACACAACTTCTATTACAGTAAATTGTTATAATTGTTCTATTTTATCACTACTGTTGTTAATCTCATACTCTAATTTATAAATTAAACTTTATCATAGGTATGTATGTATAGGAAAAGCCATAGTTTATATAGGGTTCTGCACTATCTGAAGTTTCAAGCATCCACTGGGGTTCCTGGAATGTCTCCCCCTTAGATAAGGGGGAGACTACTTTGCCCAAAAGAATTGAAAACAGGGTCTCAAAGAGATGTTAGTGCCTCACATTCACAGCCGCATTATTCTCAATCACTAAAGCATGGGGGCAACTGAAGGGCCTAGTGATGGACAAATGGAGGAGCAAAGCGTGGCCTGCACCAAAAGTAGAATATTATTTAGCCCTGAACAGGAAGAAATTCAGACACATGCGACAACAGGGATGAACCCTGAAACATGATGGTAACTGAAATAACCTGGGCATAAAAGGACAAATTCTGTGTGTCTACCCATGTGAGGTTCCTAGAATCCTCAAATTCAGAGAGACACAGAGTAGAGTGAAGGCTGCCAGGGGCTGGGGTAGGGTAGTGTTTAATGGGGATGAAACTTCAGTTTTACAGGATGAAAAGAGCTCTGGGGATGGACAGCGGTGATGGTTGCACAATAGCACAAATGTTAACGCTACTGAATTCTATGCTTAAACATGGGTAAGACAGTAAACTTTATGTTATCTATATGTTAATAAAATACAAGAAATTGGGAAGATGAAACAAGGTGATTAGTATAAAAGCACCATGACGTGTGGCTGCTCCCCACATCCAAGGCAGTGTACCAGCCTTCGTCCAATCTCTATTTCAGCAGAACACTCCTTGTGGCTCACGGAGAAAGCTGAGCCAAGTTCCTGCTGGATCCCTGGCAAAGCTCCTTTCTGCTCCCTGTCTCCAAGGAAAGCCTGTGGCGTGTTCTTTAAAGTGGATTTTTCAAGGCTGCATTCTGTGTAATTTTACAATTGAGAAACAAGCCATTTTCCTTTAAAGAGTGGCTGCTGGAAGGGGAGGGGTCCCAGATGTCCTCTCTTTTCCTGTACATTTTGGATGTCTGCTCTAACCCAGGTCAGCTCCTGTCCCAAAACATCCTCCAGGGCCATCTGAACAGCTTGTGAAGGGCACTGGTGCCAGAAAAAGTGTCAGAATGGCCAGATGTTGGGCCAGAAGGGAGGCAACAGGGAAGGGAGCCAGGCGGGGCTACAAAGACAAACTCAGGCTGCAGCTGGACAGAGCAATGACCCACCACAGCCGGCTCAGCTCCACCCCGGCTGAGACCAGCCCAGGCTGCTGGGAACTCCAGACTTGCATCCAACCAGCCTCCCTGCTCCAAGCCAAACCCTCCTGGCAGGCAAGTGCGATGCTTCCAGATGAGCCCTTCCTTTTTTTCGTGTGGCTGCAGGTTCCTTCCTCCCGGCTCCTGTGCTCCCCAGCAGCCTGGGCTTTTCTCTCTGCCTGGGCCTGGTGGTGACTGCTCCAAAGGGCCAGCCTACCTGCTCCCATCGCTGACCTGCCTTGCCTCAGCCCCCTGCACCCCAGCCTCCCTGGGCCTCCCCATCCTTGGAGCCATTAGGAAGAGGGCAGGTGCAGAAGGGCAGGTGGAGAAGGCTAGGACCGACCACACCACTCCAATCAGCAAAGACAGAAACTGCTGCTCTTCAGGCTTTCCCTAAAACTCCCTGTGTGCTTTGATCAGCACCACTCAGCTCATGACTTATTTTAAAAGGTCTCCAGTACTTTCATATTTTAATCCTGCCTCCCCCTACAAACTGCAAACTCATTGAGGGCAGGAGCCACGTGTCATCTGAGTTTGTTTCTTCCAAGCCTACTGCCCCCTGCGGAGCATAAGCCAACTTCCCAATCAATGTTTGCTACCAAATTCCATGAGTCTCCTTTTCTAGCATGTTTCAAACCAAGGGGATGGTATGAGGACATGGGAGGGGCTCCACCACGAATCCTGGGCCCAGCCCTCTGCCCTCCATGCTCCAATATGGAAACCAACAGAAGCATCCACAAGACTCCTACAACACCCTGAACACAACAAGGAAGTCCACAAGCCCAGAATGTGTTTGTGAACCCGCTGCCTCCACAAGCCAAGGTGTCCCCAGTTATACAAAGTGTACGGGACGTGCAGTCCACTCCCTTCCTTCCTCAGCCTGGCAAGGGTGACAGTGCCGGCCAGGTGGGCAGGGGCATCACGGCTCCTCTGTAAAGCAGAAGAGTGCTGGCTCCATTCTGTAAAGCAGACAAACAAGACAGGGCTGACTGTGCTCACAATGATCACGCAGCCATTCCTATTTCATCTCTAAAGCCACAGCCATCATCTGTCATTCCGAGGCCTGAACTTCCTTAGAAAGCAGTTGGACGTCATCCTGAAAATGAGTGGGAGGATCCAGCAGGTGCGACGTGCTGTGTCTGCATGTGGCGGCTTCCACCCTCAATACCTGGACACTAATATTGCCGTAGAAGAGAAACAGGCATGAGAACTTTTATGGGGTCAGGGTCAGAGCTAGGAGTGCCTGTGAGGGCAGTGGAAAGGACTTTCAAAGCTGAAGATGGCGTCTCCTCTCTCTAGAGTCTTTCAGTTCTGAAGGACAGTGGCAAGTTTGTGACGTCTCTAAGCTCAACCACGTTGGACAAGCCTGTTCCTATGGATCTACTGAATCAGCCACATGGGAGGCCCTAAGGCCTCGGCAAGCACTCACTGGAGGGAGGCTCAGAGTAAGAAGTGACAGTGTCCCTCTTCCACGGTGTCCTCTCAGCCCCGGCACAGTGCTGGGTCTTCCGTGTGGCATCCACATCACCCCGAAATGAGTGCACGGGTGGACGCATGAGCAGAAAATGACTACGGGAGTGTCACCCCTAAAAATCAGACTAGTGAAAAGTACGTAGGGGTCGGAAATATAAAGAGTAGTAAAAACTCTGGGAAGCTCCTGTGCTGGACGCCACACTGAGGCCCCACACAGCGGTGGGATCTGGCATTCAGCAGACCCCTGAGGAACACACTATTATTGGCCTCATTTAAAAGAGAAACCGAGGCTAGAGAAACTAAAGTCATTGCCCAAAATTACACTACTAGGAAACTCCCAGGAGAAAAGCTCAAACGGAACACTTTATCATTCAGGCTATGTTCCAACGTAGGTGCCCAGAAAGGTGGGGTGAGCCCGGGGACCTGTTGCGACCTACACTTGTTCTTAACAAAACCGAAGGAAGCCTGCATAAAACTTCTCCACGTCTCATTTTGGCAGCCTTGTTACTGCCTCTTCCTTGTGGGCCAGATGAAATCAAGCCAAGAACAGGACCCGCCATGACCGACCCTCCTGCTGACCATGCTCTGTGCTTCTGCAGCTTCACCAGCCCGATCTGGGACATTTTACTATTTACTGCAAAACCCACCAGGAGCTAGGGAGCCAAATGTGAAGGGAAAATGAGTCAACTTTGATATAAACTCTTTTGATAAGACAATACTCAAAACCAATAGATAAACGAGGTTTCTTGGGATCAACCAATTATTCTAGTTATCCCTGTTCATCATTAAAACAAACCATGAAATTTATTCTATTTAAATCATCTTATAAAGTAGTTAAAATGTTTCCAGCCCACGGGAACCTCCCCCATGCAGAGAAGCAACGCTTCGAGGGTGGCAAACAGTGGGCTGGGGAGGTGCCCTGACCAACGCGTGGTGACTGACAGGCGCCACAGTATCCTACAGACACCACGGTGACCGACGCCATGGTGACCGACGCCGCAGTGACCGACACCATGTCTGTCTCCACCCTGGATCCCCTGCACGCCCACTCTCTTCCTGCAGGAGTCTAATGTCAGGGTCTGGGAGAAGGAGGTTTTGATGCTTTGTGCACCCAAACTGAACCTTCCTCCTGCGGACCGCCATGCAGCCCCGGAGCTCGTGTGCCGCACCCAGGCCAACGACCCTGGACCACTGCTAGTGGGGCTGTCCACACCATCGACTCTTCCAGGCAGAAAATCAATAGAGGAAAACCACTGTATTCTGACAACTTATTTTTTGGCATAAGGATGAGACTGTACTGCTCACTATAAACACTTTTTAAATGCCAGCAGCTAACTAAAGATCTAGGTACGGAAGGTCTATATAGCGTCACCTTTAAAAAGTGTGCCAAATAGGATCGGGAAGTGCCTCCAGCAGGAGCCGTGAACCCGTGCTGACCCAGGCAGAGCTGGTTCTCTAATCTGATTGGATCTCAGATCCCGTGCCGACCCAGGCGGAACAGGCTCTCTAACCTGATTTGACCTCAGATCCCGTGCCGACCCAGGCGGAGCTGGTTCTCTAATCTGATTCAGCCTCAGATCCCGTGCCGACCCAGGCGGAGCTGGTTCTCTAATCTGATTCGACCTCAGATCCCGTGCCGACATGGACCACCAAGTTACCATGGGACCTGAGTTGCCCATCATGAACTGAATGTTTTCCGACCCACCAAGCCAGAAAGTTGGGTGTACACAGCAGCATTCCATCATCAAATGGAAGTGGTATGTGTCTGGGCCTAAGTAGGCCCTAAAGGCACAAGTTACATAAAGAAGTGCCGCCAATGCCAACGGTCCCCACTCCCGCTATGCTGCCTTCTCTCTCCCAGCCTGCACCTACAGTCTCCTGGAGAGTTCCCTAAAATCAGCTGACGGAGGAAGACCTGGGCCTGGTTTACAGATGGTTCTGCATGATATGCAGGCCCCCACGTTAGTGGACAACTGCAGCACTACTGCCCCTTTCTGGAACATCCTTAAAAGGACAGCGGTGAAGGGAAATTCTCCAATGGGCAGAACTATAGGCTGTACATCTGGTTTACTTTGCTTGGAAAGAGAAATAGCCAAATGTGTGATTATTACAAATTAATAGGCCATGGCCAATGGTTTGGCCAGATGCTCAGAGTCTTGAAGAAACATAATGGAAAATTGGTGACAAAGAGACTTGGGAAAGAGGGGTGTGGACAGACCTCTCTGAATGGGGAGAAGACGTGAACAGGAAGCTGCCTCCCAGACGGGACAGGTGCAGAGCTGGGACCTTCTGCAGGAGCCCAGCTGCCGGGGCGGAGGGAGGGCCTGGTGGAGTGTCCCCAAGATGCACCTGCAGAGCTGCTGGTCAGCCTGGGCCACGCTGGGGCTGGGGTCTGTATCTCAGGACCAGTGGAGTCACAGCCAGATTCCAACAGGAGAGGGTGACGGGGCCAGATTTGGTTTTGTCGAGTCCTCTTTGGGTTCAACGTGCACGGCGGGTGAGAAAGAAAGAGCCGTGATGCTGGTGCGCAAGAGAGAAGGCCCCGCAGTGCGGAGGCAAGAGGCTCAGATGGCCTGGACCAGGGTGGGAGAAGGGAAGAGGGGAGAAGGGGAGACAGCATGGATGGAGCCATAGGAGGGGAGACAGCTGGCCATGGAGGGAGCCGGGTGGGGCACAGAGCCCACTGAGCTGCCGGGCTGGCGAGACATGGCTCAGGCCCAACCATGGCCACCCCCCTGCCTCAAGTGCCTCCCACGGCCGCCTCCCTGTCTCGAGTCCCTCCCAGGGCCACCTCCCTGCCTGAAGTCCCTCCCAGGGCTGCCCCCCTGTCTCGAGTCCCTCCCAGGGCCACCTCCCTGCCTCAAGTCCCTCCCACGGCCGACCCCCTGCCTCAAGTCCCTCCCAGGGCCACCTCCCTGCCTCAAGTCCCTCCCACAGCCGCCCCCTGCCTCGCGTCCCTCCCACGGCCACCCCCCTGCCTCGCGTACTTCCCACGGCCGCTCCCAGCAGGATGGGCTGGACTGTCGGGGATGCTGAGGTTTGGGAGAGTTTTTGTTTACTTCTTCTTCCTCTTTTTCCTGCCCCACCCCCATGCCACTCCTTCTCGCCTTCTTCTCTTCTAATGTACAAGCAACCGTGAACATGTTTACCCATCGGGGCTATAACCCCACACCACCTGAAATCTTCTTAAATGATAATAAATCCATCATGCTACAGATATTCTTTTAAGACCACAAAGCAAAGAGGAGCAAGTGACAAGGCAGGGCATGTCCGCCCTCAGGAGGGGCCTCTACAGAGGTGAGGACTGCGCTTTCTGAACAGGAAGTCACAACACAGCGTGGAGGCTGAAGAACAAAACAGAACCCCTGAAATCTGCCCTGGCGCCAGAAACACAGAATCCATCTTCAGCATCCTCAGGGTTTCCTTTACTCTAACAAGGAAGGACGAGCAGGAAGCATCAGTCCGGACCTCGGCTGCACCCCGTCCTGGCACCCTGCTGGTTCTCGTGATGCGCTCTTCTCGCTGAACCCCTGAGGGGCTCCTGAGCGGTGAGGCCTCCTGGGCAGCCACTAGGATTGGAACTTCCTCTCCACCACACCAGCCCCGGAGAGCGGGCGGCGGAACTTCCTCTCCGCCACACCAGCCCCCAGGACAGCGGGCGGCGGAACTTCCTCTCCGCCACACCAGCCCCCAGGACAGCGGGCGGCGGAACTTCCTCTCCGCCACACCAGCCCCCAGGACAGCGGGCGGCGGAACTTCCTCTCCGCCACACCAGCCCCCAGGACAGCGGCGGCGGAACTTCCTCTCCGCCACACCATCCCCGGAGAGCGGGCGGCGGAACTTCCTCTCCGCCACACCAGCCCCCAGGACAGCGGGCGGCGGAACTTCCTCTCCGCCACACCAGCCCCCAGGACAGCGGGCGGCGGAACTTCCTCTCCGCCACACCATCCCCGGAGAGCGGGCGGCGGAACTTCCTCTCCGCCACACCAGCCCCCAGGACAGCGGGCGGCGGAACTTCCTCTCCGCCACACCAGCCCCCAGGACAGCGGGCGGCGGAACTTCCTCTCCGCCACACCAGCCCCCAGGACAGCGGGCGGCGGAACTTCCTCTCCGCCACACCAGCCCCCGGAGAGCGGGCGGCGGAACTTCCTCTCCGCCACACCAGCCCCCAGGACAGCGGGCGGCGGAACTTCCTCTCCGCCACACCAGCCCCCGGAGAGCGGGCGGCGGAACTTCCTCTCCACCACACCAGCCCCCAGGACAGCGGGCGGCGGAACTTCCTCTCCGCCACACCAGCCCCCGGAGAGCGGGCAGTGGTTCCTGAGCACTCGGTGGGTTTCACATTTCACATCTCACAGTGAGCCGAGGAAGGGGCTGGGGGAACCTGCAGGGCCAGGGCACTCACTGAGGGTGGCAGATGGAGAGACCGAAGCCCCCACCTCCTTCCAGACTTCTGGTTCCAAAGTTCCTCTCCCTGGCCGGCGGATCCCTGCCTTCACTGGCCTCTCTGAATTCCACATTCCAACTGAACCCCCACAGAGGTGAGCACGCAGCAGCCCCTAACGGTGGCCCGGTACCATCTGCCATTTTGCTGCTTGCCTTCTCCGAGGTGCAAGAAAGTTTTGTCATAAGAAACACTTGAAGGAAGAAACATTTCAGCTGCAGCTGTCTCCCTTGTTAGCATTGAGAGGCATCGGAGAGGTCAACGCCGCCCCATGCCACTTTTTGCACATTCTTCCCTCAGCCGGCCTCCCCGCAAGACTCAGGGCTCCAACCTCTCCAGCTTCCCCTCGTGGAAATCCATTGGCTCCTCCTCTTTCAAGCAACACTGTGTTCTTCCCACTGCTGACAGAGGCTGCTCATCCGTGCACCTGTGCCCTGCGTCCTCCTCTGCGTGCACCCTGCGTCCTCCTCTGCTTGCGCCCTGCATCCTCTGCACGTGGCCCGGGCTCTGCTCCACCTGAGCCCCGTTCATCTCTCCACAGTCCAGGAGCCACACACTGCGGCTGCCACTCCAGAGACCAGGAAACCCAAGCACAGGGGCGTTTGCCACATTCTAGGTCTCGGGGCTGCCGTGGGACCCTGACCCTGGATGCCGGACTTCCGTGGGTCAAGGGCCCAGGCCACCTTCTCCAACAGCACTGTGGCCGCCACCCCAGACTCAAGCCTCTGCCTCAGCTCCCATGTTTTCCTGACTACAGGTTTCACTTCCCCAAAATCCACCTCACTGGCTCAGCGTGGTCGTTCCGCAGAATACATCCCAATCCAGTGGGGTCTGGGGTAGGCAGAGAGAGGCATGTGTGTGTGAGCCGTGGTCTCTGAAGCTCTTGCCTCTGGATTTAGAAGGCAGGTTCCTCTTTGCTGAGAGGTAAGGGGCTCCCTCCTCCCTATACCTGGTGTCCGTCCTGTGATTCCTTCTGGAAACCTAACATGAAATCATTTTAAAGTTGTCCTTGGAGGACTGGGGCGGCTGTCCTGCCCTTCGTCCAGTCTTCAAGAATCCCTCTAGTTTGTAAAAAGGATAAAAATGTAAATGGCAAAGGATTACTGTGTCCATCAGAAAATGTGAGAGAGAAAATCATGCCTGGAAAAGCCGAGCCCTACCATCCTCCCATCTGAACCTCAGCACCAAGAGCATGTGGATGCTGAGGTGACACCGAGTTCTAAACCACATTCCTCTCCTTTCTGTGGGACAACCAAATGTACAAAAGTCCCCCTTTTTTAAAGAATGCCATCTGTGTCTTGGAAATTAATAGCTGATCTGTTAAGGTTTAAGCTGAAATCTGGTGAAAACTTGCCCAAGAGAATCACAAATTATTAGTCTGATAATAGGGCAAAAACCTCAATCTCCTTGCAAGAAGAGAGGAGACCTCACCTAGTGCATCACACCTTGCTCAAGCAGTACAAATTGCTGACAAAAAGCTGTGCTGTCTTCACCAGATAGCTTCCAACCAGTTGAAGTCGCAAAGGAAAAGAAAAGAAGTCAGCCAAGATAACATGATGATTTTTTTTTTCTTTAACCCACTGCTCATAGGAGGTAAATATTCCAGTCCAAAAGGCATGGCCGGCAAACCCACTACAAGAAAATAAACTCGAATGCAAAGAAAAGCCCTAGCTTTTTTCTACTGGAAAGTCACAAGCACAGACAGGAAATGACCCAATGTGATAGGTCTCCTTCCCCAGAAAGTGCGAGGCTGCTGCAGACAGGGGCCCTCCTGTCCTTCCCTCCAGGGTGAGCCCATTAGCAGCAATGGCACAGGATTGTCGGCTCTGAAGGTTCCCTAGCAAACCACACCGGCCTCCTGCTCTCCGGGTGAACACCTCGGCATCCATTTGGAAAGCCCTTAAAATGACCAGATCACTGGTTCTCTGGGGCACTCTCCTACCCCGGGGCAGGGATGGGCGGCCGTCCCCCTGCAAGGGTGGCTCAAGTCCCCAGGACACCTGCAGGGAAACACACAGTGTCCACGAACACAACATGGGGGCCTTCAGGAGAAAAGAGGGCTCCAGCACAGAGTGAGGAGACACAGGCAACCAAACACACACACACACACACAACATACCCCACACCACACCTACAACACACACCACACCATGCAACACACTATGTGCCACACACACCACATATACAACACACTGTGCACCATGCACACACACCACAAATACAATACACACCATGCCACACACTACACACCACACACAACACATAAACCACACAGCACACCACACACTACACACATACACTACACACCACACACATACAACACATACCACGCCACACACTACACACCACAAACAGATAAGCCACACAGCACACCACACACGACACACAACAGACACCCCACACTACACACCACACACTACACACCACACACAACACATAAACCACACAGGACACCACACACTACACACATACTGTACACCACGCACTACACATAACACACACCACACAGCACACCACACACAAACAACACACACCACACACTACACACAACAGACATGCAACACATACCACACCATGCAGCATACTACATACCACACACCACATATACAACACACTGTGCACCACAACACACAGCACACACACACACCATGCAACATACTACACACCACACATACAACACACACTACACACAACACACATGCAACACATACCACATGCAACACACACCACACATCACTACATTACCACACACACATCACATAACACCCACACCACACACAAAGCAGTGTTTCCTAGGGAGGGAGACGTCCACAGCACAGGGCGTTTGACCACCCATAGGAATCGGTCATGATAATGGTCTGCGTCACCCAGTGCTGAGGCAGGCGCCTCCCCTTGGCTCTGCTGGTGCAGACACGCAGCCTCAGAACACATCACTTAGGGCCTGCCTGTGATTCTCCACTGGGCTTGAGAGCAAAGAAATGAACAGCCATGAGAAGTTCCTGACTCTACAAACAGGAGAGCAAGGGCACAGACAGACACGTGGGACGCCTCCTCCAAGCAAAGAGCCTGGAAACGGGAAAGCTCATCCTGACTTATGTAAAGCAGTCTTGAGAAAATGGAGTCCATATTTTAGTGTAAGCTTCAAGTTTCTGCTGCTTACAACTTACCTAAAGATACAACTAAGATAATCACCTACAGCTGAAAATCATCTTAAATTTTAATTTGGCTTTGATACACACTCTGCGGTTTGAGCTCAAGATAAAATATTTCTGCCCAATTATGATATGCAGCTAATTCTCCCTGATGAAATGTAGCATCTGCAGCACAGCGACAGCACCAGCCCGAGCACTGCGAGGCTCGCAGAGCCCGCAGGACAGATGGGTTCTAGCTGTCATGCAGCTCCCACCTCCAGTGCGAATGATCCTCAAAATAAGAGGTACTTCTTCACCAAGGAAGAAATACCCGAACAGACGCACATCATACTGATACACATCTACCCGACACACACACTCATATACACACATGCACATATGCACACACTTCTACCCAACACACACACTCATACACACTCACACACACACGTACATACAGATACACATCTACCCAACACACTCATATACACACATGCACATATGCACAAACTTCTACCCAACACACACACTCATACACACACACGTACATACAGATACACACATCTACCCCACATACACTCATATACACACATGCACATATGCACAAACCAATACACATCTACCCTACATACACACTCATATGCACATATGCACAAACCAATACACATCTACCTGACTCATACACACACACGTACATACAGACACACACATCTACCCAACACACACTCATATACACACATGCACATACGCACAAACCAATACACATCTACCTGACATACTCATATACATACATGCACATATGCACAAACCAATACTCATCTACCCAACACACACACATACACACACGTACATACACACACATCTACCCAACACACACACTCATATACACGCATGCATATACGCACAAACCGATACACATCTACCGACACACACACTCATACACACACATGCATATGCACAAACTGACACATCTACCCAACACACACATATACACAAACACACATATGCAGAAATCGACACACTACCTGACATACTCATATACACACACTTATACACACACGTACATACAGACACCTGCCCAACACACACACTTATACACACACGCACATACACAGATACACATCTACCAAACACACACTCATACGCACATACACACATACACACACAAATACCCGAAGATGCACATCATACCAATACACATCTACCTGACATACACACTCATATACACACACGTACATACACACACACCCAACAAACACACATACATACACACGCAAATATGCATAGACACAAATACCTGAACAGATGCACATCATAAAAATACACATCTACCCCACATACACACTCATACACATGCACATTTGCACAAACCAATACACATCTACCCGACACACACACTCATACACACACGTATATACAAACCAATACACATCTACCCAACACACACACGAACATACAAACTGAAACACATCTACCTGACACACGCACTCATACACACACACTTATACACACAAACCAATACACATCTACCCGACACACACACTCATACACACACACGGGTACATACAAACTGATACACAGCTACCCGACATACACACTCATACACACACACGAACATACAAACCAATACACATCTACCCGACATACACACTCATACACACATGCACATACACACAAACCGATACACATCTACCCGACACACACTCATACACACATGCAAATATGCACAGATACACACACATCTACCCAACACACTCATACACACACATGCACATACGCACAAACCGATACACATCTACCCGACATACACACTCATACACACACACACAAATACGCAAATACACACATCTACCCAACACACACACACACAAATACCTACAAACTGATACACATCTACCTGACATACACACACATGGGCATATACACAAACCAATACACATCTACCCGACACACATACACACACATGCAAATACGCACAGATACACATCTACCCAACACACACACTCACACACATGTAAATATGCATAGATACACATCTATGACATATACACTCATACACACACAAATATGCACAAACCGATACACATCTACCTGACACACACACACACGCACATATGCACAGATACACACACCTATCCAACACACATACACACACACGTACATACACAGATACACATCTACCAAACACACACACATATACACACACACGCACAGATACACACAACGAAATACCCGAACAGATGCACATCATACGGATAACACATCTACCCGACATACACACTCATACACACACACACGCACAAACTGATACACATCTACCCGACATACACACTCATACACACACATGCAAATAAGCACAAACCAATACACATCTACCCGACATACACTCATACACACACATGCAAATAAGCACAAACCAATACACATCTACCCGACACACACTCATACACACATACATATGCACAAACATATCGACACAACACACACTCGTATACACACACGCACGCACATGCACATACAGATGCACACACATTTACCCAACGTACACTCATATACACACACATGCATACACAGACATCTATCCAACACTCATATAGACACATGCATATGCACAGATACATGTCTACCCAACATACACACTCATATACACAGATGCAGATACACATCTACCCTACACACTCATATACACACAGATACACACACATCTACCCAACACACATTCATATACATACGCACAGATACACATTTACCCAACATACACTATACACACACGCACATACACATCTACCCAACACACACTCATATACACACACATGCGTATGCAGATACACACACATCTACCCAACATACACACTCATACACACACACACCTACCCAACATACACTCATATACACACACATACAAACGTGTGGGTGTGTGTACATCCAGGCAGACACGTCCTTCTCTTTGAAACACCAATTCTATCACTTGAAGAAAACACAACACTTGTACAAAGCAAAGCATCAAATGTCAGATTCATTAACGGGGTGACCTGAGAACGGGCCAGCCACTTGTGCCTTGCTGGGCCCGTGATGTCTGAATTCTGAGACTCGTTAAGTTCAGATCGACATGAGGGCGGGGAAAGAGGCTCGCTGCTGTGAAGCCCCTTCTTCCTTCTGAAGGGCGCCCACGCCAGGATATTTGGGCCACTTTGGTGCAAAACAGATAAAGCACCTGGAGTCCTTCCTAACAGGCAGGAGGAGTCCGGGGTGCAGCAGTTTCCAGGGCCGCGTCCCATCCCGCATTCCCGCGCGGGCCGTGCTCAGGCTTTGCTGTACACTTACCTGCCCCGAGACCCCACCCTGCCTGGCCGCCGCTGAAGGTGATTCTGACCCGCAGAGAGGCGCGGCCTGCAGGTGACCAGTCAGGACCAAAAACCCAGGAAGGGATTTGCTTGGTTTGGTTTTGTTTGATGCCCTTCAGAGAACGGCTCTCCAGCTCTGGAGCCCAGCTCAGAAGCATCAGGAGGAGCCACTGTCCAGGCACCTGGCTGCCCTCCGCGCCTGAGACTCCAGGGATGCCTGCACCCCATTATTCAGTTGAAGACACTTAAAAGCGTATGCATCCGCCACAGCAAGGAGGCGCCCCACCTCCAGCCTGCTGGGACAAGCCCTCCCTCGGCACACAGGAGCTTAGCCAGGGCTGCTACTCACTCTCTGTCTGTCACGATGTAGCCCCGCGCCTCTTCCTCGGAAGGCTGGACCTCCAATTGCAGGCCGTCGCTGAGGGCCTCCTGAGCACCCGCTGGAAGGCTCTGCTCCTCCTTCGAGGGCCCAGGCATCTGGTTTTGGAGCTCCCCAAACGCAGCGGCCCCGGGCTCCGAATGCGGCTGCTGCCCCAGCAGATCTTTGGAATACGTCTGGCTCTTGACGTTCTCCACTCCGGCAGTCTCCTCTTCTGAAGACAGGGAAGACTCAGGGTGCTCGGACTTCTTCCTCTCCATGTCGAGGGGCCTTGCAAAGGGGAGGGCTCCAGGTAAGAGTCGAGACCCGTGGTCCTGCAGGAGGCCCCCGAGTGTGGCACTCAGACGATGGACCTGACAGAGAGGACATTCCGTGAGGGACGTCTGCGAAAGGAATGCTGATGTGACACATGCAATCAAGGGCTGCCCGGGACAGAGTCACTGTGGGGATGACATGGGCAGCCTGGAAGGAGAGTGTGGGAGGAAGGCGAAGTGTGTGCAGTCTATATTTAGAATGATGTCTAGCCGAGCATGAGGTGTGAGGGCGCTGAGTATCCGAATCACTTACGTGCTGTTTTCTCCTCCCTCCCGCTCCCTCTCACACACATGCTCACACACACACCTCTCTGAAGAATCAGATTTTGTAGAGTTTGTGTAGGTCTTTGGCATTGATATTTTTAAAAATAAACTGTGTGATATCAAGATCCCACCCCAGCCCTCTAGAAGCAATGAACACTAAATAATAATAATAATAATAACAAATTTGCAACGACTGAGCTCTTCCAGCACACAAAGGCACTGTACTAAATGCGTTATCTGCATGAACACACTGAGTCCTCACGTAAGCCTGTGGGTGGGGCACCCTCAGTAACCCCAGTTCACAGAAGGGGAGACGGAGGCACAAAGCGATTAACCCACAAGTGGGCACATCACAGGGATGTGTAATTGATTCTAACGATACCTGAGGGATCTGTGGTCCTCACACGGGCTACAGTCTCCCAGCCGGATCCCCTTTTCCTGGACAAGCCATCCCTCGGAACCCCCTGGCACCTCTGCTGACTATGCACCGGGTACAGATTTGCTTTGTGTGGGTTCTCATGTAATTACTACTCCAACCCCATAAATAAAGGGTGAGTTTCACCTTTAATTTGTAGACTCTGGAGTTTACAGAGGTTAAATATCAAATTATTGGTACCAGATCACAAAAGTCGTGATTATCAGATCCAGAATTGGAACTCAGGTCTAAGGGCCATCAAAGACATGATCTCCACCCCTGGGCCGCACTGCCCTCCCAGGCACCCTACACTGCTTCCTAGGAAAGACCGGGTCTGCTCCTGCCACTGGCACATACCAGGCAACCCACGGACACCTCCTGGTGCATGTGATGCCAAAAGTCTTATGTCTACTTGGCAGGGTTTTTTTCCAACCATGAAATTATATCTTCAATATTATATTAGATGTAAACAGGAAAATCTGATTCACTTTACAACTCACTTTGCCAAAACACACTTTTAAGAAAATTAAGGAAGGACTATAGAGGCAATTATTCCCATTTTGGCTACAAATTACAACTTTTCCTTTTGTATTTTTTAAAATTTAAACAAAATAGTAGTGTGATAAAAACACTGCTCAAATTTGGATCCTCAATGACAATAGGATGTAGCCGTTGACGTTACTAAACAGAGCTAGGAAAAAGCATAATATTGTCACTTAAATTGTGTTTCATGTGAGAAGAAAAAGAAAGATGTTTTTAAATAAATAAGAAGTCAGAAAATACAACACTCACATACCCTTTTTGAGAAACAGAATTGCTTGAAAATACACCCCAAACAACAGAGAACTGAGTCAGAATTCCACGCATGGAGGATGAAAAGCCTGTGGTCTAAAAGTCAGGGAGTCTTAGGCTAACGGCAGCCCCCCAGAGCGCTCCCTGCCCCTCAGGTGGGAGGGCTGGGTCTCCCCGACTCCCTAAATTAGGAAATGTGTTTCTCAGCCCCACTTCTCCCTCCACAGCTCAGACAGCAGGTCCCATCATTTCTGATGGATATTCAAAACCAGAACTGCTGATGTTTTCTTCCTGCACTTGCCAACAGGCATGGAACCACTAACCAGTAAGAGAATCTGAGGAGAGAATGACTAACCAAAGACTCTTCTTTCTCCACCCCCAAAACTGGGTTTCCCAGAACCATGCAATGTCACTGCTGTTGCTTAGAACGGTTCTTCATCCTTCGGCCTTGTATTCACGACCAAAGGTTCTTAAAGGGAGAGAAACTAAGAGGCTAAAAGACTTAACAGGGAAGGCCAGTGTCTAGCTCGTGGACATCGCCTGCGACTGGGCCCTTCTTCTGACTGCCTCCGGAGCAGCAGTGCCCACGGGGGCTCTGGGATGGTGGACCGTCCTCTTCCTGTGGCATCCAGCGCCTTGGCCCTGAGCCACATGCGACTAACGTGCCGCCGACCTGAACCCAGTGCGGCCAAGGCACTGCATCTTTCATTTATTTAATTTTATTCAATTTAAATATAGGTTTAGATGGCCACATGTGGCCAGAGGTGCCACACGGGACAGCCAGGTGTGAGTGAGCTGAACCCCTCAGGAATCCGCACATGCAGGAGGCATCAAATGTGCAAAGTGGGCACAGGCTGCCGTGTGATAATCCTGGCTGGGAAATTCCAGGAAAAATTAATTTTCTTCTTTGCATTTACCACGACTTTCATATTTCTACCATGGATAAATTAGGTTATAATTTGAAAAGAGATATTTCGTATCCAAATATACACACTTTTGTATGTTCTCTTTATACTGTTTTTCAATTTGGAGATTATGAGGGGTTTCTCCATAATTTTCTGGGAAAAAAACTTTTGTATTTCATAAATGTTCCCACACCATGAACAAAAAGATCACCAACTTCCACATTTAACATGAAACAAACACCAGAGACGTCATCTTACCTCTTGGTAAAGTCTATCATCGTCGTCCTGCACTCCGTCATCTGTAAAAGACACCAGTGTTACCAAGACCCTCATCAAGAATGTCATCACAGGGTGCCACAGACATAAAAAGGGTGACCCTGCAGACCCCTCCATACGAAAGGTGAGGTGTGATGACGCTGGCCTAAGTCCTGCCATAGAGTAAACCTTTTCTGTTTATAGCACAAAATGGCATTCTGTAAACTTCGCGAGAGCGGAGGGGACTGAGGAGCTAAATGGTAGACGTGAAGGCAGCCACAATGACCTCACCCAGCTCTGGGGGTCTCACGTGATCGACAAAGTTAACTCACGGCAAAAAAAAACCCCATCGTACCGAGCAGTTCACGTCATGAAAAAGCAAAGTGAAGCCTTCGCCAAAACCACCTCACAATTAAGATGGCTTCAGAATCCACTGACTTAGGTTATTTCACTGTGGTCAGCGTTTCTCTCTAAATAGGTACCCCGGCTGGGCGCGGTGGCTCACGCCTGTAATCCCAGCACTTTGGGAGGCCAAGGTGGGCGGATCATGAGGTCAGGAGTTGGAGATCAGCCTGGCCAACAGGCGAAACCCCGTCTCTACTAAAAATACAAAAAATTAGCTGGGCGTGGTAGTGCACACCTGTAATCCCAGCTACTTGGGAGGCTGAGGCATGAGAATCACTTGAACCCGGCAGGCAAAGTTTGCAGTGAGCCGAGATCACGTCACCGCACTCCAGCCTGGGTGACAGAGAGAGACTCCATCTCAAAAAATAAAATAAAATAATAAATAAATTAATTAATATCCTACTTTCAGTGCCCAAAGGTGCGTGACTCATGGCACCTGAACAGTGCCCCTGGAGACAGCACGCACACCAGGGCCTCCTGCATCCCTCCTAGCCATGGTGCGGGTCCCGATTCCTTCAACCACTGGGCGACCACCTAACACAGGCCCTCCCGGGGTGCAGTTCCACTACTCCCCTGCACCCTGCCTGTCAGCCAAGTCAGGCTTCCAGCTTCCAGCAAGGCCCCCTCTGCACCCGTGCAGAGAGAGGGGCACGTCTGTCATTTGGTTTTCAGCACGTACTTGTGGGGCTGCCATGTGTGGGGAGCTGAGCTAGGTGCTTTCTTGCAGCTCCACGCTGTGAGAAGCCATCAGGCTGCAGAAGTCCTGGCTGACCCATGGGGCCTCCACAGGGCTCCGGATGCCTGCCGGGGTAGTGGTGCTGAGGGGCTGCCTTCTGCTTCCCCAGCAGCCTCAGAGGACCAATGCACGCCCCAAGCAGACATTTGAATGATCCCCTCTCACTCTGCTATTCAAATATTTGACAATATTCACCGGTACACAGTCCAAACACAACACTTCCCATCACGCCTGTTTTCCTGACTCAGCCTCAGCATGGAGGAGTGAAACCTCCTCGCAGAGAGCAATTTGCCATTCAACATAATTGCTCTGGTAGGCTTAGTCTGTTAAGAAAGCTTTTAGAGGCAAAAGTTCAAACAGATAAAAATCATTAATACAGATCCCCATCTCCCCAGCAGAAAGCCCACATTGCACTTGGTGAGCCAGCAGTCTCTGCACAGCCCTGAGGCCTCCCCTCCCCGCAGCACCCCTGGGTGTGGGCACCCATGGCGCTGCAGTCACCTGGAAAGCTGTCTCCACGGAGGGTGGCCTTGGGGCCATCCGCCTGTTCTCCAGACTCTCCCAGGGCCGCTCTCCCAGGGCTGCCTCGAGCTACTCCATGGTCCACGCCTTGCATCAGGCCAGCCATCAGCTCAGCCATGCCGTCCAGCTCCAGGCCACTCAGGCCCCTCACCTCAGCCGGCTGCCTCTGCAGGTCCTTCAGGAGGGTATGAATCCGTGCTCCTAGGGGCACACACACAAACACAAGGACGTTGTGGGTGGACGAATGCAAAGGTGAGGGCCTCCAGACCATAGGGGTGTGGTGGGCGTCTGCGGCGTCCCAAGGCAGTGGCCACCTAGGGCCAGGCGCAGGCCAGTGCTCAGAGAAGATTGGGATATTGGACTTGAATCTCAAATCCACCTGACCCTGTAACCATCACTAGTTCAGTTCCCCAGAGGTGGAAAACCCACAGAATGGAAGGACAGACTCATCCACGCGCTCAGGAGGATGGAAAGCACAGCTTCCAGAAAACACTGGAATGACCAAGCCAGGAAGAGAGATGGGCTAGGCAACTTCACCATGTCCTCCAGAGGATAAAAGAATGGGATGAGCTGTGTCCCCCTCACTTGGCAGAAGGAGAAACAATGCCTGGCAAGGACAGCGCCCTGCCCAGGACACCCTGCCCAGCACACCCTGCCCAGCACACCCTGCCCAGCACACCCTGCCCAGCATGGACCAACTCTAATTACATCTAAACACAGCCACACAGGGTCAAAGCCTCGTCCAAGAAAGTAACTGCTGCCGGAAAAGCCCCTTAAAGGAAGGTGGCAGGGTCTAGGCCCCCACTTCACACAAGCAGCAACAGATGCAGGAGGAGGCAGAAAAACAGAACCCGAAATTGAGAATAGGGCAGTCGATGATTAGAGCGAGGAGACAAGGCCATTTGTGGAGCTGCCATAACCGCGGAGAGATGTGTGCACCCGCTGCTCAGCAGAGTGGGGAAATTAAAACAGAATCCAACACACATTCTGTAAGTGAAGAGCACGGCGTCTGAAATTTAAAATTTATGTCCATTACGGGTGGACATAACGGAAGAAACGGTTTGTGAATCTGAAGACAGATCATAGAAGCGATCATCGTTGGAAGAACAGAATGGGAGACGTTCTGCAGAACCTCAGTCACCCCTGGGGCATCCAAGCCGTCGGAGTCAGGAGGGCACGGGGGGGTGGGAAAGGAACCAGAAACACCTGAAAGAAAGCCCACAAGTCTCTCAAATCTGGGAAGGATTGTCACTCAGGGACTCAAGACAGTCACTAAGTTCCACGATAATAAAATGCAAGGAGAACCACGCCATGACTTCAGCTGAGCTACTGCAAGTCAGAGATGGAGAAGATTCCTGGAAAGCAGCGGGGGCGGGGCGGGGGGAAGACACGCTCCACACATGAGAATGGAAAGGGTCCCAGGAGCGCAGAGGCCGCCAGACACCCTGCATGTCCTGTAAGAACAACGTATTTCATACAATGTGCAGAGTCAGGCATTTGACGTTACAGATAATGAATGCCACATTTGAAGGGTTGAAAGAAAAATCATTCAATCCAGGAGTTTATATCCAATGACAATATCCTTCAAACGAGAGGGTAAAGGAGAGACATTTTCATATCACGTATGTGAACAAAGCTGAGCCAGTGGGTCCCTGTGGGCCTGCACACAGGCTGAAGAGAAACACCACCACACAGAAGCCCAGAGCTGCGGGAGGAGCCAAAAAGCTCCTGAAAGGGTAAATATGTGGTTACATAAACAAGAAAGACCGTCTTCTTTTCTCCTCTTACTTTATCTAAAAAACAACTGATTGTTAGCAAGGAAAAATTATTACCACTTTAAGGTAGGGTTCATAAAACAGCTGCAGGCATGAACTGGATGGCACAAGAGGCTAGAGGGAGCTGAAGCCTCCTCACCGCGTCCAGGAAGTGGCACAGTGACAACTCCGAGGAGACTGTTTCAAAGGCGCCAGGGCGTTTCAACAGAGAAAGGAAAGTCTTTTCCAAAAGGACATCTTCCGTATTACCCAGAAATTGGACTCGTAAGTATTTACCCGAGAGAAGTGAAACCCGTAACCATGAGAGTTAAATGAGACTGTGGGTAGCAGCCTGACTCCTCATAGTTCCACAGACAGAGTCTAAAGTCCATGTGCCCGGCAGCAGGAGAGCGGATAAGGAGGCCACATCCACACCAGCACTGAGCCAGAAGGAACCACAGAGACGAGAAGGGGGACAGACCTAGAACCAGTCAGGCTGAGTGAGAGAAGCCGGTCACCAGAGAATCCACAGAATCCTGTTAACAGAAGATGAAGTTCAAGGATGGGCGAGGTCTGCCCAGGGCAACCAGAGCCGCATCACCTGCAGGTGGGGCTGGGGCAGGAGGAAGCGTCGGGTGTGAGGGTGTGCCGTGCAGCGTGGCCGCTGGTTCCAGGCCCACATGCGTCCAACGCGTCATCGTGTCCACCTGCGGTCTGCGCATCTCGCCGTGTGTATACTCCCCCTCAACAGCAGCAATAAAGACTCTGCCCTAAAGAAGGTTCATGGGCCCATTTCCGAGCTTTGAAGGAAAACCTGACTTTCTTTTGTATTCAGTGTTGAAATCTCTGTCCTCATAAAGGTTTATGTAAAATAGCTCATGGCCACGTCTCTACCTTCCCGAACGACACCGGCAGAGTGACGCAGAGGGGACACAGAATGTCCTGACCTCAGTGGGGTCTCACCACGACCCTCCACTGTAGGGGGGTCCCGCTGCCACCCTCCACGCTAGAGGGGTCTCACCACGACCCTCCACCCTAGACAGGTCCCGCCGCAACCTTCTGCCCTAGAGGGATCCCACTGCGACCCTCTGCCCTAGAGGGATCTCGGCACAATCCTCTACAATAGAAGCGGAGGAATTATTTCTGCTTTTTACAAATTAAGAAATGTAGGCATTTTAGGTTTTTTGTCTGCGTCAAATGCATCACCAGGCCTGGGCTGCAGCCTGCAGTGTCTGCACAGGGCTCGACAGTGGCACTGCCTGTGGCACCCCCGTTCACTCAGCCGCACGTCCCGTCCTCTCTCCACAGCGCAGGCTGTGTCTAGTCCATGCCGAGGCAGCGGGGCCGGCACCCGGTCCCCACGTGCCCCGTTCACTGCATACGCAGGACAGGAGTCAGTGTCTGGGGCCGCCTAGACTCGCATGACTTTCCAAACACAAGTGCCGATGGCCTGTGGTGGGTTCTTTGAGTGAAAATTTTTTAAGTGCAGTCTCTCTTGCCCATTAATTGAAGCTGGTTCTTCAGGGGGCGTCTTGCTACACGGCTGTAAGGACACATTTTTTGAAGTGTTTTGCTTCATTTCTGAACACTCTCTGCTGCACCCCATCCCCCACCAGGGTCTCGCATGGAAAGGGTCACAGCCATGACCCTCTGATTTTCCCCTTTGAAAACCTGAGTCCTGTCAGCGCCACTCCAGACTTGCTGTTGATGACTAAGACCCTCTGATGTAAAGGCCTGAACGTCCATGACAGGCATTTCTGAGACAGCATTATGTGTAGTTTAGCATGGGATGAAGCGGACAGAGTCCTTTAAAGTCAATCTGTACACGAAATGTGTGACGGACACGGGCGTTCTGATCGGAGCGTGCTGGGCGTTCACTGCCACCGATGTCCCCTGCTGGGGTGGCCGAGTGCCCCGCTCTGGCCGACGTTGAGGCCTCTGAATTGTTCGGCAGACAGTGGCGGCTTCTTTACCTTCGGGTTGAAGTGTCCGTATTAACCCCACATTTCTGATGCTCTGACATCTGGGGCCCTGCTGACCCTGGGGGCTGCCCCTCCCACGAACAGCCAATTCCCAGATAGTGAACAGTCACCCACTCCACGCAGGCTTTCCACATGCAAACCCTGCGATCCGGAGCCCACGCCCGCCTCCGCCTCTGTGGGCTCAGACTCCAGGCCGCTGCCCTAGTCACCCTGGGGCAAGGACCAGACACGGGCAGCCCCTGGCCCCGGAGCGGCTGGAACTATTCAAGCTGGGCAGTCCTGTCCCTGACGACCCTGCCTTGCCCTCGCCCAGCCTCCGGACTGACGCTGGCGCATCCCTGTATCGACCCATGGCGTGGCCTGCCCCCTCCTCTCAAAATCTGTAAGTAACAAACTGTTGTTTCAACAGCAGCTGTACCCAGATCTCTCGGGCTTGCCGTCCTAAATCATAATGAAACCTGCCGTTTAAAACAGAAGAAGGGAAACGCAGGGATTGGCATGGAGGCCGCGTACTCTTCTGTTTTTTCATTAGCCTTGAGCCTTGGAGGGGAGGGCCAGCCTCCCTTCGCCACACCCCCAGGGCCCACCAACCCCCACACATCAGCCCTCACCATGCATTCACTGATGGAATGCTACCTTCAAAGAAAGCTTCCAGCAACAAACTCAGGAAAATACATCTCACTTTCTCACAAACAAAAACATGCCTAAAACCGCAGCAAAGCCTGCCTTCACCGCTACTCCTGTCTGCAGGTGACAAAGGGCTGAAGGGCTGGACAGTCCCAGGTCAACGGCACCCATGCCCCAGCTCCTTCCACGCTGACAGGCTCACGTTGTTTCACAGAGAAGATAAAAGATGTGCTCCGGAATTAAAGGTGCGTGTATACCACAGCCCTCGGTGCTGTTTTGAAAATGTGCTGCTCATTGCAGCTTTCAGAATCAGAAGAGCCATCTCAGCCTCGCAACCGAGCCACCGAGCCACGAGCCCAGAGCAACCTTTTCATTCTCATTCACTGCAGTCTCCTCCCACCACAGATCTTTTTCTTTCCCAGCGATTATCATCGCGACAGTCTTATCTCGCTCGTCCACGTCCACAGGTCCAATGCTGGCAACAAAGGGCTCACTCATCCCAAAGAAAATGGAAATAAGGAAGTGCAGGGATCGGGAGGAAGAGCTGTGTCTGGAAAAGTAGGCGGCCACAGGCAAGAGCCTGAGTTCTGAAGGGTCCCGGGCTCCACCAGGCGGAGCCCAGAAAACTAACAGCCCCAGAGAACTGGCAGGAGGCACCGGAGCCTGCGGCAGGAACCGGCACAGCTGCAGGGAGACCTGAAGGGCCCTCGGCATTGGGCATGGCTGTCCCCAGCAGTCGGCGTCCTCCGTGCTTAGGAGGCGAGGGATGTCTCCACACATGCCTGCACTAGCCAAGATGTGTGTCAGAGTCGGCCCGGCCATAGCTCACGGTGGACACCAGTCCCCGTGATGGAATTTCATCGGAGGGAAAGAAACAGGGAGGTGAGGAATGAGTGGTGGTTGCTAAGGAAAGGTCCTTCCTGTGGACACGAACCAATGAACACAGGCTCGGCTGCCCAGCGGCCTCCTCATCAGGTGAGTGGGGCAGGAGGGCCCCAGAGTAACGACCTGACCAGAGGCCTCGTCTGGGGCAAAGTCCATTATTTCTGATGTCACGATTCGCAGGAAGTGGCAGGGCCTCCAAGTGTGGTAGAACAATTCACTTCCAAGTCCAAAGATCCCTTCTGCCCTCCCAAAAGGACAAAAGGACTCTCCACACACTAGCTTGGCACAGCAGGCACCACAAGGCCTGGGAGCCTCCACCTGCATCTGTAGACACCGCCTTCCTGAGCTCCCAGGCAGCAGAGTGGCCACCGTCCCCCCCGCAGCCGGAGCTCCCCAGGACTGCAGCCCCGGGCCACCACCTGCCCAGACGACCCCACTGCAGCTCCAGAGAAGGTGACGTGGTCCGTGCGGGGACAAGTTTGGGACAGAGTTCCATTAACCGTTCTTCTGCAAGGCCCTGTGTTTCCTAAGGGGGCTGAAAAGCTGGTTGTGATATTTTGACAAATGGTGAGAGAATAAAAATCATGTGACTTCTCAATAAAGAAGGTTAAATGTTCTCGAATTCGGCATTTCCAGTGAAAATGAATCATGTTTTGCCATACTGATCCACAAATAAACTTTTCTGAGCCCCCCAAGGTTTATAAAAATGATGTGCACAGGCCAGGGTATTCAATTCAGAGTGGCTACAGTGTTGCCAGCAGGAAAATGCCAAAAGAAAGAGAAAGCAGACATCAGCCGGACGCGGTGGCTCACACCCGTAATCCCAGCACTTTGGGAGGCCAAGGTGGGCGGATTTCTTGAGCCTAGGAGTTGGAGACCAGCCTGAGCAATATAGTGAAACTCCATCTCTACTAAAAATACCAAAAATTAGCTGGGCATGGTGTCAGGCGCCTGTAATCCCAGCTATGCAGGAGACTAAACCAGGAGAATTGCTTGAACCTTGGGGGTGGAGGTTGCAGTGAGCTAAGATTGTGCCACTGCACTCCAGCCTGGGCGATAGAGCGAGAGAAGGGGAAGGGGAAGGGGAAGGAGAAGGGGGACATCAGCAGGCATCCCGGGGTGGAGCGCTCACCCTCTCCCTCCAGGGCAGGCTGGCGCTTCTCCCACCACCCCGAGGGAAGAGGCTGCGGTCTGTGTTTCTAACAGCAAACACCGTCACTGTCAACACTGATGAGTCCTGCTTAACACAAAGACAGGTGTGTCGACCCACCCTGAACTTTGCAAAATGATGCTTATTCCCCTCTCAAACCCACACAGAGGCCAAGTGCCTGCTCTGAAGGAGGAACTGAACAGCAAGCCACGTCTCCAGAATGCCACGGCTCGGCAAGACTTCCCTCACATCATCGCAAGAAGGTTCCAGAATACCACGGCTCGGCAAGACTTCCCTCACATCATCGCGAGAAGGTTCCAGAATACCACGGCTCGGCAAGGTTTCCCTCACATCATCGCGAGAAGGTTCCAGAATACCACGGCTCGGCAAGGTTTCCCTCACATCATCGCGAGAAGGTTCCAGAATACCACGGCTCGGCAAGACTTCCCTCACATCATCGTGAGAAGGTTCCAGAATACCACAGCTCGGCAAGGTTTCCCTCACATCACGGTGAGAAGGTTCCAGAATACCACGGCTTGGCAAGACTTCCCTCACATCATCGCGAGAAGGTTCCAGAATACCACAGCTTGGCAAGGTTTCCCTCACATCACGGTGAGAAGGTTCCAGAATACCACGGCTTGGCAAGACTTCCCTCACATCATCGTGAGAAGGGGCGGCAGTGCCCGGTACAGCGTGGTACAGTGAGCGCCACACTCAACCATATGAACAGCCTACTTGTATCGACAGAGAGCAGCTGGGAATGTAGAGTTTGGGGAACTGGCAGGCATCCACCCTTGAGAAACTGAGGCTCCATGGTGGACCAGGAAGGGAGGAAGAAATGGCAACGTGAGCAGAAAGGCCATCAGGCACGGCGGGAAAGCCAGAGCACCCTGGCCAGACGCGGCCAGGCTTGGCGTGGAGCTGCCAGTACTGAACCAACAGGGGCTCCCCTGCCGTGGCTGCAGCTGCCTGCACACTTTCTCAGGCCTGATTATTCTAGAATCTGTAGGGTGTTAGCTCACATTTCTTTTTCCATCATTGCAGCTAGGACCTTAGACACATTTAAAGTTCCCATCAATCCGATCATCCATCCTTGTGCTGCCCTGCCCTGGGGGATGCCAGGCTGGACTCCCATGAAGAAAGGCTGACCATGCTCCCGGAGTCTTGGCCCCAGCGCTCATGGTCTGTGGTTTGGGGCAAGCTCGCTCATTTCTTCATGCCTCAGTTTCCATATCTGTAAAATGGTGACAAGTGAGGCATGGGCCCAGCATACTGTA
Organism: Homo sapiens; assembly: GCF_000001405.40. Lineage (NCBI taxonomy): Eukaryota > Metazoa > Chordata > Mammalia > Primates > Hominidae > Homo > Homo sapiens. Next base: position 158,145,990 of record NC_000007.14, read on the forward strand.
AGTGCTTAATAAATTATAACTATTATCATGAAACAAGGAGAGGATGAGAAATCATTTTAGTTTTCCACTCTTTTCCCCCTTTCCCATCCATTCTGAAAACAAATACTTGGTTCTCCATGAGAAGCTCTCGCCACAGCTCATTGTGATCCTCAGGTGAGAAGTGAGGAACACAGTCAGAGAGCCCCTTAGATGCTCAGTCACACAAGCTGACAGGCACCTTCCAACTTGCTCAAGATCTAATTCAAGATTATGCATTTTGAAACTATTTTCTGCCAAAATATTAACCAAAATGTTAACCTATATTTAAAAAAATATGAACCTCTCATTAAAGTCAAAGCCCAGTCTCCGTCCATCCCTCCACCCACTAACCTACCCATTGATTGCACCAACCTGTATTGGGCATCTATTGTGATCAAAGCCTGGGAACAAACATTATTCTAAGAAATAATAGGCTGGGCTTGGTGGCTCACACCTGTAATCCCAGCACTTTGGGACGCTGAGGCATGCGGATCACGAGGTCAGGAGATCAAGACCATCCTGACTAACATGGTGAAACCCCATCTCTACTAAAAATACAAAAAATTAGCCAGGCGTGGTGGCGGGCGCCTGTAGTCCCAGCTACTCAGGAGCCTGAGGCAGAAGAATGGTGTGAACCCAGGAGGCGGAGCTAGTAGTGAGCTGAGATCGCGCCACTGCACTCCAGCCTGGGCGACAGAGCGAGACTCTGCCTCAAAAAAAAAAAAAAAGAAAGAAAAAAGAAACAATAGAAAATTAAAAGCTTCATTTTCTTGAGGGCTACAACATTGTTCTCACACCAGCACAGACACACTAAAATGTTTTGGAGGCCAGAGAGACTTGACCAATGGATAGAACAAGCAAACAGTTTACAGGGAAAATACACCATTAAGATCCTGTGAAGAGACTGAATGACACCCCATCTCACGCCACGTGTCTTTCCCCCTCAATGACACCCCATCTCACGCCACGTGTCTTTCCCCCTCAATGACACCCCATCTCACGCCACGTGTCTTTCCCCCTCAATGACACCCCATCTCACGCCACGTGTCTTTCCCCCTCAATGACACCCCATCTCACGCCACGTGTCTTTCCCCCTCAATGACACCCCATCTCACGCCACGTGTCTTTCCCCCTCAATGACACCCCATCTCACGCCACGTGTCTTTCCCCCTCAATGACACCCCATCTCACGCCACGTGTCTTTCCCCCTCAATGACACCCCATCTCACGCCACGTGTCTTTCCCCTTCAATGACACCCCATCTCACGCCACGTGTCTTTCCCCTTCAATGACACCCCATCTCATGCCACGTGTCTTTCCCCCTCACCGACACCCCATCTCACGCCACGTATCTTTCCCCCTCAATGACACCCCATCTCACGCCACGTGTCTTTCCCCTTCAATGACACCCCATCTCATGCCACACGTCTTTCCCCCTCAATGACACCCCATCTCACACCACGTGTCTTTCCCCCTCACTGACACCCCATCTCACGCCACAGGTCTTTCCCCCTCACTGACACCCCATCTCACGCCACGTGTCATTCCCCCTCACTGACACCCCATCTCACGCCACGTGTCTTTCCCCCTCAATGACACCCCATCTCACGCCACGTGTCTTTCCCCCTCAATGACACCCCATCTCATGCCACGTGTCTTTCCCCCTCACTGACACCCCATCTCACGCCACACGTCTTTCCCCCTCACTGACACCCCATCTCACGCCACGTGTCTTTCCCCCTCAATGACACCCCACCTCACGCCACGTGTTATTCCCCCTCACTGACACCCCATTTCACGCCACACGTCTTTCCCCCTCAATGACACCCCATCTCACGCCACGTGTCTTTCCCCTTCAATGACACCCCATCTCACGCCACGTGTCTTTCCCCCTCACTGACACCCCATCTCACGCCACGTGTCTTTCCCCCTCAATGACACCCCATCTCACGCCAGGTGTCTTTCCCCCTCAATGACACACCATCTCACGCCACGTGTCTTTCCCCCTCAATGACACCCCATCTCACGCCACGTGTCTTTCCCCCTCAATGACACCCCATCTCACGCCACGTGTCTTTCCCCCTCAATGACACCCCATGTCACGCCACGTGTCTTTCCCCCTCAATGACACCCCATCTCACGCCACGTGTCTTTCCCCCTCAATGACACCCCATCTCACGCCACGTGTCTTTCCCCCTCAATGACACCCCATCTCACGCCACGTGTCTTTCCCCCTCAATGACACCCCATCTCACGCCACGTGTCTTTCCCCCTCAATGACACCCCATCTCACGCCACGTGTCTTTCCCCCTCAATGACACCCCATCTCACGCCACGTGTCTTTCCCCCTCACTGACACCCCATCTCACGCCACGTGTCTTTCCCCCTCAATGACACCCCATCTCACGCCACGTGTCTTTCCCCTTCAATGACACCCCATCTCATGCCACACGTCTTTCCCCCTCAATGACACCCCATCTCACGCCACGTGTCTTTCCCCCTCACTGACACCCCATCTCACGCCACAGGTCTTTCCCCCTCACTGACACCCCATCTCACGCCACATGTCTTTCCCCCTCACTGACACCCCATCTCACGCCACGTGTCTTTCCCCCTCACTGACACCCCATCTCACGCCACGTGTCTTTCCCCCTCAATGACACCCCATCTCACGCCACATGCCTTTCCCCCTCAATGACACCCCATCTCACGCCACGTGTCTTTCCCCTTCAATGACACCCCATCTCACGCCACGTGTCTTTCCCCCTCAATGACACCCCATCTCACGCCACGTGTCTTTCCCCCTCAATGACACCCCATCTCACGCCACGTGTCTTTCCCCCTCAAGGACACCCCATCTCACGCCACGTGTCTTTCCCCCTCAATGACACCCCATCTCACGCCACGTGTCTTTCCCCCTCAATGACACCCCATCTCACGCCACGTGTCTTTCCCCTTCAATGACACCCCATCTCACGCCACACATCTTTCCCCCTCAATGACATCCCATCTCACGCCACGTGTCTTTCCCTCTCACTGACACCCCATCTCATGCCACGTGTCATTCCCCCTCACTGACACCCCATCTCACGCCACACGTCTTTCCCCCTCAATGACACCCCATCTCACGCCACGTGTCTTTCCCCCTCAGTGACACCCCATCTCACGCCACACGTCTTTCCTCCTCAAGTGCACGAGTGTCTGGGCTGACCTGCTCTCCAAGCTGGCACCAATTATAGTACAGGGAACCCAATTTCCAACCAAAAGACCTCCAAACTTTTATAAAGCAATGTCATCAATGTGTAAATCACTGCCTATATTTAACCCCTGGAAATTAACAACTACATTGACATAAACTTAAATCTAACCAGTGTCTTTTCAGTATAAACTCTTAAAACATAAAATGTATAAGATGTTACCTTTTCTCAAGAGGTAAAAAAAAAAAAAAATCCTTATTTTTAATCTCTAACAAAGGCAATCCAATTAACTCACTGATTTTTAAAAAGATAAGCCCGGCTGGGCGCAGTGGCTCATGCCTGTAATCCCAGCACTTTGGGGTCCGAGGTGGGTGGATCACCTGAGGTCAGGAGTTCGAGACCAGCCTGGCCAACATGGTGGAAACCCCATCTCTACTAAAAATACAAAAATGACCCAGGCGTGGTGGCGCATGCCTGTAGTCCCAGCTACTCAGGAGGCTAAGGCAGGAGAATTGCTTGAACATGGGAGACGGAGGTTGCGGTGAGCTGAGATTGTGCCATTGCACTCCAGCCTGAGTGACAGAGCAAGAGTCCATCTCAAAAAAAAAAAAAAGATAAACCCAAGTGATGTCTCTTGAAAAAACAAAAAAATTACTGTGGAATTTTTGGGATCTAAGTTATGCTGAACAAAAAGTGGCAAGAATATATTTTAAATTTAATATAAAATAAATAAAACATATGAAAAATAAAAATAGAAAGTAAGCAACACAATTCTTTGCTGTTTGTTAAGCCTCATTACAGACACATCAGATTTAGGTGGCGTAGTGTGGCATCAAGGGCATGAATGATAAGAAAACAGAGTCATCTGAGGGAAGAGGCCGTGGGGCAGAAGGCTGCCGTGGGTGTTCTGCTGAGCTCTGAAGCTTGGCCGGCAACAATGCTGTTCCCTGCAGGCTCCTGTTGCCTCAAGCGGGGCAGTGTGTGTGAGACCCACCTTCATGCTTCAGGAACACTGGCCAAGGCAGAAAAATAGATGGATGTATTCATGAGAGATTTTTAAACAAGTTGAATCCAGGCTGTTTCTGCTAAAGGCTAACGTAACCAGAACATTCAGCTGACAAGCATGTTCCATTTCTGAGTACCTGGGCTCACCAAGGGTGTACCCCAGTCTCCGCCCTCCACATGCAGGGCTGAGATGTCCACCCTCAGCAGCTCGAAAAGTGGCAGCTCTGCCGCCCTGACCTGGCACTGACGCAGCAGGCGGATGTTCCTGTGTCCCCTGCACTGACCTTCACTGCAAAGCTAACCCAGGTGAGTCCCAGTATTCACCAGCTCCTGGAGCCCAGAAACAAGTGGGCATTTCTAGAAGGTCAAGGAGCATCTATATGGAAAGACCTTTTCTCCTTAAGATCTCGGTGTCATCTCCTGCCCCTCTAATTCCACCCTTGTGAACATAACCCAGGGGGGTCACTGAGGTGAGATCTGTCATGCAGAGGGAAGAATGTGGGTGATCATGGTGATCTGCAAAGCTCTCTTCTTTCCTGGTCTGTGAGACGCTGCGTATCTGCAGCACCGCGACCCAGCACTCCTCTCCCTCCGTGTCCTGTGAACTCTCCCATGATGGTTGCACCCCAGCCACTCTGGCCTCCTTTCTGTTCTTCCAACCCAACGTGCTGGTGGAATTATCCTACTGGTTTGCAGCAAATGGGCCCCACACAACACCGAGAAGCTGGGAAATATTATTCTGTGCATCCCACCCTGCTTACAGCAATGTCTGTTCCTCTCAGCACCTCATGCTGCCTCCTATGCGGGAAGCCAGGCCCTGTCACTGTCCTGCCCCTGCCTGCCCACACTGCCCGCCTTTCCACTCTTGCCCCTGCCTGCCCAAACCGCCCGCCTTTCTGCTCCTACCCCTGCCCACACCGCCCGCCTTTCTATTCCTGCCTCTCCCTGCCCACACCGCCCGCCTTTCTGCTCCTGCCTCTCCCTGCCCACACCACCCACCTTCTATTCCTGCCTCTCCCTGCCCACACTGCTCACCTTTCTATTCCTGCCTCTCCCTGCCCACACCGCCCGCCTTTCTGCTCCTGCCTCTCCCTGCCCACACCGCCCACCTTCTATTCCTGCCTCTCCCTGCCCACACCGCCCGCCTTTCTGCTCCTGCCTCTCCCTGCCCACACCGCCCGCCTTTCTATTCCTGCCTCTCCCTGCCCACACCGCCCGCCTTTCTATTCCTGCCTCTCCCTGCCCACACCACCCGCCTTTCTATTCCTGCCTCTCCCTGCCCACACCGCCCGCCTTTCTGCTCCTCACCGCACGTCCTACTCCAGGCGATCTGCAGGCAGCCTCTTACTCTGCCTGTGGTGGGGTGGTGGTGGTGGGTGGTATGAGCCACGCCCTCCCCTTCAGGGACAGATGAGAGCTTCAGGAGGTGAAATACTCCCCCGCCCCCTCCTTCTTCCCTCTTGTTTCCTTTCCCTTCTTTCTTCCTTCTCCCCAATCTTCCTCCCTCCCTCCCTTGCTAGCTGCATTCTTTCCTTCCTTCCTGCCACAAATATTTACTGCACATCTCCTTTGCACCAGCTACCTTTGAAGGCGCAGAGATAAATCCATGAGCAAAGTCCTTGCTTTTGTGTGACTTCCATCTATGTTAGAAGGAACAGGAAACAAATAAAAACCATGAATGCGGCCGGGCGCGGTGGCTCACGCCTGTAATCCCAGCACTTTGGGAGGCCGAGGCGGGTGGATCACAAGGTCAGGAGATCAAGACCATCCTGGCTAACATGGTGAAACCCCGTCTCTACTAAAAATACAAAAAAATTAGCCGGGCGTGGTGGCAGACGCCTGTAGTCCCAGCTACTCAGGAGGCTGAGGCAGGAGAATGGTGTGAACCCGGGAGGCGGAGCTTGCAGTGAGCCGAGATCACGCCACTGCACTCCAGCCTGGGTGAAAGAGTGAGACTCTGTCTCAAAAAAAAAAAAAAAAAACCATGAATGCACAGAATATGTGGTGGTGATTGATGCTGCGAAGAAATAACCCAGAGTATGAAGGATCGGGGGCTGGAGCACTGCTCTTTCATACCGCACTGCCAGAGAAAGCCTCATTGAGAAGGTGAAGTTTCAGCAGAGGCCTGAGGGAGGTGAGCATGGGCCTAGTGGGGCCTGGGAAGCTGTCTTCAGGCAGGAGTAGCAGTGAGCACTAAGGCCGTGGGCAGAAGCTGCCTGGCGTGTTGGGTTGGAAGAACAGACAGGAGGCCAAAGTGTCCAGAATGCAGCCCCACGTGGAGAGTTCACAGTGATATGGGAGTGCTGGGAAGGGGAGAGCTGGTCCCTTTAAATGATATAGAAGTGTGAAGGGAAGTGCTGGGTTGAGGAAGGCAGGTCCCTGGCTGGGGCTCCATCTCCACAGACCTAGGTGAGGACAGGCACTCCTGCCTTCACCACCAAATGCTGCATTTCCCAAGACCACCCTGGCCCCTACCACACTCCCATCCTGTGCCTATAAAAACCCCCAAGACCCTGGCAGGCACACACACAAGTGGCTGGATGTCAAGAGGAGCACGTTGGCAAAAGAGCAGACCAACAGACACCAGCATGCCAGCAGGCCACCGACTGGTGGGACAAGAGCAGACCGACAGACACCAGCACGCCAGCAGGCCACCAACCAGTGGGACAAGAGCAGACCAACAGACACCAGCACGCCAGCAGGCCACCGACTGATGGGATAAGAGCAGACTGACAGACACCAGCACGCCAGCAGGCCACCAACCAGTGGGACAAGAGCAGACCGACAGACACCAGCATGCCAGCAGGCCACCGACTGGGGGGACAAGAGCAGACCGACAGACACCAGCACGCCAGCAGGCCACCGACTGGGGGGACAAGAGCAGACCGACAGACACCAGCATACCATCGACCAGCGGAACGATGCCGAGTGTGGCCGGGGCAGTCTGAGGAGAGCCCAGGCCATCAAGCATTCGGACTCCAGGGGAAAATCATCTCCCTTCTGGCTCCCCCATCTGCTGAGAGCTACTTCTACTCAAAACAACCTTGCACTTACTCTCCAAGCCCACATATGATCTGATTCTTCCAGTACACTAAGGCAAGAACCCAGCATTCAGAAAGCCCTCTGTCCTTGTGATAAGGAAGGGGTCTGATTGAGCTGACTAACACAAGCCACCTATAGACGGCAAAATTAAAGGAGCGAAACCAAAAGAGCACCCTGTAACACATGCCCACTGGGGCTTTAGGAGCTGTAAACATTCACCCCTAGACACTGCCATGGGGTCTGAGCCCACAGCCCACCCGTCTGTCAGCTCCCCTAGAGGTTTGAGCAGCGGGGCACTGAAGAAGCGAGCCACTCCCCCATCGCACGCCCTGTGAGGGGAATAAGGGAACTTTTCCCGTTTCAACAGGACACGGAGGGAGAGGAGTGGTGGGTGGGGGTGCCACAGATATGCAGGGTCTTGCAGACCAGGCAAACAGCTTTGATTTTTACTGAGTGTGATGAGAAGCCCGTGGTGTGCTCTGAGCAGTGGGATATCATCTGATTGACAAATTTACAAGAACCACTCTGCAGGCCTGAGACAAGGTCAGAGGCAGGAGGCCAGGTCTGGTCAGATCTGGTTAGGGGTGGTGGTCGGGGGGACAGAGAGCAGCCGGCTGGTGGGGAGGAGGGGGCACCCTGGGTGTGCTCGCTCGGAAGGCAGGTACAGCAGGGTCTGCCAACAGACTGGACATGGGGGGACAGAAAGAAAAGGACCTAAATGGATAGTGGCCCCACAGCCATGCTGTAGGAACCATGGGAGGGTTCGTTCAAGGTGTGGGGTCCGGGCTGGGCTGGGAGGCCCTCAGGAGCCCGGCAGGCACCCACACTGCCATGTTTGGTCTTGTGCCAGTGCAGGTGGGATGAGAGTCCTGCTGGTCACAGGCAGGGAATGTCAGGGCAGAAACCCTAAAAGATTCACTGCCTTCCAGAAAAGGCAGCGTAACGCAGAGACAGGTGTTCTCCGGAGTCAGCCAAACCGGGCTCAAACTCCACCCCACCATTCACCACAGTTGGGACTCGGGGAAACCCATCCAGCCTCTTCCAGCCTCATGAGCCCTCTGTGTGAAACTGAATCAATAACTCCCACTCGAATGGGTTGCTGAGAAAATGAAATATAGTAAGTGTGTTGTCTACTACCTGCTAATGCTCAGTATTTGTTGACAGGAAGTTGTGTCCCCTCTTCTAACACCGCTGTAACATTTAACAACTCAGAAAAACTCTCTCTTATGGCTGCTACGCATCCCTTTTCCTTTGACTCCCTTTGGTTCGAGTCTTGTTAAATGGATGGGAGAGCAGAAATACAACTGCCCTGAAATAAAACTTCATGTTCTTTATGGTAAAGATCAGAGAACAGGAGGCATTTTCAGTGGGCCTCTTAGAATCACTATAATAGGAAACATCCACCTTCAAAATGGAATAATAAAGTACAATTCCAAAAACTACTTCCCCTCATCTGAAAAAGAAACTTTTTAGGTTATCATTAATGAAAAATAACTTTAAAAAAAATCATAAGTATATAAGAGAAAATTCTAAGTTGCTGGGCAGCTTATGGGAGAACAGTTAATGCATACTAGGGATCCCCTCCCATGTAACCTCTACAAACCACACACACAGCATTTTATGAACATGCTGAGTTATCTCAGAAGCATCCACTACCTGCCATTTGAAGATGAAGAGAAATGAGGAAGTATGTTTTGCAGCATCCAGTGAGCCCTGGTGGGTTGAAGAAGGGCGGCAGCACAGAGCACAGATAACAAGAATATCAAAGTAAAACGTTGTGTTCCATCAACTGCACCACGTAATTCTGCAATCTGGCCAGTTCATAATGACATTTTAAGTAGCTTTCAGTGCTCCAACTGGGCTCTCATAAGGCAATTACACAAAATGTCAGGATATTAAATGTGTAAAGCCTGGAGTAAGAGATCAGCTCACATGACTCTGCATTCTCAACTGCCACAGCCAGGCCTATTGAAATTATATGTCATTGTAGGGCCTTCCAAACAAAATGGTACAAGCTTTAAACAATCAGCAACAGCCTGCAGATAACCTCGCCACAACATTGTTTTCACAAAGACAATGGGAATCATGCACAACAGCTTTTGCTCCTAAGTGCCTTTACAACCATGTATATATGAAGGTACACAGTTAGCCACATCTGAACACCCATCATCACCATCAGTAGCACCACCATCACCAACACCATCATCACCATCATCATCACCATCACCATCATCATCACCATCACCATCATCACCAATGCCATCATCACCATCACCATCAGCACTATCATCACCATCAACACCATCATCATCATTGCCATCATCACCATCACCATCATCACCATCATCATCACCATCACCATCAACACTATCATCACCATCATCACCACCGTCATCATTGCCATCATCACCATCACCAGTGCCATCATCACCATCACCATCAGCACTATCATCACCGTCAACACCATCATCACCATCACCATCATCACCATCATCACCATCACCATCATCATCACCATCAACACTATCATTACCATCATCAACACCATCATCATCACCACCATCATCACCATCACCCACCATCATGGGGAATGGACTGTGCTCCTTTGGTTTAGAGGACATACAGCCCATTTAATTGCTGGGGTCCAAAACTTGGGTATTTGCAGAGGATTCAGGTAAATTCAGTAGGAGCTCATTATCGCATTCTCTCCTCATTTGGGCTTCCACAGGGAGAAACTGACATAATCATATGCCAGCATGTTGTCTATTTTCACTGGAAACAACACAAGTGTAGTAAAATATATTCTGCTTCCAATATGAGGGGGTAAGGAATCACAGCTGAGTAGTGTGCATCTCTCCCTGACTAATGAAAAGTGCCCATGCTGCAGCCTGGGATGAAGCTTCTCCTGCACTGTCATGCCGCAATATTTTGCACTCACAGGGCTCAGCATTCACCCAGTCTGACACTTTCTCTATTGAATGCAATACTGAGGCAAAGAAGAAAAAAATATATCCAATTAGCTCTGGCATTAATGACATGACTTCAGTGGGGTGTGGGGATTGGCAGTCAAATGGCTTTCTAAAGACTGCTTCCTTTAGGTTCATGTTAGTGTGAGTTTGCACACTCAGAACGTGAACTGACGGACGACAGGTAACGCAGCTCACCGTGGACTGGGTGGCAGGTAAGACCAGAAGAGAAAATGTTTTACAGATGTCAGAGGGTTGGGACTTCGGAGCTGCCCACATTCGCTAAATGAGCTAAGCCGACATCTGCAGAAACGCCCTCGTAATGGGAACAGTTACCTCGAAAAGTTCTAGAAATGCCGGTGGAGAGGGCAGGTGAACACACAGCTGCAGTCAGACGCTCGGCATGATCAGACCCAAAGCAAACCAACTGCTGCATAGAACGCCCTGGGGCTTCGAGCCCCCAGTTCCAGCCTGTGACGCACTCACCCGTGGGAAGGGGAAAGGCTCCCCCAGTGCCTTCCCTACACCTGCCCTGTGCCCTCAGAGCGGAAGCATCACCATGTAATCAGCGGTCTCCATTAACCACCAGCGTTCAGGTTGGAACTGGGGAGATTTGGAAAAGTGACAGGAAGGATGACATCATATGCAGAGGATGCTTATACAGCGGAGAGCACCCCTGTTCCATGTGGCTCTGGAAGGCCTCCCCATTGTGCTAACACAGCGGACAGCACCCCTGTACCATGTGGCTCTGGAAGGCCTCCCCATTGTGCTAACACAGTGGAGAGCACCCCTGTTCCATGTGGCTCTGAAAGGCCTACCCATTGTGCTTACACAGCGGACAGCACCCCCGTTCCATGTAGCTCTGGAAGGCCTCCCCATTGTGCTTACACAGCGGACAGCACGCCTGTTCCATGTGGCTCTGGAAGGCCTCCCCATTGTGCTAACACAGCAGAGAGCACCCCTGTTCCATGTGGCTCTGGAAGGCCTCCCCCTTGGAGCCATGGCAGAAGGTGGTGGGAGGAAAACCTCAGGGGTTGGGCAGTGACAGTGAGGTGCCTTTAGGTGCCCTGCCAATTCCTAGTCAGACAGAGGCAAATTTCAACCCAATTCTCAAAGTAAAAATCTTTCCAGCAAATGCAGCTGGCTTACAGCAGCATGGACCTGGCAGGAAAGCAGTGACCTCAGAGGTGTTTAAGCAGAGTCTGTAAGGACATCAGCCAAACACCGGGGAAGAGATTTCTCACATGGGGGCAGTTTATGACTCTTACTTCTCCCAAATCTGAAAGCAGTGACTCTGCACTAGTGCAGAAGTCGGGGAGCCTCCTCCCCCTGGGAGAAGACATGAGCTGGGTGGAGCCGAGCAGTGCAGGTCCGGGACTGCCAGCCACACGCAGGTCCGAGGCTGCCAGCCACACACGGCCGCTGCCACCCCGCACTGGGCGCATCCACGTCAGGGTTGCTGAGCAGGTGGGTGTGTCCTCAAGGTGCAGTGAGACGAACCCTGTTCCCGCTATATAAGCCACAGAGTGACCCCCCCAGCACCCCGGGTGCCCTCTCCTGCGCCTGCTCCCCTGGGAGAGAGTGCGCTGCTGCTGACTCCACGGTGTGCTGACACACAGGAAGAAAGGCCTCAGGCAGTGCACACTGAGCCCGGGACTGTTTCGCTAGGATGAAAGGCACTTTGATAACATAGGTGCCTTCTCCTCCTGCTTTAGAGGGTGCTCGTGAACTCCAGCCAGGGGCATGGATCCGAGATTAACAATTTATCAGTGGCTTCCTCCTGGAGCAGCCTGTGAGAGGCGGCCTCTGTGTGCCAGTGATTAGGTGGCCAATTCTCTTCTAATTTTTTTTTTTTAAGCCAAGAGGCGTGCTTGGGTTTAGAGCACTGAGCAGCACTGGGATGCATTCAAATATGAATGAATTTCTTCAAAAACGAAAAGGCAGCAGGTGCTTCCTTTCAAGTGAAAATGACCCCAAAAGTGTGGGCATATTTTCTCCAAAGTGACAGAAGCATTGGTATCAGTTATTTCTGTGTTATAATCTACTGCTGTCACCGTGAAAAGTCAAAGCTTTGGTTCAGTGCCCTCCTGAGACTGGGCTGCGGGGAACACGCCCTTCTCTGTGAGGGTTTTCAGGCTGGGATTCCCACCACCAACACGACAAGGAAGTGGGCACCCCACCAGCCAACGCAGGACCTCAGGGTCACGGAAGGCTCGAAGGAGAAGAGGACCAGAACACGCTTATTTTGGATGAGGGGAGAGAACTGGGAGCGGAGCCCATGTGATTGGCCAGGACTTCGCAAGTGCTTTCTGAGTGAATGAGTGAACTCAGGAGAATCAGGAGCCCGTGTGATTGGCCGGGACTTCGCAAGTGCTTTCTGAATGAATGAGTGAACTCGGGAGAATCAGGAGCCCGTGTGATTGGCCGGGACTTCGCAAGTGCTTTCTGAATGAATGAGTGAACTCGGGAGAATCAGGAGCCCGTGTGATTGGCCGGGACTTCGCAAGGGCTTTCTGAATGAATGAGTGAACTCGGAAGAATCAGGAGCCCGTGTGATTGGCCGGGACTTCGCAAGTGCTTCCTGAATGAATGAGTGAACGCGGGAGAATCAGGAGCCCGTGTGATTGGCCGGGACTTCGCAAGGGCTTTCTGAATGAATGAGTGAACTCGGGAGAATCAGGAGCCCGTGTGATTGGCCGGGACTTCGCAAGGGCTTCCTGAATGAATGAGTGAACTCGGGAGAATCAGGAGCCCGTGTGATTGGCCGGGACTTCGCAAGGGCTTCCTGAATGAATGAGTGAACTCGGGAGAATCAGGAGCCCGTGTGATTGGCCGGGACTTCGCAAGGGCTTCCTGAATGAATGAGTGAACGCGGGAGAATCAGGAGCCCGTGTGATTGGCCAGGACTTTGCAAGTGCTTTCTGAATGAATGAGTGAACTTGGGAGAATCAGGAGCCCGTGTGATTGGCCGGGACTTTGCAAGTGCTTTCTGAATGAATGAGTGAACTTGGGAATAACCACGCGAAGCGTTGCATGGCTGGAGAGTTGCACGGCCGGCAGCAGAAACAAGTTCTTCCAGCTTCCACATGAGTTTCCGAGTGCACTTCCCACATGAACACCACGGGCCCCATCTTAGGACAGAGGCTGGCTGGGTGGAGACCCGTGATTACCTTGGCCATACAAGCGATAGTATAATAAGACACCTGAATAGAAGAAATATCAGGTATGTTGGGATGAGGTTGCAATGTGAAATTCAGAACCAAAAGTCAGTCGTCATGATGTGAATTAGGGACTTGTAATTCCCATCCAGGCTCTGGAGGGCGCAGAACCAAGATGATGAAAGAAAGGGTTCTAACAGGTTGGTTACCGGTTTTGTTTCCCGTTCAGTGTGGCTGGTGTTTGATCAATGAGCAAGGATTACAACAGTGGACACCCCACACATTATTTGTCATTGGTTCATTTAGAAAACGGTGTCTGATGCATCTCCTAAAGTGATTTCCAAAACGCTTTCGCTGTCATCAGAGTCTTGAGCTGAAAGTATGGCATTACACAAGTACCGTATCTATATGAAAAAAAACTACAGCACTGATGAAAGAAAGCAAAAGTAAAGAAATGGAGAAGCAGCGTATAAATATTACATGCTCATGGCTAGCAGGACATGGGTTTGGATCATAATCTCAAAAGATACAGTCCCAATTGCCATAATCCCAAATAGTGAAATCCCCAAATATCTGAATATCAAAATCTCTAAATAGAGTCTAAATCCCAAAAGTCTAGTGTTGCTAATGTTTAAAATCCCCTAAATCATAACCACAGGAGAGTTGCATCCTGCTGGGTGGAGCTATTAGCTTGTTATTGTCTTTATTTGGAAATTAAGCATAACTTAAGGAGTTGTGTGTGAGTGCCAAGTTGACAAGGGGTGAAACTGTAGACTTCGTTTTAAGTGTCAACTTGACTGGGTTAAGGAATACCTAGAAATCCAGTAAAGCTTCATTTTGGGTGTTTCTGGGAGGTGTCTCCAGGGAGATTGGGGTGGAGTCTGAGAGGGCTGGGGGAAGGTCTGCCTCAGTGTTGGTGGGCGGGCACTGTCCAAACAGCTGGGGCCCAGAGAGAACAAACACAGAGGGTGAATTAGGCTCCCTCTGAGTGCTGGGGCAGACTTTCCTTCTGCTGCCCTGGACATCAGAGCTCCAGGTTTGGCGGCCTTTGGACTCCAGGACTCACACCAGCCGTCCCTGGGTCTTCAGACTGAGAGTTACATCATCAGCTTCCCTGGTTCTCAATGCAAAAACACTGCAACTTCCTCAATAAATGAAGAATGTCCTTTTTGTACATCTGCATTTGCGAAAGATACAATTTCTTGAGATCTCAGCTCTTCGACTGTTTATGCAGCAGTGACCCATCAGGGTTTTTGACTCATCTTGTCAAAAGCCTTAGGTTGTTCATCAGGGTATTTCAGATGCCTGCAGTTATACAGCTGGGTGCACACAATTACCAAGCAGAGGGACATGCTTTTATACATCTCCCTTCCTGACCTATGTCTTCATAAACACAGTTCATCTGCTCATAAGTGTGATGCCCATGCAACTGTCGTCAAGATATCTGAGGGCTTATGTCTGCAAAAATACGAATGTTATTATTGCTTATTTTATTGTGTAAAATGGCCTATGAAGTGTTTTGTCACGATTTTATATATTTTGCAAATAAATTCCCTTTTAAAAATGTAAATAAATGTCTTTTAAATAATTTTTTCCAGAATTACATTTTTGGGATTTTGATATTTTGAGACTGTGATTTTCAGGATTTTAGGGACCTTAGGGATTTTGATATTTCAGGATCTTAACATTCAGAACTATGGCATTCAGGATTGTGTCTTTCAGGATTATGACTGGCTCCCAAAGACTCAATATTGTCAGCATGTCAGTTCTCCAACTTGATCTATGGATTTAATGAAATCCCAGTCAAAATCCCAGCAAGTCATTTTTTGGATACAAGCAAGTTTATTCTAAAGTTTATATGTAGAGGCGAGTGACCCATAACAGCCAACACAATACTGAAGAAGAACAAAGGCGGAGGACAACAGCACCCATCATTAGGATGCACTACACCCATTGTTACGACTCACTCCAACTCCACAGGAATCCAGGCAGGGTGGGGTTGATGACACAGACAAACAGATCAATGAAACAGAACAGAGAGCCCAGACATGGGTCCACATACATGAGGTCAGCCGAGCTTTGAAAAGGAGCAAAGGTGATGCTATGGAGAAAGGATCGCCTCTTAACAAATGGTGCTGGACAACTGGATGTCCACATGTACAGAAACAATTCCAGATGCAGACCTTACACCTTTCACAACTAACTCAGAATGGGTCACAGACCTCATTATAAAATGAAAAACCATAAAACTCCTTAAAGGTAAGAGAGGAGAAACTCTGGATGACCTTGGGTTTGGTGATGACTTTTTAAAATCCAACACCAAAGGCAAAATCCATGAATAAAATAATTGGTAAGCTGGACTTCATTAAAATAAAAACTAATGCTCTGCAAAAGACGCTGTCAAGAGAATGAAAATACAAGCCACAGACTGGAGAAAATGTTTACAAAAGACATATCTGATATCTGATAAAGGACCAATATCTAAAATATTCAAGAACTTTACAAACTCAACAATAAGAAAACAAACAGCCTAATTAAAACATGGCCCAGAGACCACCACAGACACCTCACCACAGAAGATACACAGATGAAAACAAGCATGTGAAGATGCTCTGCTTCCTCCATCATCAGGGAAATGTGAATGAAAATGACAACGAGACACCACCACACACCTCTCAGAAGGGCCGGAACCCAGAACATTGACAACACCCAATGCAGGCGAGGATGTGGAGCAACAGCAGCTCATTCACCACTGGTGGCACGCAGAATGCAGAATGCCACAGCCACTGGGGAAGACAGTTTGGTGGCTGCTTCCAAAACCAAACATTCTCTTACTATGTGATCCAGTGATTACACTCCTTGGTACTTAACCAGTAGAAGTTAAAGACTTATATCCACACAAAAACCTGCATGAGGGTGCTTATGGCAGCTTTATGAATAATTGCCAATACATGGAAGCAACCAAGATGTTCCTCAGTAGGCGAATAAACTGTGGCCCATCTATACAATGGAGTGTTATGGATTATAATGTAATAATACAATACTATTCAGCACTAAAGAGAAATGAGCCATCGAGCCATGAAAAGATGGGGGAATCTTCAAGGCATGTGACCCATCTGAAAAGGCCACATATTGTAAGGTTCCAACTCCAGGACATTCAGGAAAAGGCAAACTATGGAGACAGCAACAAGGTCCATGGTTGCCAGGTCTCGAGTGGGGAAACTGGAGACGCTGAACTAGATGAGCCCCAAATTCCTTCACCGGCCACTGCACGTCACCTGTTGTCCTCCCCGTCACCCCACCTTAGATAGGCCTTCCACTGAACCTGCTTTAAAGCTCTTTGAAAGGAGACCAGATGTGAATTATGAATAAGTGAAGGAAGAGAGTCTCTTTTTAAAGCTTTTACCAGGTAAACTTTTGTCATATGCGTTCAGCCCGCAGCCTCGTTGACTGACTGCTTCTTTGGGAGCAGGTACGCGTGGGTCTTCTCTCCCACTCTCTGAAGACTAAACAGCAAGGGTCTCATGTTGGACCCGACCGTGCGACAGGAGGGTGGCCCTGTTCTCTGACCTGTAAAGAAGTTTTCTGTTCCCTGGCATTATCACAGGGTCCTCCCTTCCTGCTCGGGTGCAGTTGCTCTTTGTGTGTTGAGAATGTCTGTCTAGCTAGGGCCTCACATCTTCAGAAATCATTCGATGTCTGGATTTGCTTTAGAATCATCCCAGGGCAGAGCAGGGGGCTGTAGTGGGCGCAGAGGAGCATCAGGAAAGCCTGAGAGTCACCACTTGTGGGAGACAGGTGATGCCTGTACGGGGTTCTCAATATTCTCTGTATATTTCATAGGTGATGCCTATACCAGGTTCTCAATTCTCTCTATTTCTTAGGTGACGCCTGTACGGGGTTCTCAATATTCTCTGTGTGTTTCATAGGTGATACCTGCACGGGGTTCTCAATTCTCTCTATTTCATAGGTGACGCCTGTACGGGGTTCTCAATATTCTCTGCGTGTTTCATAGGTGATGCCTGCACGGGGTTCTCAATATTCTCTGCGTGTTTCATAGGTGACGCCTGTACCGGGTTCTCAATATTCTCTGCGTGTTTTGTAGGTGATACCTGTACGGGGTTCTCAATTCTCTCTTCTTATTTCATAGGTGATCAATATTCTCTGTGTATTTCATAGGTGACGCCTGTACGGGGTTCTCAATATTCTCTGTATATTTCATAGGTGGCGCCTGTACGGGGTTCTCAATATTCTCTGTATATTTCTTAGGTGACGCCCGTATGAAGTTCTCAATTCTCTCTGCTTATTTCATAGGTGATCAATATTCTCTGTGTATTTCATAGGTGATGCCTGTACCGGGTTCTCAATTCTATTTCATAGGTGACGCCTGTACGGGGTTCTCAATTCTATTTCATAGGTGACGCCTGTACGGGGTTCTCAATATTCTCTGTATATTTCGTAGGTGACGCCTGTACGGGGTTCTCAATTCTCTCTGCATATTTCATAGGTGATCAGTATTCTCTGTGTATTTCATAGGTGATACCTGCATGGGGTTCTCAATTCTCTCTGCGTATTTCCTATTTGCCGTTTTACATGAGGCTTTTCTAAAGCGCACAGTGCAGTTTGGAAGTCAGTTTTTATCAGAATATCACCAGCATCGCAGGGTAGCTCAGGAAGAATGCCAAGCACATTGTGTAACTCGTAGGGATCACGGGAGAGTGGAGAGAGCACGGTCAGGACGCTTGTTCCGAAGATCCACACCCTGGGGTGTGGGAGGAACGAGAAGGCGCCAAGGCAGGGAGGTGAAGCTCCCCGGTGCATAAGAAAGGCACACAGAACAGGAGCGCGCAGGAAGGGCTCGCAGAGCAGGAGCGCACGCGTAGGAAGAGCACGCAGAGCAAGAGCGCGTGCGTAGGAAGGGCACGCAGAGCAGGAGCGCGTGCGTAAGAAGGGCACGCAGAGCAGGAGTGGCGCGTAAGAAGGGCACGCAGAGCAGGAGGGTGCGTAGGAAGGACACGCAGAGCAGGAGCGCGCGCGTAGGAAGGGCTCGCAGAGCAGGAGGGTGCGTAGGAAGGACACGCAGAGCAGGAGCGCGCGCGTAGGAAGGGCTCGCAGAGCGGGAGCGCGCGCGTAGGGAGGGCTCAGAGCGGGAGCGCGCACGTAGGGAAGGCGCGCACGTAGGGAAGGCACGCAGAGCAGGAATGCGTCCTATTCTCTCTGTGAGCTCACCCTCACCCGGCTCTCCAGCTGGGTTTCCCTCCCTCTGATGGGGGCGACGATGTTTATTGCTTTCTGTTCCCAATAATGAGGACAGAGGTGAATGGGGCTTTTTAAGCTGTGGGAGATGGGATAGGAGAGAGAAAAGGGAGGTTAGAGAAGGAAGAGGACGACCCAAAGTGACCCCACTAGAAGGAGTATAGAGGTGGGAGAATGCAGGTAGAGGGGCAGCCGGTGCCGGGGAGGGGCAAGGAAGGCTGAGATGAGAAGCTGAAGGTCACCTCAGCCATGTATTCACCGCCTGTGGCCAAGGGCTGAGGCCACACTGAGCTGGAGGAGAACAGGAAGCTCGGCAGCTACACGGACCCAAGGTCGCAAGTGAAGACCCCCTGATAGCGTCCAGGACCTACGAGAGTGCAGGAGGCAGTGAAGACCCCCGATGGTGTCTAGTACCCACAAGAGGCAGTGAAGACCCCTGATAGCATTCAGTACCCACGAAAGCGCAGGAGGCAGTGAAGACCCCTGATGGTGTCTAGTACACAAAGAGTGCAGGAGGCAGTGAAGACCCCCGATGGTGTCTAGTACCCACGAAAGTGCAGGAGGCAGTGAAGACCCTGATGGTGTCTAGTACCCACGCAAGTGCAGGAGGCAGGACCATCAAGGAAAGGGGTTTCTCGGAGTAGAGCATGGCTTAGAACAGAGGAGACGTCGTCCCAGAGGGAGAGGTGCTGGAGGGAAAGTGGCCACTCCAGGCGGGCAGCTCCCGTAGCAAACAGCACCATCAATGCTCCAGCAGCACTCACTCAAGTGCAGCATCGGCCTCCTCCGCCGTCCTTCTCCTCCAAGAGAGGAACAAGGAGAAAGCATCGGTAATGGTCACACGTCCTTCCCTCTAATTGCAATTTCACATTCCTTCTATTTAAAAACTGCCATAACGGCTGCATGAACAAAGAAAGAGCGAGGGCAGGAGAGCTCCCGGCTGCAGACAGCAGAGAAGCTGATGCTCGCTCTCAGCGGCTCCCATTCAGCCTTCACTTAAGGAGCAGAGAGTGCTCACATAACGCGATGCTCAGGCAATGTTTGTGAAATTTTAGTATTTGTTATCTCCAAAAGGGAAGTCATGTTTTATCAGAACCCACTGCAGGATGGTCTTGGGAAAAGGCTGTTGGGAAATAAATGGGTCGGAACCTTCTCCATATCACAAAGAGTCGCAGGAACCCGCAAACGCCTTTCTCCCCTGGGCCCGCCCTGACGTGGCTTAACTCAGGTAGCGACACCGGAAGCCACGGTCTTGGCAGAGCAGTCACCTCGAGGCCGACACTGTTCAGCTAGTGCATGGTGAGCAGCATGAAATCCAGACAGGGGGCTTCGGAGGATGTGGCAAACCGCCATAAATATGGGCTACGGTCACATGCTGGGCCACAGGGAGAGGTGAGTTCAGCGACAAAGGACACTGGACTTAACGTGTTCAGAGTCAATTTTCCAAAACAGATATGGATGACACAAGCTGTGGGCCAGACCCGTCCTGCAAGCCATGTTGCCCGCCCCATCCATCAGCTTCAGCAGTAGAATTGTGAAATCATAAAATCTGGGGAAGGGATGAACAAGAAGTGAGAAGGGAACACACACTGTCCTCACACCCTCAGGATCATCTCCTCCTCCCCCTGGCTGCCGCGTTCCCTGTCCTCACACCCTCAGGATCATCTCCTCCTCCCCCCCGGCCGCCGCGTTCCCTGTCCTCACACCCTCAGGATCATCTCCTCCTCCCACTGGCCGCCGCGTTCCCTGTCCTCACACCCTCAGGATCATCTCCTCCTCCCCCCGGGTGCCGCGTTCCCTGTCCTCACACCCTCAGGATCACCTCCCCTCCCACTGGCCACTGTGTTCACTGTCCTCACACCCTCAGGATCATCTCCTCCTCCCCCCGGCCGCCGCGTTCCCTGTCCTCACACCCTCAGGATCATCTCCTCCTCCCCCTGGCCGCCGCGTTCCCTGTCCTCACACCCTCAGGATCACCTCCCCTCCCACTGGCCGCTGTGTTCACTGTCCTCACACCCTCAGCAGCGCCTTCTCCATCCCACTGTCAGGATCACCTCCCGCCTCTCACTGGCCACTGCGTTCCCAGGACGTGAAATGACCACATACTCCTTCCCAGCACAGAGAGGGTATGAGGGCCGAAGGGACCCTTCCCTACATGGTGCCCCATTCCTGCCACGCGTCCTCGGGGGAGTGCGGTGTGCAGACCCCACGTGTGGGAAGAGCATGGTGCGTCTGTCACTGGGAGGGGCTGGACAGAGGACAGTCAGCAAACAAGAAACACCAAGCGGGGCTGGCTCACCATCGCCTGTGCTGGAGGGGTCTTCGGAATCTCCCAGAGGTGAAGGCCACTTCTGGGGGGCGGCTGGTGCCAGCAAAGGCCTGGGCATTCTTGAGGGTGCACGCAGAAGGTACTGTGGCTCCAGGCTGCCCTCCCCGGGGGGAGCTGGGGGCCTCTGGGCAGCATAGGCACTGAGGGCCGCCATCAGATGGTGTCTGTCCACACCACTGTCCACCTTAGGGCTGAGCTCATCTGGCTGGAGCTGGCCGAGGGTCCGCGGCAGGAGGTCCTCGCGGAGCTGGGTCCGGGACCCGGGAGGGTAGGTCAGCGCAGACGTGTGGGCCACATAGGTCAGGATGCTCTCGGAGAAGCGGTCATCACCCTGAAGGAAAGGAGAGCAAAACAGAGCAAGAGTCACATTTCCATCGTCAGCTGGGGGCACCAAGATGCCCTTCAGTCTCAGTTTTCAAGGTCCTAAACAGCCCTGGGGGTACAAAGATGCCCTTCGGTCTCAGGTTCAAGGTCCTAAACAGCCCTGGACATCTCTGAAATGTAAAGCCAAAACAGGACTCTCATTTTCACACTGACCAACCCAGGTCCCTATTTCATATTTGTTCCTGCATTATTTTTAATATCAGCTTTATGGAGATAATTCACCCACATCAGCAGTTTTTAGTGTATTCAGAGTTGTGAGACATCACTACTAAGTCCAGAACATCCGCATCACCCAAAAAGAGACTTTGCAGTGTTCCCATTCCTCCCTCCCACCCTGACACTGCTCATTCGCTTTCAGTCTCTATGGAGGAGTCTCTTCTGGACGTTTGGTGTAAATGGAATCACACCATGTGTGGCATCTGTGCCTGGCTCATTTCCCTAAGCATAATGTCCTCAGGTGCACCCATGCTGATGCTGGGGCATGGGCCAGGACATCCTTCCTCTTTCAGCCAAGTACTATCCCACTGCATGTATATCCCACATTTTAAAAATTCACCTATCAGTTGATGGACATTTGCTTTTTTCTACCTTTTGGCTATTTTGAATAATGCTGCTATGAGTATTCATTTATGAGTCTGTGTATCAATGTGTTTTCAATTCTCTTGGGTTTATTCGAGGATATTACATGGTAACTCGACATTTAACTGACTGAGGAACTCCCAAGCTGTTTTCCAGCACAGCAGCACCACAAACAATCTCACCAGTAATGGATGCAGATGCCAGTTCCTCTGCATCTTTGCCAACACTTGCTACTTTCCTTCTGTTTTTACTATGGTTGTCCTAGCAGTTGGAAAG
Source organism: Homo sapiens (assembly GCF_000001405.40). Classification (NCBI taxonomy): domain Eukaryota; kingdom Metazoa; phylum Chordata; class Mammalia; order Primates; family Hominidae; genus Homo; species Homo sapiens. The sequence goes on from NC_000007.14 coordinate 158,168,200, forward strand.
CAATACCGTGCTGTGTCACTTGCATAATGCACTGAGCCTAGTATGTCCTGCACCTGGAGCCTCCAACTCAGCTTTAACTAAAGGTCCTTTGCACGGCAGCTCGGAGTTACTGCATTCACAGCAATGAGAGGAGCTGCTCCCAGACACATTCATGAGGCTCGGCGGTGCCTCCCTGGTGGCTAATGATGCTGCATCTTTGTGTGCCCTTATTGACCACTCCTACATCTTCTCTGAAGAAATGTCTGTTTGTATTTTTTGCCTGCACTGGTTTTTATTTTAACCCTGAAAAGCTGCTCCCCAATAGCTGAATCTCTCTTTCAGCAACCCTCAGCAGAGGCCTCAAGTGCCTTGTCTGGAGGTCTTCACTCCAACTTCTTTACTGAAGACCTGAAACATGTTTGCTGCCTGCTCTTTTAACTGCAGTGTGCTGCAGCAGGGAAGATGCCAGGGTCTCTTGTTCGATAATTACCTATCACATCATTTACTAGTCAATGCCCTGGCTAACAGTCTTTCATGGGATTTCTGTCTATATTTTCTCCTCACTCATTTAGTAAAATTCCGTTAAGAGGACATGTCCTCATCACACTTTGTGTCACTAGATAAACCAAGGCCCAGCTGTCCTCACCTCTAGGGCAGCTGTAAAAATGTGAAAAGTCCCCACATTGTACCTCTGACTTGGGCTTCATCAAAATGTCATGGACAGGCTGAGTATGAATAATTTCCAGCTTAGAGACTTTCGAATCCTGGACACACAAGCTGAGCTCCCTGGAGGCGTGCATGGGTGTGTGGACACCCCAGTTTAAATCCCATCCGTTCATATTTTCTACTTGCACCTCCTTGGGGCACATGATCAATGTCATGTCAGTGGAGGTGGACACCTCGGCACTAGCTAAGGGTGTGCAGCCATCACTGACAGTAAGGTAAGGGGGTCCAGCTCCTGAGTCTGGCTATTTCCGAAAATATTTGGGTTCATCCTCTGAGTTAGATTTTTGAGTAGCAACCTGGGAGTTGGGAAGTGGGTTGATAGAGGTTGGGGTTGTTTGGTTTTTCTGGGTTTTTTTGAGACAGAGTCTCCCTCTTTCATCCAGGCTGGAGTGAAGTGGCACAATCTCAGCTCACTACAACCTCTGCCTCCTTGGTTCATGCAGTTCTTATGTCTCTGCCTCCCAAGTAGCTGGGACCACAGGAACACACCACCATACCTGGCTGCTTTTGTGAGTGTGTGTGTGTGTGTGTGTGTGTGTGTGTGTGTGTGTGTTTTAGTAGAAATGGGGTTTTACTATGTTGGCCAGGCTGGTCTCAAACTCCTGGCCTCAAGTGATCCGCCTGCCTCAGCCTCCCAAAGTGCTGGGATTACAGGCGTGAGCCACCGCGCCTGGCCAGGTTGAATTAGGTTCTGATTTCAGTTCTCATATATGAACTTGGGTAAATTACTTGACCCCTAAAGACTCAATTTTCTTCTGTCAAAAAAGGAAATCGGACATTATCTCTAAGATTTTTTTTTTTCTTTTGAGACGGAGTCTCTCACTGTCGCCCAGGCTGGAGTGCAGTGGCACATCTCGGCTCACTGCAACCTCCACCTCTGGGGTTCAAGCGACTCTCCTGCTTCAGCCTCCTGAGTAACTGGGATTACAGGTGCCCTTCACCACGCCCTGCTAATTTTTGTGTTTTTAGTAGAGATGGGGTTTCGCCATGTTGGCCAGGCTGGTCTCGAACTCCTGACCTCAAGTGATGGGCCTGCCTTAGCCTCCCAAAGTGCTGGGATTACAGTCATGAGCCACTGTGCCCAGCCATTATCTCTAAGATATTTTAATTATTATTTCTAAAGTGATGTGACTATAGCTATCATCCAAATTGCTTAAATTTGTCCAAGGACTAGCTGAAATCAACTATTCTTCCCTTAAGAAAGAGAATATGTGAGAGAGCAAGAGCGTGAGAAAGAGCGAGAGCGAGCGAGCGAGAGACAGTGAATGCCACCACAACAAACAGCCCCTCTAGCAATTTCCCACAAATTGGGTGTAAGTGTCAATCTCCAGCTCAGCCTGCACTCCCTCTTGCAAAGGCTGTCTCTGAACACCTGGTCAGCCACCGTGCTGGGGGGTGGGGATCTGCGTCCAAATCCCTCGTTATGTGCCTGCAAGTGGCTTTCCCCTCATTGCTATGAATGCAGTAACCTGGAGCTTCCACGCAAAGGGCCTTTAATTAAAGTTGAGTTGGAAGCTCCAGGTGCAGGACTGACTAGGTTCAGTGCATTACACAATCACAGCAGAGTGTGATCTGTGCAGTAGACTTGGATAAACAATCTATTTTTGGTTTATGTTCTGAATCAAATTAAGGTGAAGAGGAAAAAGAATATTTCAGTAGTTAGCACAAACAACAGAGCCTGTAGAAATAATAGCAAACATCGGTTTTTGCAAGCCACTCCGGCTACTCAATAGATGATTGCAGACACTGGGGTGTTTCTCACCAAGGTGAGGTGACCATCCCATAACCAAGAGGGCCTGAGAGTTGGGAACATGGGCAGTAAAGAAAAGTATTCTCACGCTGACTGGCTCTTTCACGGTTTGAGGTCCCCAAGGAAAAGGAACTGGCTCTGGAGCTGCCTGGGTTTAAACTACCACCAATGCTACGAGCTTAATGACCTTTGCTTCAGCACACTATTTAAGTAATCTGTAAAACAAGGATAATAATAATAGTATCTGGCACGGAAGTGTTAATGGCTATGACTACTACTATTATTACAATTATTTACTTTACCTTATCCTTCATATATATACATACATATATATATACACATACATATATATATACACATACATATATATACACATATATATACACATACATATATATACACATATATACACATTATATACACATATATATACACACATATATATATACACATATATATACACACATATATACACATATATACACACATATATATACACATATATATACACACATATATACACATATATACACACATACATATATATACACTATATATACACACATATATACACACATATATATACACATATATACACACATATATATACACACATATATACACACATATATATACACACATATATATACACACATATATATATATATATATATATATATATATATATATATATACACACACACATTTTTTTAAGACATAGTCTCGCTCTGTAACCCATGCTGGAGTGCAATGGCGTGATCTTGGCTCACTGCAACCTCCACCTCCTGGGTTCAAGTGATTCTCCTGCCTCAGCCTCCTGAGCAGCTGGGATTACAGGCACGCGCCACCAGGCCCAGCTAACTTTTCTGCATTTTTAGTAGAGATGGGGTTTCACCATGTTGGTCAGGCTGGTCTCAAACTCCTGACCTCAAGTGATCTGCCCGCCTTGGCCTCCCAAAGTGCTGGGATTACAAGCGTGAGCCACCATGCCCAGCCTATACCTTCATATTCTTTAAAGCAGTCAGGAAATCCACATCTCAACTGAGGAGAAACTATCCAATTAGACTTTTTCTTCTACTCTCAGCTCTGAGTTTAAAATTCTGTGACTCATTTTCAAACCCCCTGTTGTGAAGATGTTTTCAGTCTCAGTTCAACATACCAATGAAGGGAGGTTTCCTAAGACAATGTGGAATAATTTTTAAGACCGTAGCTGCCCAAACCTGGAAATTAGCAGCCTAACGGCATAGACACAGACTAATTTCCAGTACAGGCGATGGACATTCCTGTGCATGAAGTCTTCAAACTATGTGTAAGAGAAATCCGGCTGAGCATCTCTGGGGTAGCCCAGCTGTGGATATGAAGCATTCGAGAGCTTCTGCCAAAGTCTGATGATGTTTAAGCTGACATGATATTCTACTGGGAATATTCTTCAACCCACTGCATTTCCATATGACGAGAAGCAGAACCCACTCGCCCACACACTGAAAAAGCCAGCAGGAAAGAAGGCTCACTGAAAGACTGGCCCAATCCTGTCAGTTCTGTGTAACTTGTGTAAGTTTGGACCAGTTATCTAACCTCTTGAAGTCTCATTTTCACCACCTGCAAAACTAGAAAAATAATTCTGTTTTCTTTAAAAGCCACTGTGAGGATTAGGGAGAGTATAGGTAAAAGTGCCTTGCTCAGCACACAACTCAGAGGAGGAACTTGATAAATGGCAGTCATCAGCAGTATCATTATCACCATTAGTGTCACTGCCACCATCCACAACAGCATCCCCACCATCATCTTCACCATCCACAGCACCATCCCTACCATCATCACCCTCACCATCAGCATCATCCCACCATCAATAGCAGCATCCCCACCATCATCACTTCCACCATCAACAACAGCATCTCCACTATCTCCACCATCCACAACAGCATCTCCACTATCTCCACCATCAACAACAGCATCTCCACTATCTCCAACAGCATCCCCACCATCACCATCCCACCATCCACAGCAGCATCCCACCATCATCATCTTCACCATCATCATCTTCACCATCCACAGCAGGATCCCCACCATCATCTTCACCATCCACAGCAGGATCCCCACCATCATCTTCACCATTCACAGCAGCATCCCACCATCATCATCTTCACCATCAGCATCATCCCACCATCCACAGCAGCATCCCCACCATCATCAACTTCACCATCCACAGCACCATCCATACCATCATCACCTTCACCATCAGCATCATCCCACCATCAATAGCAGCATCCCCACCATCATCACTTCCACCATCAACAGCAGCATCCCCACCATCATCATCACCCCATCATCGACAGCAGCATCCCACCAATATCATCTTCACCATCCATAGCAGGATCCCCACCATCATCACCCCAATCATCAACAACAGCATCTCCACTATCTCCACCATCAATAATAGCATCCCATCACCACCAACACCACCAGCGTCCCCACCATCATCATCACCCCATCATCAACAGCAGCATCCACACCATCATCACCCTCACCATCAGCATCATCCCACCATCAATAGCAGCATCCCCACCATCATCACTTCCTATTGGGGGAACCAGCCCCCAATATTTCAACACAGGTTCTTTTCTATTTTCCCTAAGTGTTGGCCAGTCTGAGAAATAAAGAGAAAGAGTACAAAGAGGTAAATTTTACAGCTGGGCCTTCAGGGGTAACATCACATATTGGCAGGTTCTGTGATGCCCACCTGAGCCACAAAACCAGCAAGTTTTTATTAGGGATTTCAAAAGGGGAGGGGTGTACAAATAGGGAGTAGGTCACAGGGATCACATGCTTCAGAGGGCAATAAAAGATCACAAGGCAGGGGGTGAAATTAGAATTACTGATGAGTGTCCCACTGGGCATGCATTGTCTTGATAAACATCTTAACAGGAAACAGGGTTCGAGAGCAGACAACTGGTCTGACTAGAATTCACCAGGCTGGAATTTCCCAATCCTGGTAAGCCTGAGGGCACTGCAGGAGACCAGGGAGAATTTCATCTCTTATCTTCAACTGCATAAGACAGACACTCCCAGAACGGCCATTCATAGACCTACCCCTGGGAATGCATTCCTTCCCCAGGATTATTCCTTGCTGGGAAAAGAATTCAGCAATATTTCTCCTACTTGCTTTCTGCAAGAAGAAAAATAAGGCTCTATTCTGCCCGACCCCGCAGGCAGTCAGACCTTAATGTTATCTTCCCTTGTTCCCTGAAGATCGCTGTTGTTCTGTTCCTTTTCAGGGTGCCCTGATTTCATATTGTTCAAACACATGTTTTACAGTTTGTACCATTAATGCAATCATCACAGGATCCCGAGGTGACATACATCCTCAGCTTATGAAGATGATGGGATTAAGAGATTAAAGACAGGCATAGGAAATTATAAGAGTATTGAGTGGGGAAATGATAAATGTCCATGAAATCTTCACAATTTATGTTCAGAGACTGCAGTAAAAACAGGCATAAGAAATTATGAAAGTACTAATTTTGGGAACTGATAAATGTCCATGAAGTCTTCACAATTTATGTTTTGCCGCAGCTTCAGCCGGTCCCTCCATTTGGGGTCCCTGACTTCCCGCAACAACTTCCACCATCAACAATATCATCTCCACTATCTCCACCATCAACAGCAGCATCCCCACCACCATCATCTTCACCATCATCATCCCACCATCCACAGCAGCATCCCCACCATCATCATCTTCACCATCCACAGCAGCATCCCCACCATTATCACTTCCACCATCAACATGATCCCTGCCATCATCACCTCAACCATCAGCTTCCCACCATCATCATCATCAGCAGCAGCAGCACCATCATCATCCACACCATCCACAGCAGCATCCACACCATCAGTGTCACCCCCGCCATCAGCATCATCAAACCCCTACTGCTGCTGTGTGCCAAGCCCTGGACTTCTATGAAGGAAGAATAACTCAGATGTGGCCCTGTCCTCAAACATCTTGCAGACTGAACTAGGAGTTGAGTCATAGACATTAACAACCGTAATTGAAAGAATGCTATTAGAAAGGGTCAGAAAAGCAATCCTGGTTTTGGAAGAATGTGATTCTCTTCAGCTGGAGGAAATCAGAGCTGCTTCCTGGAGCCAGCTGATGCAGTTCACAGAGCCACGCCCTGCACCATACCCCTCACCTGTCAAACAGTGACACTGCTGAGGAAGTGACTCTCCTCGCTCCCAACTTTACTGGGGCCGGGAGTACCAGAGCTAAAAATCAGGCCTCTTCCTTTGACAAACATGCCTCTCCTGGAGATCCACCCAGCCCAGTCCCAAAGGCACAATTATGAGTTCAGGCTGACAGGAAGGCCTGGAGGTCCGGGGAGTCCCACATGCCGGGAGACTCTGGGTGGAGGAGACTCCTGTGTGTGCACTGGTCTCTGCCCATGCTCATCAGCTATTCTCCTGCACCGAGGATCCAAAACAAATTAGGAAGCCCAAGTTGGGACATCTTTTGACCACATAACACACGTTTTCTCCCTGTCTCACTGCCCGCCGGCAGCACTGACAGGCACCTTGATCACGGCGTGCTTGCTGCCAGCCTGACAAAGCACACAGCCTCAGTGCTATTCACAGGCTTCCTAATGAGCCGGCACCGGATGCGGCCAGGTTTGGGAGCTGAGGTGGGAACGCTGCAGCTCCGGCTCCGGCTCGTGAATGTGGGGTTGGGATGACTTCACTGTGCCTTTCTGTCTCGGGCCTTAGAGAGGTGATTCTGGCAGCTCATTTATTTTCTCTGTCTCTCTCTGTGTCTCTGTCTCTCTGTGTATCTCTGCCTCTGTCTCTGTCTTAACACAGTAGAAAGTGTCAGTGTTTAACAGTGCTCAGGCTCTAAGTGGCCCACTCGTGTGGAGGGGAAATAATTGTGGTGTCATTCTTACCAACAGTGCTGTCGCCAAGACAAAATAACTTTTTTGCATTCAGGGAAGCAGGGGGGTCTCACACGAGCGTATACGGTGCTATCTCTGCAGCCAAGGTATAGAGCTCTCAGACTGAAAAATAAGACCCCAAACAGTTTTCAGAGTTCACAAAATCTATGAGGTTGAAGAGGTTAAGTCCTAAACTACTTGGGATCAACAAATTTGTAGCGAGTTGACAGTATCACGGGGTGCCAATGTGAACTCCTGGATATCTGCTAATGATGATGCATTCTGAGAGTCTGGAATTATCTGAAGACTCGTGACACCATGAGGCCAGTGCTGCTCTCAGTCTGCCCTGCTCAAGACTCGCGACACCGTGAGGCCAGTGCTGATCTCACCCCGCCCTGCTGAGACTCACGACATCGTGAGGCCAGTGCTGCTCTCAGCCCGCCCTGCTCCGAGACTCGCAATGCCGTGAGGCCAGCACTGCTCTCAGCCCACCCTACTTTGCCCGCCACTCTTCCTTCTGTCACTCTTCTGGCTCCTGTTTGCGTTTTGGCCTTTCCAGAAGCTGCACCCAAAAGCCTCCTACCTGGCAAGTGAAAAGCACAGGGCATGATTAAAGCAGCGAGTTCCAATCCATGTCCCGTCCACCTTGGCCTGGGGTTAGAGGTCAGTTGGCTCATAACCACCCAGAAGATGGAGGGACAGTCATCGCCACGGGGCTCTTATTCACTGAGTGCTACACCAGGCTGTTTTCGGCTTTACATGCCTTAATTTTCTCTAACCCTTTCAATGACTCGATGGTACAGACATGATTACCCACATTTTGCAAATGAGGAAAGAAGATCCTGCAGTGAGGAAAGGGCAGAGCTAAGATGCAGCCCTTCTCCCTAGGCTGTGTATGTCTGTCGAGTGACAGACACCAAACACGCCGAGTGAACAGAGGAACCGTAAGCAGGTCGGCTTCCATGGAGCACAGGTCTGGGTGTGGAGGGACTGCTAGTGCAGGGTGGGTGGTAGCTGTCACTGTGAGTGTTCAGTGGAGGGCAGGGACAGGACTGTCTGGGAGGAAACCAGGGGAGACAGTCAGGATGACGGTGGCCAGCATGCATCAACCTGCTCTGCCTCAGATGCTACTGTGTATGCTGGGAGCAGAACACCATGCCCTGGGGCCAATTTTCCACCAGAGCTCCGCTTCCCACCAAAGGTCATAAGAACAATCACATGAGGGGGCAAACTTTTAAAAAACTCAAATGGACATCGTGAATGTGGCATCCAACATGTGGAGGCCACGGTCCTCATCGCTGTGTGCCTCCACACCTGCTCCTCCAGGTGGCATGGCTAAGCAGAGGGCTGTGAGGGAAGCTGTGCTATCTCTGCACAATCTCTCTAGGTGGCCCTCCTCCAGAAACAGGGATAGGGGAAGGTGGGCTTGTTGACCACATCTGGGTGGTGACAGTTTGGGGCTGTTCTGGATAGAGCCACTGTGGGCAGTCATGGGCCAGCTTTCCTGTGAATGCAGGCGTCCCTCCTCTTGGATAGACATCCAGAGGGGAACTGCTGAGTCCAAGGACAGACGTATCTTTAGCCTTTAAGCAGCTTCCAAATACAGGTTATAACAGCTTGCATTGCATTCCCCCTAATTTGAGAATTTCTATGTCCTCATCAAGAGTTGGTTTTATGGATTTTTTTTTAATTTTAGCCAATCTAGTGACATGAAGTGGTTGTTCTTTATGGTTTTGTGAATAAGGATGCTAAGCACCTTTGATGCCTTCATTGGCCATTTGTATATCTTTTTATGAAGTATCCGTTCAAAGTTTTTATACATTTTTGCATGGGATTGCTTGCCTCTTTTCCCTTTGGAGCACTACTGAGATATAATTGACATACAATAAACAGTACAGGAGGCATGACAATGAACACGTCCGTCACCCTGAATACATTCCGGTGCCCCTGGAGACACTGCCCTCTCCCATCCCTGTCCACAGCTCCAGGCAATCCCGACCAGCTTTCTGTCCCTTATAACCCAGTTTGCATTTTCTACAGCTTTCCAAACTGGAATTATAACAATAGCTCCTCTTTTGTCTTTTGGTCAACAGAAATGAGACTCACTGTGCTGTTTCATGCATCAACAGCTCACTCCAGTTTATTACTGAGTAGCATTCCATTTTGTGGATCAAACAAAATTTCTTTGTCCATTTCTGATAGACATTTGGGTTTTTTCAGTTGTGGGCATTTACTATGAAAGCTACCATGAAGATACGTGTGTAAATCTTTGAATGCACACATGCTTTCGTTTGTCTTGAGTAGAAGTGGGATGGAGGGATCACAGGCAAGTAAACATTTCACTTTTGAAGAAACTGTCAAGACGTTTTCCAAATCGTTGTTAATGTTTTACATTTCCACTGGTGGCATATGAGAGGTCCAGCTCCTCCACCTCCTTGCCAATACATAGGATGGTCAGTTTGTATTTTGTTTTTTTAAATTTTAGCCATTCTTATAGGTTTGTAGTGGTATTTCACTGTGATTTCAATTTTCATTTCCATAATGAGGAATGATACTGAATATTTCACATTAAATTGTCACTCATTTATCCTCTTTGGTGAAGTGTTTATTCAAATCTTTTGCCCATTTTTTAAATTTCAAAAGCTTTTGGGGTACGCATGGTTTGGGTCACATGTATGAATTTAATAGTGGTGAAGTCTCAGATATTAATGCACCCATCATCCAAGTAATGCACATTGTACCCAATATGTAGGTTTTTTTATCCCTCTCCCCTCTCACCCTCCCGCTTCTGAGTCTCCAAAGTCCATTAGATCACTCTGTCTGCCTTTGCATACCCATAGCTTGGCTCCCACTTATAAGTCAGAACATAAGGTAATCGATTTTCCTTTCCTGAGTTACTTCACTTAGAATAATGGCTTCCAGCTCCATCTAAGTGGCTGCAAGAGACATTATTACATTCTTTTTCGTGGCTGAGTAGTATTCCATGGTGTATATATATACTACATTTTCTTTCTTTTTTTTTTTTTTTTTTTTTTTTTTTAAGATGGAGTCTTGCTCTGTTGCCAGGCTGGAGTGCAGTGGCACAATCTCAGCTCACTGCAACCTCCAACTCCCAAGTTCAAGTGATTCTCCTCCTTCAGCCTCCCAAGTAGCTGGGACTACAGGCACCCGCCACCACGCCTGGCTAATTTTTTGTATTTTTAGTAGAGACGAGGTTTCATCATGTTGGCCAGGATGGTCTCAATCTCTTGAGGTCATGATCCACCTGCCTCGGCCGCCCAAAGTGCTATGATTATAGGCGTGAGCCACTGCACCTTTAGCCACTCATCAGTCAATGGGCACTTAGACTGGTTCCATATCTTTGCAATTGTGAATTGTGCTGCAATAAACATATATCTACAGGTGCCTTTTTGATATATTGATTTCTTTTCCTTTGGATACTCAGTAGTGAGATTGCTGGATCAAAAGGGTAGATCAACTTTTAGTTCTTTATGAAATCTCCATTCTGTTTTCCATAGATGTTGTACTAATTTACATTCCCACCTGCAGTGGATAAGTGTTCCCTTTTCACCACAGTCATACCAACATCTATTGTTTTGTGACTTTTTAATAATAGTCATTCTTGCAGGAGTATGGTGGTATCTCATTGTGGTTTTAATTTGCATTTCCTTGATGATTAGTGATGTTGAGCATTTTTTTCATATGTTGTTGCCCATTTGAATATCTTCTTTTAAGAAATGTCTGTTCACGTCATTTGTCCACTTTTTAATGGGATTTTTTTTTCTTGCTAAATTGTTTGAGTTCCTTGTAGATTCTGGATGTTGGTCCTTTGTCAGATGCATAGTTTGCAAATATTTTCTCCCATTCTGTGGGTTTTCTGATAATTTCTTTTGCTATATGAAGCTTTTCAGTTTAATTAGGTCCAATTTATTTTTGTTTTAGTTGCATTTGCTTTTGGGGTCTTACCCATGAACTCTTTGCCAAGGCCAATGTCCAGAAGATTTTTTCCTACTTAATCTTCTAGAAGTTTTATGGTTTCAGGTCTTAGATTTAAGTTGTTGATCCATCTTGAGTTGATTTTTGTATAAGGTAAGAGATAATGAGGTAGGAGGCAGGACTCAACTTCAGAGGCCGGGCTGGGTTACTGAACCAAATTGAGGACTAGTTAAAACAGGGCCAAGGTGGAAGCAGGTTTCCATAAGTCTCACCCACCAATATGCCATGTCAGTTTACACTTGCCATGACAACACCAAGGAGTAACTGCCCCTTTCCATGGCAATGACCTGATGACCCAAAAGTTACTACCCCTTCCCTAGATATTTCTGCATAAACCACTCTTAACCCTCATGTAATTAAAAGTAGCTATAAATATGACTGCAAAGCTTCCCTGAGCTGCTACTCTCTGCCTATGGGGTAGCCTGGCTCTGCAGGAGCAGTCACAGAGCTAAAACACTGCCAGAGTTGTAACACTGCCTTTTCAATAAGGTTGCTTTCTTTTATCTCCAGCTTGCCCTTGAATTCTTTCCTGGGCAAAGCCAAGAACCCTGGTGGGCTAAGCCCCACTTTGGGGCTCCTTACCCTGCATCAATAGAGATCCAGTTTCATTCTTCTACATGTGGCTATCCAGTTTTACCAAAACCATTTATCAAACAGGTGTCCTTTCCCCAGTTTATGGTTTTCTATGCTTTTTCAAAGATCAGTTGGTTGTAAGTGTTTGGGTTTATTTCTGGGTTCTTTATTCTGTTCCATTGGTCTATGTGCCTACTCTTCTACCAGTACCATGCTGTTTTGGTAACTCTAGCCTTGTAGTATAGTTTGGAGTCAGGTAATGTGATGCCTCCAGATCTGTTCTTTTTGTTTAGGATTGCTTTTGCTATTTGGGCTATTTTTTGGTGCTATATGAAAATAATGTTGGTATTTTGATAGGAATTTCATTAAATCTGTAGATTGCTTTGGGCAGTGTGGGCATTTTCATGAAATTCTTCCAATCCATAAGCATGGGATGTGTTTCCATTTGTTTGTGTCATCTACAGTGTATTTCAGCAGTGTCTTGTAGTTCTCTGTATAGAGATCTTTCACCTCCTTGGTTAAGTATATTGATAGGTATTTTATTTATTTTCTGAAGCCCTCGTACAGGGGATTGAGTTCTTGATTTGATTCTCAGCTTGGTCATTGTTGGTATATAGCACTGCTACTGATTTGTGTACATTGATTTTGTAACCTGAGACTTTCCTGAATTCGTTTATGAAATCTAGGAGTCTTTTGGAGGAGTCTTTAGGGTTTTGTAGGTATATCATATCATTGGCAAACAGCAATAGTTTGACTTCCTCTTTTCCATTTTGGATGCCCTTTATTTCCTTCTGTTTTCTGACTGCTCTGGCTAGGACTTCCAGTACTATGTTGAATAGAAGTGGTGAGAGTGGGCATCCTTGTCTTCTTTCAGTTCGCAGGGGGGATGCTTTCAACTTTTCCCCATTCCATATAATGTTGGTTGTGGGTTTATCATATATGGCTTTTATTATTTTGAGGTAAGTCCCTTCTGTGCCGAGTTTGTTGAGAGTTTTTATCATGAAGTGATGCTGGGTTTTATTGAATGCTTTTCCTGCATCTATTGAGATAATCGTATGGTGTTTGTTTTTAACTGTTTATGTGACGTATCACATTTACTGACTTGCATGTGTTAAACCATCCCTGCATCCCTGGGATGAAACCCACTTGATCATGGTTTATTATCTTTTTGATGTGCTGTTGGGTTCAGTCAGCTAGTATTTCGTAGAGGGTTTTTGCCTCTATGTTCATCAGGGATATTGGTCTATAGTTTGCTTTTGTTCATTATTTTATCCCTGATTTTAGTGTCAGAGTGATACTGGCTTCATAGAATTAGTTAGGGAGGATTCTCTCTGCCCTGATCCTTTGGAATAGTTTCAGTAGAATTGGTACCAATTCTTTGAGTGTCTGGTATAATTCAGCTGTGAATCCATCTGGTCCTGGGCTTTTTTTGTTATGGGCAATTTTTAAGTTACTGATTCAATCTCACTGCTTGTTATTAGTCTGTTCAGGGTTTTTATTCCTTCCTAATTTAATCTAGGAGGGTTGTATGCTTGCAGGAATATATTCGTGTATTCATTTCTTCTAGATTTTCTAGTTTGTATGCATAGAAGTGTTCATAATAGTCGTGAATAATCTTTTGTATTTCTGTGGTATAGTTGAGCTTATTTTAATCTTCACTCTTCATTTCTTGATTAATCTAGCTAATGGTCCATCAATTTTGTTTATATTTTCAAAAAACCAATTTTTTGTTTCATCTTTTGTATTTGTTTCTTTCCTTCAAATTGATTTAGCTCTGTTCTGATCTTTGTTATTTTCTTCTTCCAGCTTTGGGTTTAGTTTGTTCATATTTCTCTAGTTACTTGATGTGTGACATTAGGTTGTCACTTTGGGCTCTTTCAGACTTTCTGATATAGGCATTTAGCACAGTGAACTTTCCTCTTAGCATTGCTTTTGCCATATCCCAGAGGTTTTGATAACTTGTGTCACTATTATCATTCATTTCAAAGAATTTGTAAACTTCCATCTTGATTTTACTGTTAACCCAAAAATCATTGAGGAGCATATTTTTTTATTTCCATGTATTTGTGTAGTTTAAAAAATTCCTTTTGGAGTGGATTTCTAGTTTTATTCCACTGTGGTCTGAGAAGATACTTGATATAATTTTAATTTTAAAAAATTTATTGAGACTTGTTTTGTAGCCTAGTATACAGTCTTTTTTTGTTTCATTACTTTTTCTTCTAAAAAGACGGGATACACGTGCAGAACATGCAGGTTTGTTACCTATGTATATGTGTGCCATGGTGGTTTGCTGCACCTATTGACTTGTCCTCTAATTTCCCTCCACTCTCCCCCCAACCCTCAGCAGGCCCTGGTGTGTGTTGTTCCCCTCCTTGTGTCCATGTGTTCTCACTGTTCAACTACCACTTATATGTGAGAACATGCAGTGTTTGATTTTCTGTTCCTGTGTTAGTTTGTTGAGGATGATGGCTTCTAGCTTCATCCATGTCCCTCCAAGGGACATGATCTCATTCCTTTTTATGGCTGCATAGTATTCCATGGTGTATATGTACCACATTTTCTTCATCTACTCTATTTTGGAGAATGTTCCATGTGCTCATGAGGAGAATGTATATTCTGCAGTTCTTGATTAGAATGTTATGTAAATATCTGTTAGATCCATTTGTTCTAGAGTGTAGACTAAGTCCATTGTTTCCTTGTTGACTTTCTGTCTCAATGATCTGTCCTGTACTGTCAGTGAAGTATTGAGGTCCCCCAGTGTTGGCATGTTGCTGCCTATCTCACTTCTCACATCTAGCAGTAATTATTTTATGAATCTGAGAGCTCCAGCATTTGGTGCATATAAATTTAGAATTGTAATATCTTCTTGTTGGATTGGCCCTTTTATCATCATTTAATGACCTTCTTTGTCTCTTTTTACTGTTGTTGCTTTAAAGTCTGTTTTATCTGATATTAGAATGCTCCTGCTCACTTTTGGTTTCCATTTGCATGGAATATATTTTACTACCCCTTTACCTTAACTTTATATGCATCTTTATGTGTTAGGTGACTATGTTGAGATAGCAGATATTTGGTTTGTGTCTTTTTATCCATTCTACCAATCTGTTATCTTTTAAATGGAGGATTTAGGCCATTTACATTCAACACTAATATTGAGATGTGAGATATTGTCCCAATCATCATGGAGACAGGAAGTGTGGCTTTCAGACCACATCTATCCCAGTCCAGCAGCAAAGCCAGGCTCCCAGATCCTGTGTTTGTGGCTGCAGCGTGCTTCCCACTCCCCCCTGGGTTATGGCCAAGGGAGTTTGTCCCCACTCAAGATTAGATTGCAAATTTCAGTTGGGAGCTTCTCTCAACCCGTGGCCACTGACTGAGTTGGTTGGCAGACTTCCGCAAGGTCCCCTGTGAGGCAGAATGGCTTCCCCAATCCATGCTGGAGACTGGGAATGCACACAGGGCTCTTTCTACTGCTTCTCCTACTTTATATTCTCCACTGCTCCCTAAATCAGTTCCAGGACTTGGTAGGGTTAAGGTCCCGCCCCCATGGGCTGAATTCTCCAGTGGGGGTGCATATCTTGGAGGCAGTGTCTCCCCCTCACACTGTGGGGCTTACAGTTCTTTGCTTGGCTCACAGTGTAGGCTGCAGCCTGCCACTTCTTTCAAAGGTTCTGTGGTTTCTTTTAGTTTTCCTGTCAAGTTCTGGTGTCGCTTCTTGGAAAAAAGTTCACAGTGTGAATCTTTACACACTATTTTGTCTTTCCAAGTGGGAGAGGCATGCTAACACCGCTTCTAATCCACTGTCTTGAAAAAAAATGCCCATTTTTAATGTGCTGCTTTTTTAGTTTTTAGAGATTTTTATACATTCTGAAATTTTTTATCTTAAAAAGTGCTATTTGCAAGTATTTTTCTAAGTATGTGGCTTGTCTTTTCAATCTTTTGTGTGTCTTTCGAAGAAGTGTCTTCTTTTGAAGAAGAAAATTTTTAAATTTTGACAAAGTTCTAGTTATCAATTTTTTTTAAGGATTGTGTTTTTGTATCATATTGATACCAATTTGGAGGTAATTTCTACCTTAACACTATTGAGTCTTTAGACACATGACCATGTATATATCACCATTAATTTGTCTTATTGTTCTCATCAATGTATTGTAGTTTTCATTGTACATTGTCTTACACATATTTTAGATTCAACCTCAATTATTTCATAATTTTTGATGCTACTATATTTTTTAAAATTCATATTTAATTGTTGCTAGTATACAGAAATAAATTAATTTTTGTGTGCTGACTTTGCACTCTACAGCATTGCTATATTTACTAGTTTTAGTAGCTTTTCTGTAGGTTCCACCAAATTTTTGACAAAGGTTATGTAATCTGAATGCCTCTCATTTCTTCTTGTTTTATTGCACTGGCTAAGATCTTCAATGTGACAGGCAGTGGATCACCTGAGGTCAGGAGTTCAAGACCAGCCTGGCCAACATGGTGAAACCTAGTCTCTACTGAAAATGCAAAAATTAGCCGGGCATGGTGGTGGGTGCCTATAATCCCAGCTACTCGGGAGGCTGAGGTAGGAGCATCACTTGAACCCAGGAGGCAGAGGGTTGCAGTGAGCCAAGAT
This sequence comes from Homo sapiens, assembly GCF_000001405.40. Taxonomy (NCBI): domain Eukaryota; kingdom Metazoa; phylum Chordata; class Mammalia; order Primates; family Hominidae; genus Homo; species Homo sapiens. Next base: position 158,184,767 of record NC_000007.14, read on the forward strand.
TGTGCCACTGCACTCCAGCCTGGGCAAGAAGAATGAACTTCCGTCTCAAAAGAAAAAAAAAAGATCTTCAATGCAGTGTTGAATTGAAGAGGTAAGAGCAGACATCCTCGTCTAATGCCAGATTTTAAGTGGAAAGCATTCAGCCCTTCACCAGTTGATGTAATCTTAGATGTAGGTTTCCGTCATGGATGGATGGATGCTGGGTTTTGCCAAATGCTTTTTCCAGTATCTACTGAGACCATCACATGGTCTATGTAACTATGGTGAGTTATGTTGGTTGATGTTTAAATGTTCGATATACCCTGCATATCTGGGATAAATCTGCCTTGATTATGATGCAGTATTCTTTTTTATATATTGTTGAATTTAATTTGATAAAAATTGTTTAGAATTTTTGTTTCTATATTTCTGAAGAATAATAATCTGCAGTTTTCTTTTAAAATCTTTCTCTGTATGATTTTGATCTGTTGACATTTATTGAGACTTATTTTATGGCCCAGCATTTGATCTAGTTTGGGAAATATTCTATATAACATACTCAAAAAGAATGTGTGTTTAGCAGTTTTTAGGTGTATCATTCTATAAACATCACTTAGCTTAGACTGGTTAATGCTGTGGTTCAAATCTTCTCTATCCTTACTGATACTTTATCTATTTGTTTAATCAGTTACTGACAGAGGAGAGTTTCAATCATTAATGATCATGATCGACCTGTATGTTCCTCTCTTTAGTACTCTCATATATTTCCTTTATGTATTTGAAGCTCTGAAATTGGTTCATAACATTTTTCTATAGCATCTTAATGAATTGACCATTTAGTCATCATAAAGTGTCTCTGTCATGAATAACACTTTTAGTCTTGAAGTCCACTCTGTCTAATATTAACATGACCACACCAGCTTTCCTGCCTTTCGAGTTTCCATCGTACACATTTTCCATCCTTTAGGTCTAAGTTGCCTTCTTCGCCCAGGCTTGGATCTGGGCTCCAGTGAGACTCGAGATCCCTTTATGCTCTGCACTCAGCCGCCAGGTTTCTGAACCATGGGGGAGCTCTCTGCTTTATGGTCCAAGTGTCAGTTTGTGAGTTTCTGAAGCTTCTCTTCCCCGTCGGTCCCACCCTGGCTTTCTGCACCCTTAGAAAGATTCAACAGATCTTTTTCCACCATGCTCCCTTGTCCCCAGTCTTCAGAAGGCCACATGGGGCACTCCATAGAGGCCTGGTGCTCCTTGGCAGGATTTCTCCCAGCCCTCTCCCTCCTCCATCCCTAGTGCCGCATCTCACATACTCAGCGAAAGCCCACAGGAAAGAGGCGGGGGTGCAGACACTCGCTTTGCACAGCCTGTCTCTCAAATCTGTTCCATGCACCTCAAGAGTTTCTTAAAATTTAGGCCGAATTCTCCCCACTTCCTGTGACTGGCTTCTGCTTCTTCCATTCCAATGCGCATGAAAGAAGCTGTGGTCTCCTCTCCTTGGAATGGGTTCATCCATCCCTTTCTGGAATGCAGTTCATCCTCTTTTCCTGTGTCCTCAGCTCTGGCAGATTTCTCCTGGGGCTCACTCGTGTTGTTGGGGTGGGAGGGGGATAGTCTCCTGGCAGATTTCTCCCGGGGGCTCACTCATGTGGTCGGGGTGGGAGGAGAATGGGCTCCTGACACTCTGCACCCTACGTCCATCGTACACCTGCAGGAGGTGTCTCCTGGTCGTCCCCCAAGGCCGTCCTCTTGGAAGCCCACCTGGGCCACCTACCCCCTCTGGCATGAGTACGCCTGGGCTCACCTGCCCCCTCCGTCAGAAGCCCGCCTGGGCCACCTGCCCCCTCTGGCATGAACGCACCTGGGCCCACCTGCCCCCTCTGTCAGAAGCCCGCCTGGGCCACCTGCCCCCTCTGGCATGAGCGCGCCTGGGCCTACCTGCCCCCTCTGTCAGAAGCCCGCCTGGGCCACCTGCCCCCTCTGGCATGAGTGCACCTTTACTTTCTGTGTTCCCTCCATCACAGCACTTGCTTTAATTTTTTAATTATATTTTTTGCTTGCTTGTTTTCTCCCTCCTACCCAGCAAAACTGTAAAATCCTAAAGGACAGAAACTAACTTTCCTTAATCATTTCCTTAATCTAGCACCATTTCTTGTATGTTAAATATGTTTTTTAAACATTTCCAAGATAAATCAGCTAGTTAATGGTATTGGTAAGTAATGAATTTCTGACTAAACCTCCTCAGTAACAGAGTGGACAGGGAATTTATGGTGTTCTGCATGATGAGTTCAAGGACTGTGAACTGGTGCTACCACAGTCAATAAAACAGGAAGCGTTACCACCCTCACAATGCAGAAGTCGTAACGACACCTTGATTTAGTGATCAATAAGTGCTCAATTAGTGTTTAAACGAGGAGAAAGCTCTGAGTCATCTCGCTAATGAACAAAGAGAAAGAGCATGATTATATTCCCAGTGGAATAAAATAAAATAATTCTGTTATGACGTCACCAGCATGAAGGCCCTGAAAGGCAATATGTTTAGGATATTTCTCCATCTACGCTAGAGTTTCATTTTTGATGATGGGTACATAGAAAACAATGATTTATAAAATAATTCACAGGAAGTTGATTGTACCTTCAAAGATCGTCAGTATATAAAGCTTAAATTTCCAATTAAAATATTTCATCAGCTGAGAGGGGAGGGGAGAAGCCGGGGCCCAGATCTCTAAGTCCCTATATTTACGGGGCAGCAAAATCTGCACGGCAGCGCTGCAGCCTCTGGTCACGCACTTCCTGTGCTTATTCAGTCTTTGTTCATTAGCAAGATGACTAAGAGCTTTCTCCTCATTTAAACACTGGACAGAAAAGAAAATGAGTTCTGGGTTTTCATGCATTTTTTTAAATACTGAGAAGCATCTATCTTAACAAAGAAGAAAAATACCTAAGCCAAAATGCCACCAAGTGCTCATTTTCTGAATAACCGTTTGACAGCTGTGCTAAATGTCTGTGTGCTGGAATGACCACGGAGCTCATTAATTCAAACTGGGACACCTCCGAGTGGGAAAGAATGACTTCCTGATAATTATGCTGAGTAACAGTAGAGACCAGGACTGTGAGGCCGACCATCGTGTGTAGGAGATTCCAAGGTGACACAGCCAAACTTATCAGAAGGTGGACCCTGGCTGCTGGTGGAATATTTGACATGACCGGTGCCCACGCCCCTCTCCCATTCCTCTTTCTTGAAATGGAGAGCAGGCAAGATGGGGGCAGTGGTGGAAGATGCTCCTCCTCCATGCACCCAGCAGCCCTGGGGAGCGGCAGGGTCGCAACCCAAGAGATGAACCCCCAGTGGCCCCGTCACGAGCTCCCAACGGAAGGGATGTCCTAGTGCAGAGGCAGCCACCACGCTCGCCCCCTGTACTGGGAAGGCCGCCACGCTCGCCCCGCGATGGGGAAGGCCGCCACGCTCGCCGCCTGATGGGGAAGGCCGCCACGCTTGCCCCGCGATGGGGAAGGCCGCCACGCTCGCCCCCTGTATGGGGAAGGCCGCCACGCTCGCCCCCTGTATGGGGAAGGCCGCCACGCTCGCCCCCTGATGGGGAAGGCCGCCACGCTCGCCGCCTGATGGGGAAGGCCGCCACGCTCGCCCCGCGATGGGGAAGGCCGCCACGCTCGCCCCCTGATGGGGAAGGCCGCCACGCTCGCCCCCGATGGGGAAGGCCGCCACGCTCGCCGCCTGATGGGGAAGGCCGCCACGCTCGCCCCCTGATGGGGAAGGCCGCCACGCTCGCCGCCTGATGGGGAAGGCCGCCACGCTCGCCCCCTGTATGGGGAAGGCCGCCACGCTCGCCCCCTGATGGGGAAGCCCGCCACGCTCGCCCCCTGATGGGGAAGGCCGCCACGCTCGCCCCCTGATGGGGAAGGCCGCCACGCTCGCCCCCTGTACTGGAAAGGCCGCCACGCCCGCCCCCTGTAGGGGGAAGGCCGCCACGCTCGCCGCCTTGTATGGGGAAGGCCGCCACGCTCACCCGCTGTATGGGGAAGGCTGCTTCCAGAGCACTCCGGGGCGTGTGTTGAGAATGCTGGTGCTGGAATCCTAGTGCAGTAAGCCAGGAATGGAAAGACTTCAGTAAATACAACTGGTTAGTGTGACGAGGCCACGGGCCCTTTGGCCTAATGAGCACTGAGCTGCTGAGTCCAGCAGAACCACTGAGCACCTGGAAAGCATCCCAGGACATGCAGTACACTGTGCTCGGCCTAGGAAGGCATCCTGTCTCTGGCAGGAACTTGCTTTCCCCAGGGGCTGCTATGAGCCATCTCATGGGGCATCACTAGGATACCTCCCAATGGCTCATAGCACGAATTGCTCAATATCTACCAAAGACCTTCACTCTCAACGAGTTCCTGCAATTTGCTACGGTTTGTTTCTAATGTGTGGATGTTGCGGCTGCTTGGCCGACCTCACGTCTGGCTGCTGAGGGCAGGGAAGCACTGCAGCCATTCCATTTACCCTCGAGGCGAATCCATGCTGCGCCTTGTCCCACAGGCAAATTCCATTCTAACTCTGACTCTTTTATTTTAGTGCCAGGGCTATTTAATAAAATAACTGAAACCGAAGGAGGAGCATGATGATGGGTTCAAAATGGAACAACTGAGGCTCCCATTGAATGAAACCAAATGCTGTTTGCAGGTGACGACTCGCTCACTGGCCCATCCAAGGCACATTGGACGAGCCTCCAAGGCTACGCTCCTGCCTTTCTCTATTCAGTAGCCCGTGAAGAGGGCCCTTGGACGTCAGTCTAGGTGAGCACGCCACTGTCAAGTCAGGGGGGAAAGACAGGAAACTGCTTCACAGAAAAGTGTCAACTGATTTCCCTTCTCTCAAACTTCTTCCGAGTCTCTGAAACTTTTAATGACGCCTCCCCCTTCCCTCGTATGTTACTAAAACCATCTCTGGACTGCACGTGGGTTACTTTACTGATCATTCACTTCCAGCGTCTGGGGACGTGACGTCACGGCGCCGTTACAGAAGCCTGAAATCTCCCAGCAGCAGTGGAGGCAGAGCACAGGGCCCCACAGCCCTTCTGATAAAGACACAGCGGGGCAGAGGAGGAGGACAAAGCAATGATTTCAGAGCTGGAGGTGCTAAATTACCAACGTTCAAGAGGGTGGGAGAAATGCCAGTTTCCACCGTGCTGTGCTGAGACCTGCTCTGTGGTGCCGAGGCACAGGTGTGCGGAGGGAATATGTTTGCCAGTGTCCTGGCGCCCTCTGATTCCTCTCATCAGAGTCGGAGACCTCCACTGAGCCTGGTTCAGACTCTCAACCTAATTTCTATTTCATTTTTTAAAGATTATTTTATCAACGATAGTTACGGTTACAGCTATTGCTGACTGGGCACTCCATGAGGAGCTTCACACGTGGCTCTCATGACACCTCCAGGGCCACTACCCCTGGTTTACAGCTGAGGACTCGAGGCACAGAAGCTGAGCGGCTCCCCCTGGCCCCAGAGCAGTGGGTGGAGGAGCCTCTGACCCAAGGACAGAGCTGCATGAAATCCACCTTCTGCATCCACAAAATCCAGCAGGATGTCTGGCGCACCAGACGTGCTTAGTTGCTCTCAGTTAATGAATAAAAACTTTAAATTTAGCCTGTTTAAAATAGTGTTAAGTGGACCAGACCCTCTAGGGTTAGGCCCACACAGAGAGACTCCCACAGGCTCCTGGAAGGCTTTGGGGCATGTTTTTCAGGCCAGCCAGTGGTCCTGATGGGAGGTGGGCCTGGCACAGAGCAGGGCTGGGACTGGCCTTTCATTGTGAGCCTAACCTTAGAGGGAGACCTGGGGCCCACAGAGCCCTGTGACCCTGTACTTCCACGAGGGCTGAAGACCCCCACCCTCCACCATGAGGGGTGATTTCAACCAACCAGGAAACACAGTCCATGATCAGGAAAAACACAAATATGGCCCAGGTGCCACTGGGCCCTCCTGAGCAGCCTCTCAACTGTGGCCTGTGGGTCTGGCACCCCGTGGCCCCTGCATGGCTCTGGGCCAGCATCAGGGCTCTGTTTGGCGGCCGTGGACAGACTGGCTTCTGCATTCAAACGTCATTGTGACATCCTCCTGAAGAGGCAAGGCCACAGCAAAGATGGCTGCCCAGGAGCTGCCCTCGGAAAGGCTCCAGAGAACCATGGGGCCAAGGCCGGGCCTTCCCCAGGCACCACCTGCTAAGACACAGAAGTGCCTCAGCTTCCTCACCTGCCTGCACAGAACGTGCCACCTTGTGGGGCCAACTTCTGTGGAAACTCACCCTGTGGTTCCCACGCTTGGTGCAAGGTTCCAGGAAGCCCCTAAGCTGGCCTGGGATTGAGCTTAGTGGCCACGCGTCCTCTGGGAGGACTCTACCTTTCGAGGTCTGTGGGGGTTGCCCAGAGTTAACTTAAGTCATTTCAATGGCTCGATGGCAGGAACATAATAGAAACTGGGCCCACATTGCTTCCCACACATATCCCAGGGCCACAGCTCCTGGTGAGACCCCAGTGGAGTCCAAGAGGATGCAGAGGGTCCTCAGGCTTTCCTGTCTCACACCAGCATGGCTTCCATCTTAGAAAGGAAAGTGTGTCAAATTAGAGCTGATGTAACTAACGTTTGGCAGAAAAGGAGTGTGTGAGCGTCGCCATCAAACCCCCAATGTCCCCAGGGCCATCCTGGGCCTCAACACCTGGTCCAAAATCCTATCCCAGGAAGCTGGCAGGGCTGGGCTCCAAAGGTGATTTCTGCAGCTCTTGTCCCTCCCTCTTTCCAGGCAATGTGGGACCTGTGAACTCTGGCCTAACAAGTCGTCATAAAAATCATGCCTGCTTTTCCATTTACAAAATTTACTGAGATTCCTAATTCCGTGTCCTTAAGATGTTGAGTGGGCTTCGCATAGTGAAGGGTCTTGGGTGGCTCTGTGATGCGGGTCCTTGCAGCTCCCACTCGCCCTGCATAAACACTCCTGGGGTTCGCCTCCGAGCCTGTCTGGGGTCTGTGTGCCCAGGGCATCACCTTGTGTTTTGGTGCCCAGACCCTCATGCCCACAGGCAGATGGAGCCCTTACGCTGCCCTGGGCTGCCCCCGGGGCAGGCTTGCCGGGGAGCAGGAGCTTTCCTTGGATGCAGTAGTTGCACCTGGTGCCCCCTAATTCCAGCCATGTTCATGGCCCCTCAGTCTACCTCAGTCAGGTTTCAGTGTCCACTGCTGTCCCGGATCCTTTCTCAAAGGGTGAAGAGCAGCCACCTATCTCCTCTACCTCCCTGGTGTGCATCTGTGGTTTAAATGGTGGGCTTTCTGGAGTCACGACACCTTGTCCCAAGAAAGATCCTACAGAGCCTCACCCAGAGGACTAAGCATTTGTGGGGGTGGCTGGACTGGGAGCAGGTGTCGCTCTAAGGGGCCCCAGGAACACCGAAGCCCTGTTCACAGGATGCCCGCTGGCCCGGGAAACAGGCGCAAAGCCAAGAGGAGCCAGCGACTAAGGAAACATGCCCAGGTACCTGCACCCTGAAGGAAAAGCCAACCCCGGCCCGGGGAGGAAGTGGAAGGGTCACCTCAGCGGGGGGTCTGTCCTGCGCCGTATGGGTCCTGGCGAGCACGTCTGAGGCTGGGGCCTGGGACAGGGCCTCCAGGAAGGGCAGGTGGCGTCGGAGGGCGTTGGCCAGGGCAGCACCGCCCTCCCGACTGTACCTCCTCTCGCTGCCAACGCTGTGTTTTGAGGGCCTGAAAAAGCAAAAGAAACCAGACATCAACCGCATGTTTGCTGGTGCCTGGAGCTGCTCTGTCCCCTGTGGTGCCTGGGTGCATGCAAGGGGCTGGGAGCCGGGCTCTCGGTGGCCGGCCTGGCCTTGCTGCTCCATGACCATGGGTTTGAACTTCTCCCGGGCCCCCGAGCCTGTGTCCTGCACGAGGATGGCTAACAGCACCTGCCTCGTGGTTGTGGGGATGGACGATTGACCCCTGCTGAGAGCAGAAGACAGGAAGCAAAAGCAATACATGGGAAACAAGGGGAGGGGAGAAAGGGAGGAAGCTGCAGGTGTTGGCTGCAGGCTCAGCAGGAATTCTCCAGGAGGCTGAGGCAGCCAGAGGCCGGGTGGGCATGGGGGGCCCAAGGCTTGGCATGGCTTCTGCTGGGTTTGTGGGTAGACCAAGGAAGGTGGCGGCCCAGAAGCTGGAAAAGGCAGGAACCAGGTTCTCGCCTGATAAATGTGCATTGTTTTAGGCCTTAGGTTGATGTACTTCGCCACAGCCTCGGGACGTCCATGCAGTGCTCTCAGCCCCTCCGCTGCAGTCCCTGCTGTTAAACAGTGATTCACGCACCGCCATCGCGTGCACCATGCAGGGCAGGGACGCCGGAGGCTAGAAGGACAAACACATGGGACGCTTCCCGTGGGCAGACACATGTGGTGCCCACCCTGCTGAGGGCGGCAGGGGTAGGGCCAGCGAGGACAAGGCCAAGAACCAGGCACGGCTGGCCAGGGGCCCCATGGGACAGCTGCGTGCTGAAGGCATAAATCCAGGAGGCAGCTGGACGTGTCAGCCACATGTGGCCCCCACTAATGATGCTCAGAGTCCCTGAGAAAGCAGCCACTTGCCAGTGGGGCCCCCATCACCAGCTTGTGCAGCCACACGGAAAGGAAGAGCAGAACCAGGGAGATTCACTGGAAAAGTCGCGGTAACGCCCAACAGGCCCCGGAGAGACAGAGTCAGGACTCCCCATGTTTATGGGGAGCCCTGGTGGAGGCCTGGGCATGCACAGAGGATGTCCGTGGCCCCCTGAGCCTGCGCCCTGTCCCCCTTTACCCTCAGCTGTGGCGGAGAGCTTGCCTGAGCCACGGGGCAGCGTCTCAGCCTGGGACACGATGGGCATGGCCTCCCTAGGGATGGGCATGGCCCTCCCTGCCCAGCTCACCCGCAGACTCTGCCGCTGGTCTCTGCACCCAGGACTCAGCCGCCCAGAGCTTCACAGCCCCCACGGAGGCCTTTGCTTTTTTGCACATGACCAAAAGGGCCCAGAGCATGCTCCTAAATAAGGAAGATAATTCCCATAGGAGACGCCTCTACCAGCCAGGTTTAAGAACACCTGCGTGAGTGACTGCACCCCACCTCCACATTCCAGCAAGGCTCTGTCTCAAAAAAAAAAAAAAAAAAAAGGAATATAATGTGAGGCCGGCATGGGGGCTCGCAGCTATAATCCTGGCACTTTGGGAAGTGGAGGCAGGAGGGTCACTAGAGCCCAGGAACTTGAGGCTGCAGTAAGCTACGATAGCGCCGCTGTGCTCCAGCCTCAGGCAACAGAGGAAGACCCTGTTTCAACAACAACAAAAAAAGTGTGTGCACGCGCGCGCATGTGCGTGTGTGAGTTTGTGTAAGTGTGTGTGTGAGTGTGTGAGGGGTGTGAGTGCGTGTGTGCGTTTGTCTGTGTATGTGTGCGCCTGCACGCACACACCATGCTTCTAATAAAATGCAAAGATTTCGTAGACATGGAGTTTAGACACAGACCAAAGAGCTTTTAATTCTGGTTATTTTTAGTTTGTATAATTAATTGAGTGCGTCATTTATGTCCATAAAAGAACGGGCATCACCATTAAAAAGATGGGCCAGTCTGGGGGCCCTTGCTGTCCGGCTCTGCTGCCCACAGACAAGGGCAGGGCCCTCTGTGAACCTGCCGCCCTCAGCAATGCTCCCAAATCCCCTTCCCGCTGAGAGCCATGCTCAGCGATGACCAATCACTTCAGGTCCGACTTGTGCTGCAGTGGACGGTCCAGACGCCACAGGCCCCGGCGTCATGCCCCACTGCCAGCACAAGACTCAGGCCTCCCTCATAACAGGCTTTACAGGTGCGGTCAGCTGCCATCTGCTTCTCTCAGGCCAGGGAGAGGCTAGGTCCGAGGTGGAGGCAGGTACTTTCCTGAGCGCCCAGGCACTGGCTGCCTCAGAGCCCTGGGGCATGGCTCCACCTTCACCTTCTCAACATCTAAGTCTAGATCCTCGTTAGGGCAAGAAGCCCAAATTACAGATAGTGTATAACTGTCACGTTTAACTGACCACAGGTTGCCTCCAAGGGACATCACACCACTTAACATATGAAATACGAGCCTTAAATAGATCCTTGCAATTCTCCCTCCAGCTCTGATGCGGTGTTGACATGAATTCTGTTGACAGCTATGTTATCAACCTCACAATACACTTTCATCATTTTTGTTTAATCAACTTCTTTAAATGTGATTTAAGTGACAGGAAAACACCATCTATCGGTGGATGCAGTTGCCTTCGCGTGTTCTCTCATTGGTTTCCATCTGGCACCTTTCCCTTCTGCCAGAACGGCGGCTTTACCAGCCCTGGTCATGGAGCTCTGTGGGTGATGATGTCCTTCAGCGTCTGTATTTCTGAGAAAGCCAATAATTTTACCTTTGTATCTGAAGGATACTTCCATGGGATATGGAATTCTGGGTTGATGTTTGTTTGTTTGTTTTTCCTTTCAGTACTTTAAAAATGCTTTCCATCGTCTTCTGGCCTGGAGCATTCTCAAGGAGAAACCTGCAGTGGCCTTCATCATCTCATCTCTCTATGAAATGCACCTTTTTTTCCTCTGGCTGCTTTTAAGGTTGGCTTTTTATCACTGGTTTTGAGAAATTTTATTATGATATTTCTTAGTCTTCATGTTTCTTTTTTAGGGGGCTTATTGAGCTTTCTGGCTCTGTGAGTTTATCATTTTTATCATATTGAAACAATTTTCCTCATTATTTCTTCAAATGATTTTTCTGTTCCTGTCTCTCCCGCCTTGGGACTCCAGTTATACAGATATTTGGCCTTTAGATGTGTCCCATAGCTCACTGGTGTTTTTTATTTTTTTTTAATTATCCTTCCTTGTTTCCTTATGGATAGTTCCTATTGCTGTGTCTTCAAGTTCACTAATATTTTCTACCACAGTGTCTAATCTGCTATTCATTCCACCCATGAAATTTTCCTGTCTCCTACTTATTGTGTCTGTGTCAGTTCTGTGTCTACACTGATGAATTTTATGAGTTGCATTTTCCTGCTCCTTTTCATGCCAGATAATCCATGTCTATATATTCACATTGTGAATTTTACCTTATTGGGTGATGGACATTTGCAATCCCATAAATATTATTTACCTTTGCTCTGGCATTCAGTTAAGTTCCTTGGGACCAGTTCAACCCTCTCGGTTCTTACTTTTAAGTCTTGTTTGGCAGTATCAGAGCAGCAATTATCTATGACAAATTACTCCCCACTACTAAGACAGGACTCTGTGGGCATTCTACCCAATTATCTGGAAATTATGAGGTTTGCAAGTCTTGATAGGTTTGAAGAAGCACTATGTCGCACCCTGTGTGAATGTCAGATACTGTTTGCTCTCATTTTTTTGGATGGTTCTTTTCCCTCATAGACACAAGGTCATCAGTCATCTACCAAATCCTCAGCAGTGGCTGAAAATCTCCAGGGCTCTCTGTGCACTCTTCTCTTTTATACTCTGACCTGTGAACTCAAGCTGCCTTGGTTTCCCCAGACCTTCAGCTCTGTCTCATCAACTCTGGCAGGCCACTGAGCACCACTGTCCCTGAGGCAGCTGGGGGCAAGTGTCATCGCCACACAGCTGCGTCCCCTCCCAAAATGGCCCTCCACCATGGGGGTCTGCCTCACCCACGTTTATACCCCATCTAGGGAGGTCTGCATCCCACACTGGTCCCCAGCCCCTGAGGAGGGGTGAGGGCTCCTGAGGCCTCTGTCATGACCACACTGAGTCCAACCTCTCCTCGGCCAAACCCGTCTCTTCACTTCCCCATGAGGGGTCTTCCCAAGACCCTGCATTTGGACTTCAGGACTACAGAGTCTGCTGTCCAGACACCCAACCGAGATGTAGCTCCCCGGGCACCCCTGGGGCCCTGCCCACGGCTAGTGAGGATCTTGGGGGACTTCAATCCAGTGCCCCCGATGCCAGTGGAAAGGCGACTATAGATTTCTCCTTGAGAAGTGCTCCAGGCCAGAAGACGATGGAAAACATTTTTAAAGTAGTGAAAGAAAAAAAAGTAACCCAGAATTCTATATCCCATGAAAATATCCTTCAAATACAAAGGTAGACTTATGGCTCTCTTAGAAATACGACACTGAAGGACATCATCCCCAGCAGAGCTCCACAATGAGGGATATGAACAGCCCAGGCTCCCTAGGCAGGCACAGGAGGTAGATATGAGTCAAGGAGCACCTGTATACGTATATATGTATATACATGTATGTGTGTGTGTGTGCGTGTGCATGTGTATCTCCTTTCACAGAATTTGATGCTACATTCTGAACAAAATCGTATTCAGAAAAAGTCTGGGTATGTCTCCAAACACAGCACTGTGGCATCACCCAACAGCCTGAGGGAGGTGCAGCTCAGACTTTGCAGGTGCTGAGTGAGGCAGTATTACTTCAAATAGAACATACACTTTGCTAAGAACAATTTCCACTTCTGGGTATCAGCAAGAAGTGTCTTCTATCCAAACATGACCATCTGGTACTTGTATATGGGTCTTTAGTGTGATTTAGAAACACTTTAGGAAATACACTGGGGCTTGAGTGGATGTGGAACTCATTACAAATTTCCCACATACAGTAATGGAATAGGTTTCCAGGTACTGTTTCCATGTAGGATGTTGATTTTCAAGAACAGATCACTAACATTAGGTGTGTGATACCTGCATGGGGCTTATAAAAAAAATCCCATTTTTGCTTGATTATCTCAATTGATAAACCCACCATGTTTTTATTTCTAGTGCCTTTTTGTATTACTTTGTTCCCACACTGCTCATAAAGATATACCTGAGACTGGGTAATTTATAAAGGAGAGGTTTAATTGACTCAGTTCAGCATGGCTGGGGAGGTCTCAGGAAACGTAACAATCATGGCAGAAGGGGAAGCAAACACACCCTTCTTCACAAGGTGGCAGGAGAGAGAAGTGCAAGGAGCAAAGGGGAAAGAGTCCCTTATAAAACCATCAGATCTCGTGAAAACTCACTCACTATCATGAGAACAGCATGGAGACAGCCACCTCCATGATTCAATTACCTCCCACTGGGTCCCTCCCATGACACGTGCAGATTATGAGAACTACAATTCAAGATGAGATTTGGGTGGGGACACAGCCAAACAATATCACTTTTCAAGTTACACTGATACAGATGTAACAGGCATATAAATTACCAAGGCTTTTGCAGTTCTTTGCATCTCAAATCATGGCTATAATTTCCTTGGCCATTTTTTAATTAATGAAATTTCATGTTCTATGTTGTCAGAGTGTAATTTAACTGCAGTTAATTTACTTTTCTGGTATTTTGTCTACTTTTCTCACTAATTGCTAATCAATGCAAATGGAACCACCTCATAAATGTATCTTTAAATTGTCGTATTCATCTTTGCTTCGCCTCTGTCCATGCCTGGGGACTTGTTTGTGATGCTGCAGTATGTTACGGCAATGAGAGGGTTTATCATTATGCCGCGTGGTGTTGTAGCAATTAACTTGCACATTGACTTTTGCTCTGTCATCCAGCTTGAAGTAGGTCAAAACTTCATACGTATGAATTTTGTACTTTAAAAAGATGAAAAATGTTTTACACTTAGTAGCTATTCCCTTCTCCATTGGCACACACTGGCCTTAGGCTCACGATAATATGAGATAGTCTAGATTGTCACCCAGTTTGTTAAAGGAAAAAATTCCACATTACAGGCCCATCTTATGTTTTATATCCAACCTTCATGGCCACCTGAAGTTCTCTGTGAAGTCATCGGTGCTCATATACACAGCTGGTATTTGTTGTCCCTGTTCCTGCCTCAGGAGCATTTAGCATGATCCCTGGTTCTCTTTAGCCATTAGCATGATCCCTGGTTCTCAGGTCCTCCTTAGCCCTTAGCATGTTCTTCTCAGGTTCTGGCTTCTCAGGTCCTCCTTAGCCCTTAGCATGTTCTTCTCAGGTTCTGGCTTCTCAGGTCCTCCTTAGCCCTTAGCATGTTCTTCTCAGGTTCTGGCTTCTCAGGTCCTCCTTAGCCCTTAGCATGTTCTTCTCAGGTTCTGGCTTCTCAGGTCCTCCTTAGCCCTTAGCATGTTCTTCTCAGGTTCTGGCTTCTCAGGTCCTCCTTAGCCCTTAGCATGTTCTTCTCAGGTTCTGGCTTCTCAGGTCCTCCTTAGCCCTTAGCATGTTCTTCTCAGGTTCTGGCTTCTCAGATCCTCCTTAGCCCTTAGCATGTTCCCAGGTTCTTGGTTATCTTAGCCCTTAGCATGTTCTCAAGTTCTCAGTTCTCAGGTTCCCCTTCCTTGACTCTCTTAGCCCTTAGCATGTTCTCAGCTCCTCCTTAGACTTTAGCATGTTCTCAGGTTCCTGGTTCTCAGGTCCTCCTTAGTCCTTAGCATGTTCTTAGGCTCTCAGTTCTCAAGGTCTCTTAGCCCTTAGCGTGTTCTCAGGTTCCTGGTTCTCAGGTTCTCTTAGCCTTTAGCATGTTCTCAGGTTCCTGGTGACCCCTTAGGTGCGAGCTCTGTTCCTCACACTGGGCACTCATACCTACTGCTTTGCTGATTTTCCACACTGCGTCTCTTTCTGGCTTTCTCTCATGGGGCTTACTCTGCTTAAGGGACCTCATGTGTGGGAAGAGAAGAACCAGCAGGAGAAATGAGCTTGTGGTTGCCACTCTGGTAAGCCCAAAAACAGGGCTGGGGATTCTGAAGACTTCATTCTAATGTCGCCTTTATTTCATGAATGGATGATTGGTTTTCAGCAAGTTACTCAATCTCTGGAGATTAACTGCCTTATGTAAAGAACACCAGCTACTATGTCACTGGCCCATGGTGGATTCTTGTTCAGCTGTGAAGCTCAGAATGCTCTGAATACACATGGAGTGGAGAAAGCCAGGTGACATTCTTCGTTAGTGTAGCTACCCATGCAAGAATTCAAAGGCTTGGGCAGATCACGCATTCTGTCCTTCACCACCATTTATCCAACAAATGCTGGCCCAGGGTCCATCTGGTGAAGGGCACAGGCAGGCACTAGGGGAGCCTGGTTAGAAGCAGCTCCTGGGAGTGGGGAGTGAGGATGCTGAAAGCCAACACGGTTCCTTATCATGCAGCAGGAATCAGAACATGATCCCTTTAATGAGGAATGAAACAAATCCATTACTATAAAATCGCTTGAAAATCTAGAGGTGATGGCCACAAATTAAATCCAAAATAAGACAAAATTACGAATACTAAAGAAGAGGCAAACGAGCCACAATCCACGTATGAGAAGGCAAACAAGCCACAATCCACATATGAGAAGAAAAAGCCCCACAGAGGAATCAGTCCCCTTGCTGCTATAACTCGCCCTCCGACCTGACCCAAGGGGCTTTGGAAACACCACTTGATCTTATAAAAGCTGAGTTTCAAACAGAACCAGTCTCAAAGGTCAAATTCTGAAGATAGCCATGGATTAATCAGGCAACAAAAACAAAGAGGAAGCAGGAAAGGCCCTACTCATTTAGGAAAATGGAATCCAAGACAACAAGCATTAAGGGAGATGCAGGCACCATTTAAACAACAATCCACTAATGATGGACGCCGAGGACGAGCTGACGCAGCCCCCGTGTGCTAAGCAGCAGAGCCTCAGAGCCTATGAAGCTAAACACATCAACCCCCAAAGAAAACTCACAGATTACTGTTTTTGTCTGAGAAATTTCAGAAAGTCACAATATAAATAAGGACATGTTGAAGTAATACAATTGACACATTTTTACCTAATTACACATCATATATATATAATTATAAACTATTTATAAAAGTCTGTATCCTGCAAATAGTTATACAAATATATTTTTGAAGCGCCAATTGAAGATTAAGTATGGTATCAATTAGGCCAAAGAAAACCTCAAAATTACCAAAGAGTAAAAGTTGAACAAAGTCACATTCTGACTAAAATGCAGTAGAATTAGACACTAATTTGAAGTTTAAAAACAACACATAAATATGAAAAAGTAGAAAAGCCTACCAAACATTTATTGTTTCAAAAGGATATAAAATGACAATTACAGATAATTTAGAACAAAAGCAAGTGAGAATTCATCAGTTATAGAATGATGTTAAAATTATGCTCAAAAGCAAATTATTTATGTGATTTCATTATTTTTTTAAAAATGAATAAATAGCGTAAATAAGTTTTACTGAAGAAGTTTTATTTAAAAGAGAACAGCAAAAAGAAGAAAATCTAAGAGATAATTCTTTTTAAAAATCATGTTACAAGGGTGAAAAAAAAGTGGTTTTTTTTTTTTGAGACAGGGTCTCACTCTCTCTCCCAGGCTAGAGTGCTGTGTGTGATCATGACTCACTGCAGCCTCAATCCCCCGGGCTCAGGTGATCCTCTCTCTCAGCCTCCTGAGTAGCCAGGCGCCACCACACCTGGCTAAAGAAAACGTACGTTTACAATGCAAAGGAATATAACTACACAAGTGCTGAGTAATTTTAAAAACCATAATAGTGAGAACTAAGCTCTGATTTTTTCTCTTGTCCAAATTCCTATCTAAGAGGTCTGGGAAGTCATACCCCACAAACCATAAATTCTCATCAGATGGGTTTTATTTGACCCTATATATCGTGACTGACTTTTCAGTCTGACTCTGGCAGAACATTATGAGACAAAGGGAAAAAATCAAAATATTTAACTCTAAAATATATTTCCTTGCAATACCTGGAAATTGCCCTGCAAAGTCTCTTGTGGGAAAAATCCACATTCTATAGGGATCTACTTTCCCCTTTGTTTTCCTTCCTTCCTTTCCAGATCCAGGAGATAATCAACCAAGAGCCAGGCACCCTTTTAGGTCCAATAAGAAGCATCTTACAACCTGCTTTCTCTGAAGTCTGCTAACTGAGAGCTTCCTCTGCACAATAAAACTTGGTCTCCACAATCCTTTATCTTAACTGGAACATTTTCTATTGATCCCAGGTCTTCAGATAAACTCAACGAGTTGTCAACCAGAAAATGTTTGAATTCACCTATAGCCTGGAAGCCCCTGCTTTGAGTTGTCCCACCTTCTGAACCAAACCAATGTATTTGATTGATGTCTCACGCCTCCCTAAAATCTATAAAACCAAGCTGCACCCTGAGCACCCTGGGCCCATGTTCTCAGGGCCTCCTGAGGGCTGCATCACGGGCTATGGCCACTCATATTTGGCTCAGAATACATCTCTAAAAATATTTTACAGAGTTTGACTCTTTTCATCAACAAGAGAATAGCATCCACTACACTGCATTTACAAATGTGGAAATCGCTATTAAAGGATAGCTTATAAATATCCCAAATCACACAACAGTGTAAGCATATTTTACCAATAATCGTGGAAGACAATGAAAATACTCTATAAATGAAGAACATTCCTAAAAAATATACTAGAAAGTAGATCAATGGTAAAAGAAGTTTTCCAGAAATGTTAGGAAAAAAAGAAAAACGATCACATTTCCATGAGGAAATACTGTGGGCAACTGTTGAGGAAGACGATGGGCCACACTGTTTCTTATTCTCTCCTGGGCAGGGCCTCATGGGAACCTCCCTCAGTAGGTGTCAGAGTCGGGCATGAGGAAGGCACCGGCAGGACTGGGGAGGCCTTTGGGTCAGCAGGAGGGACAGCATGAGAGGGAGTGATTGTCCCCAGGCAGTCATGTCTGGGCCTGGGGAAGAGCTGGGGAACATGCCCAGACTCCTCTGCCCTCCATGCTGGGTGCAGCTTGTTCCAAACCCCACCAAAGCCAGAGGCCCAGAGGACCCGATGGAGCTTACAGGCATGAAGCCCATAGCAGGGCAGGGGAAGGGAGTGTGGAGGAAAGGAGTCTGGAGAATATCCAGCCAATGCCTCCCTAAATGGGCCTCTGTTTTGTGGGCAGGGATAATTGCTCTTGCCTGGGTTCAACACTCACAAAGAAAGAATTTAGAAATCCAACCTACAGAATGGTAAGAGCTGTTTTTATTTGTAACCATAGCTAGTGCCATCTACGTTCCAGGCTGATAAAAATATTTTTACAAAATATAATATGTGAAAAGTTACTAGCCTGAAATATAAAGAACCTATAATAAAAGAAACAAACAGAAAAATACAAAAAGTCCTTTTTATACAGACAAAGACCATATACAGAAAATTCACAAAGAAAATTCCAATCTCGGCCAGATGTGGTGGCTCATGCCTGTAATCCTAGCACTCTGGGAGGCCAAGGTGGGCGGATCATGAGGTCAGGAGTTCAAGACCAGCCTGGCCAACACGGCAAAACCCCATCTCTACTAAAAATACAAAAATTAGCTGGGTATGGTGGCGCGCACCTGTAGTCCCAGCTACTCAGGAGGCTGAGGCAAGAGAATTGCTTGAACCCAAGAGGTGGAGGCTGTAGTGAGCCAAGATCGTGCCACTGCACTCCGGCCTAGGTGATGAAGCAAGAGCCAAAAAAAAAAAAAAAAAAAAAAAAAAGAAGAGGAAAGAAAGAGGAAAGAAAAAGGAAGGAAGGAAGGGAGGAAGGAAGGAGAAAATTCCAATCTCAAAGCATATGTATTTTAAACTTTTAATCTCACTTATAACTCATAAAACAAAGATAACATACCATTTTTCATAATAAAACTGGCACTGTTTTAAATAATAAAAACTGGCAATTTTTCCAAATGACCACATTTAACGTTGTTTAGAAGGCACAATCCAGGCGCCTCTCCATGGTTGTTGCTGAGTTTGATTTCTCAGAGGCAGGTCCTCCCTGGATTGTTCTCTATGTGGCGCCCCTTTCCTCCCACGTTTGGCAGCTTCTGTTTGCCCTGTTCTGCACCCCCCCAGAGTGAGGAGGAGCCATCCCTTGCTTGGTTTTCCCAATTCTTCCAGCCCTCTATTTTTTGCCCTTCTTGGCCGTCCAACCCATCCCTATACTTGATGGAGTTCAAGGTCATTGGGGCAGTGCACAACGCCCCCAGTGGAATTTAGAGAGGAGTATAAGGAGTTTGAACACATCCAAAATAGAAATTCAACACAGCTCAAGTTGAAAACATTTTGGTGGGTTTTTGTTTGGTTTCCTACAGAAAAGTCTTACAGACTATAACAGCACATTCTCTTTGATAAAGGAGGTATTAAAGGTAGATACACCAGGCACAGAAGCACAAAGAGGCAGCCCCTGCCCTCAGTGTGCGCCGCGTGCTGAAGTCGCAGCCCCTAACCTCAGTGTGCGCCATGTTCTGGGGAAAGACGCAGCCCCTGCCCTCAGCGTGAGCCGCGTTCTGGGGAAAGACACGGCCCCTGCCCTCAGCGAGCGCCGTGTGGTGAAGACGAAGCCCCCGCCCTCGGTGTGCGCCGCTTGCTGGGGAAAGACGCAGCCCCCGCCCTCAGTGTGTGCGGCGTTCTGGGGAAAGAAGCAGCCGCCGCCCTCAGCGTGCGCCGTGTGGTGAAGACGAAGCCCCCGCCCTCGGTGTGCGCCGCTTGCTGGGGAAAGACGCAGCCCCCGCCCTCAGTGTGCGCCGCGTTCTGAGGAAAGAGGCAACCCGCGCCCTCAGTGTGTGCGGCGTGCTGGGGGACGGTTACCAGTTCTCCACACGTTCTCACTCTTGATCCTGCCAGGACACTTAACTGCTTTCCCTATCAGATGGCCATGAGCATGAAAGCAGATATCTAAATTTTGTGTTACTGGAATCTTTCTAAAGACTATGACTCTAGAATTGTCTGTCAGGGAAAAATGAACTTTTCAAACTAAACCTTTAGGAAAGGTCATTTTCATGTTTTTTTTTAAAAAACATGAAAAATAGCACAATGGCTCAGGAATCCGACAGTGCCAGCTTTCTTACTGTGGTTTGTCTTTAGACTAATTTTTTAACCTCCCTATGACTCAATTTCCTCACTTTCAAGAATCGGTATGACATTAGTCCATGGTATGTATGACATTACCACATCGTTTGTATGACATTAGTAATTACCACATAGTTTTGAGTACAAAATAAGATAATATGGAACAATATATTTAGCTCAGTATACGTTGCTATGCTCTGGGAAAGGATGATAAAGACTTTCACAATTCTGTTTTTTGTCTAAAGCAAAAATAATTTCTTACTGAGAAATGAGAATTCTCGACTTATCTGCTTTCGACCAAGGCCTTGAAGATGCAGGATTTTTCTAAGAGTCTCATGGAAAAACGAAGAACCCCTGGGCATGTCTCTTACTGGAGGGTCACCCCAATATCGCTTTCTCTCATGGGAACCAAACTTTTCCTTACAGACATCCTAACTTTCTGAAACGTCTGCACCAGAAAGATGGTGGGTGCTTTGCTACATTAAAACAAACAAACAAACAAATAATAAGTGTAATGGCTATGGACTGTGTCCTGGGAGCAAGGAGCAACAAGCCACGTCCACACTTACCTGGCTGGGCTGGATGCTTCAGGACGCCTCAGGTAGGTTTTCGGGAGGTCTGCAAGTTCCTGGTCCATCACATACTGAGTATAGTCATCCTGCCACGTGAAACCTGTGGACAAAAATTGCAAAAATTATGTCATCATTTTGGAAATTTAGCCAAAGCTCTTGCTTCAGTCTCACAATTAGTTGCATTTCAGCATTAAGTTGATGGTCCCATCAGCAAAGTAAGCCTCCCTCTCACTGCAGTTTATCAAGATCTCCTTACAGAAATTCCAGCTTTCTGAAACTTCTAGGCCAAAAAGAAAACTGATGCTCTGCTGCATTAATAGTAATAAAAAGGCTTGGGTGAGAGTGGAGAAAGCTGGCCAAATAGAAGCCTCTACCAATCATCCTCCCTGTAGGAACACCAAATTGAACAACTGTCCGCACAGCAAAGCACCTTCATACGAACCAAATTTCAGGTGAGTGGTCACAGTACCTGGTTTTAACTCCATATCATTGAAAGAGGCACTGAAGAGGGTGGAAAAGATCATTTGGAATTGCTGATGTCACCCCTCACCCATCCCCCTGCAGTGGCTGTGTGCCCCAGAGAGAGAACGCATGCACTTGGGAGAGAGAGCACAGTGATAGTGGGACTTGGTATTGGAACTCGGTGCTGCCCTGTCACAGTAAAAACAACAGGCAAAACTCAACCAGAGCCCATGGAGGGAATATTTAGACCAGCCCTAGACAGAGCAGTACCACCCATCCCAGTGGTCAGAATCTGAGTTCTGACAAGCCTCACCACCATGGGCTAAAGTGCTCTGGGGTCCTAAATAAACTTGAAGGCTGCCTATGATGGAAGGACTACAATTCCTGGGCAAGTCCTGGTGCTGTGCTTGGCTTGTAGCCACTGGACTTGGGGTGCAGACAACCTAGTAAGGTACTAGCTGGCACAACTAAGGGTGCTAGTGTCACCCTTCCCTCAACCCTAGGCAGCACAGCTCACAGCTCCAAAAGAGACTCCTTCCTTCTCCTTGAGGAGAGGAGAGGGAAGAGTAAAGAGGACTTTATCTTACAACTTAGATAACTGCTCAGCCAAGTAGGATAGGGCACTGGGCAGAGTCATGAGGCCCCCATTCCAGGCCCTAGCTCCCAGGTGACATTTCTAGACACACCTTGGGCCAAAGGAAAACCCACTGCCTTGAAGGGAAGGTCCCAGTACTGAAAGGATTCATCATCTCCTGACTACAGAGCCTTTGGGCCCTGAATAATCAACAGTGGTACCCAGGCAGTACCCCATGGGCCTTGGGTAAGACTCAGAGATGTCCTGGCTTCAGGTCTGATCTGGTACAGTCCTAGTGGTGGGGTGGCCACAGAGGTGCTTGTGTCACCCGTCACCCAGCTCCAGGAAGCTCGGGGAGGGGGGGAGAGAGAGAGACCGTCCGTTCGTTTGTCTCGGAGAATGTAAGAGAAAAAAAGTCTGCCTGGTAATCCACAAAATTCTTCTAGATTGTATCCAAGACTGCCAAGGTGATACATCTGTGAGTCTGAAACAGCCATGAAATTACTGGGCTTTGAGTGGCCCCTAATGCAGATATGGCTGCAGGGATTAAAAACGTAGATCACAGAACCAAAGTCTTTTCTTTTTTTTTTTTAATTTATTTATTTTTTATTATTATACTTTAAGTTTTAGGGTACATGTGCACATTGTACAGGTTAGTTACATACGTATACATGTGCCATGCTGGTGTGCTGCACCCACTAACTCGTCATCTAGCATTAGGTATATCTCCCAATGCTATCCCTCCCCCCTCCCCCCACCCCACAACAGTCCCCAGAGTGTGATGTTCCCCTTCCTGTGTCCATGTGATCTCATTGTTCAATTCCCGCCTATGAGTGAGAATATGCGGTGTTTGGTTTTTTGTTCTTGCGATAGTTTACTGAGAATGATGGTTTCCAATTTCATCCATGTCCCTACAAAGGACATGCACTCATCATTTTTTATGGCTGCATAGTATTCCATGGTGTATATGTGCCACATTTTCTTAATCCGGTCTATCATTGTTGGACATTTGGGTTGGTTCCAAGTCTTTGCTATTGTGAATAATGCCGCAATAAACATACGTGTGCATGTGTCTTTATAGCAGCATGATTTATAGTCCTTTGGGTATATACCCAGTAATGGGATGGCTGGGTCAAATGGTATTTCTAGTTCTAGATCCCTGAGGAATCGCCACACTGACTTCCACAATGGTTGAACTAGTTTACAAAGCAATGGCAACAAAAGACAAAATTGACAAATGGGATCTAATTAAACTAAAGAGCTTCTGCACAGCAAAAGAAACTACCATCAGAGTGAACAGGCAACCTACAAAATGGGAGAAAATTTTCGCAACCTACTCATCTGACAAAGGGCTAATATCCAGAATCTACAATGAACTCAAAACAAATTTACAAGAAAAAAACAACCCCATCAAAAAGTGGGCAAAGTCTTTTCAAATACCTGGAAAGCCTTCCCAAGAAGGATGAATACAAACAAGCCGAGATTTTAGCGACTACAATAAATACCTAACTCAGACACCAACAAACATCCAAGAGCATCAAGACTATCCAGGAAAACATGACCTCACCAAACGAACTAAATAAGGCACCAGGGACCAATCCTGGAGAGACAGGGATAGATATGTTACCTTTCAGACAAAGAATTCAAAATAGTTGTTTTAAAAAAATTCAGTGAAATTCAAGATAACATAGAAAAGACAATCAGAATCCTATCCGATAAACTTAACAATGAAATTAGAATAATTAAAAACAATCATGCAAAATCTCTGGAGTTGAAAAACATAACTGACCCATTGCAGAATGCCTCAGACTCTCTTGACAGCAGAGTTGACCAAGCAAGACAAAGAATTAGTGAGCTTGAAGACTGGCTAGTTGAAAATATGCCGTCAGAGGAGACCAAAGAAAAAAGGATTTTAAAAAATGAAGCACACCTGCATGATCTAGAAAATAGCCTCAAAAAGACAAATCTAAGATTTATCACCCTTAAAGAGGAGGGAGAGAGAGAAAGAGGTAGAAAGTTTAGTTGAAAGGATAATAATGAGAACTTCTCGAACCTAGAGAAAGATGTCAGTGTTCAAGTATAGGAAGGCTATAAGAACACTAAACAGATTCAACCCAAATAAGACTACCTCAAGACATTTAATTATCAAACTCCCAAAGGTCAGGAATGAAGAAAGAATCCTAAAATCTGCAAAAGAAAATAAACAAACAAACAAAAATACAATGGAGCTGCAGTACATCTGGCAGCAGACTTTTCAGTGGAAACTTTACAGGCCAGGAAACGGGATTGTTATTTAAAGTGTTAAAGGAAAGAAACCCTTTTATTCTGAAATTGTATATCCAACAAAAATGCATTTCAAATATGAAGGAAAAATACTTTCCCAGACAAACAAAAGCTGAAGGATTCCATCAACAGCAGACCTGTCCTATAAGAAATGCTAAAGGGATTTCTTCCGTCTGAAATAAAAGAATGTTAGTGAGCAGTAAGAAATCATCTAAAGGTACAAAACTCACTGGTAATAGTAAGTACACAGAAAAACACAGAATATCATAACACTGTAATTGTGGTGTGTAAACTGCTCATATCTGGAGTTAAAAGACTAAAAGATGAACTTATCAAATAACTCCAACAACTTTTCAGATATAAAGATATAAATAGAAACAACAAAAAGTTAAAAAGTAGGGGGATGAAGCTAAAGTGTAGAGTTTTTATTAGTTTTCTCTGTGCTGGTTTGTTAGTTTGCTTATGTAATCAATGTTAAGTTGTCATCCGTTTAAAATAATGGGTTATAAGATGTTATTTGCAAGCCTTATTGTAACCTCAAATCAAAAAACATAAACAGATACAACAAAAAGTAAAAAGCTAGAAATTAAAACATACCACCAAAGAAAATCACTTTCACTTAAAAAAAAAAGTAAGGAAAGAAATAAGAAAGAGAAGACCACAAAACAATCAGAAAACAAATAACAAAATGGCAAGAGTAAGTTCTTACCTATCAATAATAACAAATACACATGGACTAAACTCTCCAATCAAAACACACAGAGTGGTTGAATGGATTAAAAAAAAGACCCAATCATCTGTTGCCTATAAAAGACACACTTCACCTATAAAGACAAATATAGACTAAAAAGAAAGGGATGGAAAAAGATAATCCGTGCAAATGGAAACCAAAAAAGAGCAAGAGTAGCAGTACTTGTATCAGACAAAATAGATTTCAAGACAAAACTAGCAAAAGAGACAAAGAAGGTCATAATGATAAAGGGGTAAATTGAGCAAGAGGACATAACAATTGTAAATATATATGTACCCAACACTGGAGCATCCAGATATATAAAACAAATTTTATTAGAGTTAAAGCAAGAGACAGACCCCAATACAGTAACAGCTGAAGACTTCCACATGCCACTTTCAGCACTGGACAGATCATTGAGACAGAAATTCAACGAAGATATATTGACCAAGCTGCACTGTTAACCAAATGGACTGAATTGACATTTACAGAACATTTCATTCAATGGCTATGAAATCCACATTCTTCTCCTCAACACATGAATAATTCTCAAGAATAGCCCATACATTATGGCAAAAAAATGCATCTTTAAAAATTCAAAAACAAACTGAAATTATATCAAGTATCTTCTCTGACCACAATGGAATAACACTAGAAATCAATAACAGGGAAAATTTTGGAAACTATACAAACACATGGAAATTAAACAATATGCTTCTGAATGACCAGTGGGTCAATGAGGAAATTAAGGAGAAAATTTAGAGATTTCTTGAAACAAATAATAATACAAACACAACATACCAAAAACCTGTGGGATGCAGCAAAAGCAGTACTAAGAGGAAAGTTTATAGCTATAAGCAACTACATCGAGAAAAAAGAGAATACCCTCAAACAATCTAATGATGCATCTTTTTTTTTTTTTTTTTTTTTTGAGACGGAGTCTCGCTCTGTCGCCCAGGCTGGAGTGCAGTGGCGCGATCTCGGCTCACTGCAAGCTCCGCCTCCCGGGTTCACGCCATTCTCCTGCCTCAGCCTCCCGAGTAGCTGGGACTACAGGCGCCCGCTACCACGCCTGGCTAATTTTTTGTATTTTTAGTAGAGACGGGGTTTCACCGTGTTAGCCAGGATGGTCTCGATCTCCTGACCTCGTGATCCGCCCGCCTCGGCCTCCCAAAGTGATGCATCTTAAAGAACTAGAAAAGCAAGAGCAAACCAAACCCAAAATTAGTAAAAGAAAAGAAATAATAAAGATCAGAGCAGAAATAAATCAAGTTGGAATGAAGAAAACAATACAAAAGATCAATGAAACAAAAAGTTGGTTTTTGAAAAGATAAAATTGACAAACCATTTTCTAGTCTAAGAAAAAAAGAGAAAAGACCCAAATAAATAAAATCAGAGATGAAAAAGGAGACATTACAACTAATACTGCAGTAATTCAAAGGATCATTAGAGGCTACTATGAGCAACTACATGCCAGTAAATTAGAAAACCCAGAAGAAATGGATAAATTCCTAGACACATAGAATCTACCAGGACTGAACCATGAAGAAATCAAAAACCTGAACAGATCAATAACAAATAATGAGATTGAAGCTGTAATAAAGTCTCCAAGCAAAGAAAAGCCTGGGACTTGATCACTTCACTGCTGAATTTTACCAAATATTTAAAGAAGAATCTTGCTCAAACTATTCCAAAAGATAGAGGAGGAGGAAACACTTCCAAATTCATTCCATTAAGCCAGTATTACCCTGATACCAAAACCAAAGACACATCAAAAAATAAAACTTCACGCCAATATCCCTGATGAATATTGATGCAAAAATCGTCAACAATCGTCAACTGTCCTGGGGATAGGACAGTCTCTTCTATAAATGGTGCTGGGAAGACTGGATAACCACATGCAGAAGAATGAAACTAGACTCCTATCTCTTCCTATACAAAAATCACATAAAAATGGATTAAAGACATAAATCTAAGACCTCAAACTATGAAACGACTAAAAGAAAACACTGGGAAAACTCCCTAGTACACTGGATAGTGTAAAGATTTATTTAGTAATACCCCATGAGCACAGGCAGCCAAAGCAACTTGAGTAATGCTCCACAAGCACAGGCAACCAAAGCAAAACTGGACAGATGGGATCACATCAAGTGAAAAAACCTCTGCACAGCAAAGGAAACAATCAACAAAGTGAAGAGATACCCACAGAATAGGAGAAAATATTTGCAAAGTATTCATCTGACAAGGGATTAATAACCAGAATGTATAAAAAGCTCAAACAACTCTGTAGAAAAAAATTTCAATAATCTAACTTTAAATGGGCAAATAGATATAACTCTGAATAGACATTTCTCAAAAAAGACATTCAGACGGCAAACAGGCGTATGAAAAGGTGCTCAACATCACTGATCATCAGAGAAATGCAAATCAAACCTACAATGAGATATCATCTCACCCAGTTCAAATGGCTTTTGTCCAAAAGACAGGCAATAACAAATGCTGGCGAGGATATAGGAAAAAGGGAACCCTCATACACACTGTTGGTAGAATTGTAAATTAGTACAACTATTATGGAGAGTAGTTTGGAGGTTCCTTAAAAAGCTGAAAATAGAGCTATAATATAATCCAGCAATCCCACTGCTAGGTTTATACCCAAAAGGTAATCAGTGTATCAAATTGATATCCACACTCCCATGTTTATTGCAGCACTGTTAACAACAGTGAACATTTGGAAGCAACCTAAATGTCCATCAACAGATGAATGGATTTTTAAAAATGTGGTACCTCTACACAGTGGAGTACTATTCAGCCATAAAAAGGTGAGATTCTTTCATTTGCAACAACATGGATGGAACTGAAAATCATTATGTTAAGTGAAATAAGCCAGACATAGAAAGACAAACTTTGCATGTTCTCACCGATTTGTGGGAACTAAAACTTAAAACAACTGAACTTATAGAGAGTAGAACAACAGCTACCAGAAGGAAGTAACCATTGTTACTGGGAAGGAAATTGGCAGGGGGCGGGGGGCAAGTGGGAATGGTTAATGAGTACAAAAATACAGTTAAGTAGAATGAATAAGATCTGGTACTTGATAGCACAACAGGGTAACTACAGTCAACAATAATTTATTGTACATTTACAAATAACTAAGAGTATAACTGGATTATTTGTAACACAATGAAAGGATAAATACTTCAGGTGATGAACATCCCATTTACCCTGACGTGATTATTATGCATTGTATGCCTGTATCAAAATATCCCATGTACCCCATAAATATATACACCTGTGTACCCACAAAAATTAAAAATTAAAAAAATAGACTTAATGGGTGCTGACTATGGCTAGACAGCAAGGAGCCTTACACCAAATACAAGTTTAGTTAGAAGACAGATTTTTATCTACTATGAAAGATGGAAACATCTTCCATCTACATGGAAATATTGTGGTCACAGCAAAGATACTCCTCATCCACAATAAGCACATAGTACCCGCCACTCACCCACTCCTCTACCTGCCCGCCACCATATCTTAGGTATTTTGTTCTTCCTAACAAAATCTTAAAAGACAGCAATTGGAATGGAATAAGGGGTATTGTTACTGTGAAAGCAATTATCATGGGGCTTAATGTACTGTATCCGGGAGCCAATTACATTATATTTATACTCAAATGTTATGACAAAGAGCTTTATAACAAGGGTGAAGTAGTTATGAAGGCAAAATCCATGTGATTATGCATTAATTACATGCACTGTGGATCACATGATAATTATGCTCAAAATTACCAAATAACTCTCAAGAATAATTATTATGCAATTTGTACATGTTAGATCTTATGGTAACACTTTAGCACTTAGAACTACCCCATGCAATTATCCATAATTATCTAATCACTAAATATCATGTAATTACAGAGATATATTTTTATGCCCTGTACAAAAACACATTACCAAAATCTTCAAATCAGGATGGCTCTGTGCTTGTGTGTGTGTGTGTGTGTGTGTGTGTGTGTGTGTGTGTGTGTGTGGCGTAGGAAGTCCAGAACATGATGAGAACCACATATTCTGGATGGAATTAAAAGAGCTCAGTAAATATAAGCTATCTTCATGAACACACAAATATTTTTTTCACATGCAAATCTAGATTTTTTAAATGTTATAGACGGCAAATTAAAGCAATTGTCATATTTCTAAATCTCAAAAGCCTAAATGGCATTACCTGAAGTGAAGAATGATAGGAAAATTCACCATTAGGATGGCCTCCAACTTACTCTAAGCTGCTCTAGTTGGAATATATCACTTAGAGTATAGGTCGCTGCAGAAAACAGGCCCCACACTCACTACTATCCAATTTAAGATTAAATGTACTTAATAATAATCAAGTCTATCCCATTTGCCAAAGCAACTTAAAAACACCCACTATGAAATGTACTTTTGTTTATATAGCTATTTCTGATCCATTCTTGGGAGTATACTCAACTGAAAGCACATTTGCAATGTTAGTATAATATCTATTATTGTGGATTTAGAAATAAGGATATTTTAACCACGCCATTCCTAAAAGGGATTCTCTTAATATTAATATTTATCAGGAAACAGAAAATCAATGGCACAAAAAGAACTTTTCATGAAAAATATCATTTATAAAATTTAAATAACTAAAATTTAAAAATTTTTATCTAAAAATCATATAAGTCTGAGTTATGTCAACTTTGGGATCTATGATAAAGGCTCAGTTCTTCCAGAACAACAGTTGGTCAACTACTCAGAATCATCTGTACTGGGCAGTCTGAGAGGACCCTGTATACCTTAGCCCAGCCATCTCAGCCTTCCCGGAAGTCAGAAGAAACTGTGCTCTTAGATATAAAAAACAAACAAAACAATGCAGAGGTATGGGAGTTTAAGCATCTCCTATGAACTTCTGTCCGTGGCATATCTTGGAGAAAATATAACCCTGGGAAGAAGGAATCCACTCCCAGAGATGACATACGTCTTCCCACTAAGTACAACTAAAATCTCTGAGCATACGTAAAACAAGCATAAGACTCTGAAGGATGGCAATACGAAGGCAGAGCAGAGAAGGACATGGTGGTGGATTCCCTGGGTTTTCTTTTTGCCTCAGGTACCTCAGACTTGGAGTCAAAGAGGCCGCAATCCGGAAACACCAGCGTGTACACACACACACACACACACACACACACACACACAACTAAAGCAGCCTCTCTCTAATCAAGGAGTCAGGAAAGAATCAACTCAGCAAGACAGAAAAATATTAGATATTAACAGCTCTACCCCAGCAAAACACCACAGAAAAAAGTACAGCCTCTCCCTACCCATGCCAACAAAGGCCAAATGGGGATCTAGACTTCCTCTTTCATGAGGCTGTAATAAGGCCTCCCCTCAGGCCTACCAGGTAGTGTCAGAGAAGGCCAAGTAGGGATCCAGAACTTTCATCTCCATTGGGTTGTAATTACCACAACCCCTGCAGTGCCAGCAGAGACCATCTGGGAAGTTGAAACTCCCACCCCTCTCCCTAACCAATCAGTAAAAAGACCCCACCTTCAGGTATCAACAGAGGCCTCCTGGGGAATCTAGACTTCCATCTCCCTGTCAGTTACAAGGAATCACCACCACCACCCCTTACCCCCAGAAGAGGAGTGTCCAAAAAGAGACAGTTAAAATGCAAGGTTTAAATGAGATCCAGAATCATGACATAATACAAAAATGTCCAGATTTCAAAAGAAAATAACTGGTTATACAAAGAACAAAGAAGATCACAAAATAAATAGAAAAGAGACAATCCACAGAAACCAACACTGAGATGACCGAGATGTTAAAATTGCCTGAGAAAGATTTTAAACCAGTTACGATAAAAATGCTTCAATGAGCAATTATGAACACACTTGAAACAAATGAAAAAGTAGGATGTCTCAGAAAATAGATGATGTAAATAAAAGCCAAATTGAAATATTATTACTGAAAGATACAATAACCAAAATAAACAACGCAGTGGATGCACATAACAGAAGGATGGAGAGACAGAGGAAAGAATCAGTGAAGTGAGGATAAAACAGTAGGAATTACTCAATGTCAACAACACAGAGAAAATAGTAGAAAAACATGATAAAGCTTCAGCAACTGCGGGGCTATAACCAAAGATATAATATTCATGCTATCAGAGTTTCAAAAAGAGGAGTGAAAGAAGACAAGATGACAGGTCTGAAAAGGTACTCAGAAAAATAATGGCTGAAAACTTCTCAATTTTGGAAGAAACATGAACCTAAAACTTTAAGAAGCTAAGCATACCCCAAACAGGGTAAACCCAAATCTCCTCCAAGACACATAATAATTAAGTTTCTGAAAACTTACAAAGAAAAATCTTAACAGCAGCCAGAGAAAAATGACAACTTACCTACAAGGAAAACACAATTCAAATGACAGGGGATTTCTTATCAGAAACAATGGAGGCCACAAGGAAACAGCACATTTTTCAAGTGCTGAAAGAAAAATATGTCAACCCAGAATCCCACAAGTCTATCAATCCAGATACCCAGTGAAGTTATCCTTCAGGAATCAGGGGGAAATAAAGATATCCCCAGAAAAAGGAAAATTGTGTTTTTCACCAGACCAACTCTGAAAGAATTACTAAATTTATGTCTCCATATAGAAGAGAAATATAAAAAAAGGAATTTTGGAGCATCAGGAAGAATGCAAGAACATGGCAAGCAACAACCTGAGTAAGTACAATAAGCATTCCTTGAGTTTTATGCTTGACAGTTCAATTAAACACCATACTACTGTCTTATGTCATTTTAAATGCACATAGAGGAAATATTTAAACAATTATAATATAAATGAGGGGCATAAGTAAAATGTCATAAAGGAAGGTAAAGTTTCTATATTTCACCCAAACTGGTAAAATTATGACACCAGTAAACTTTAATGTTATGAATATGTATATGAATATTATATCTAGAACAATAAATAAAAGAAAGCTATCAAAGACATACACTCAAAAACATAGATAAAGTGGATTTCCAAAATCATTAAAGTAACTCAAAGGAAGGGAGGAAGAAACAAAGAAACAAAAAATACAAGAACAAGTAGAAAATACAAAATTAAATGAGTTTTAAATCCTAACATGTTAATAATTACATTAAATGTAAATGGGCTAAATATGACAATGAAAACACTGGCTGAGTGGGTTTTTTTTAAAAAAAGACTCAACTATACACTATATGAAGCTCACTTTGAATAAAATGATATAGGATGGTTGAAAGTAAAAATATTTTTAAAAATATATCATGTAAGTATTAATCAAAGGATGGAAGCAATAGCTATATTAATATCAGATAAGTTAACATTTAGAGTAAAGAAAATGGCTACAGAGAAGGGAATTACAGAGTTATAAATAGGTCAACCCACTAAGAAGATACAGCAATCCTATATATGAATTATATAGATAGAGCAACTAAACAAAAAATCAACAAAGATAGAAAAGAACTCAACAATACCATTAATCAACAGGATCTAATGAACATTTATGGAACACTGTACCCAACAAGAGCAGAGTATATGTTCTTTTCAATTGCTCATAGAACACAAACCATGATAGACTTAATGCTGGGCCATAAAACAAACTTCAGCAAAATTATAATCATTCAGAGTGTGTTCTCTGACCACAATATAGTCAAGGTAGAAATCAATAACAGAAAGATAATGGGGAAATATAACAACATGTTATAAAATAATCCATGGGTCAAAGAGAAGATAATACATTACATGTAATTAAAATAAAAGCACAACATATCAAAATTCATGGCACATACAGTTAAAACTGTGCTAAGTGAAATTTTTAGCACTAAATGCTTACATTAAAAAAGAGGGCCCTACTGGAGCACTTTTGCCAGTGGCCCCCACCCACCCTGCCAGGGCACTTTTGCCAGCAACCACCAATGGGGCAGTTTAGCTGGTGGCCCCTGATAGAGTGCTTTCACCAGCAGCCTAGCTGCACCTTGACCTCCCAGTGAAGCTGGTACTAAAGCTCAAGGGGCCAGAGGACAAAGCCACAGGCCTGGTCCCAGGTCACCAGGGTTAGAGCATACAGCCCAGGAGTTCCAAGCTGAACCTCGGCCCTATGAAAAAATTCAGAAACAAAGCCAATCAACTATATCCAACTTACACAACAGCAAAACTCTTATGAGAAATAACGAACATAAAAACAAAAAGCCCTATCCCCAGGACAGCAACTTCAAAAGGATAAAAGAACATCAGCACTCACAGATGAGAAAACAGCACAAGAACTCTGGCAGTTCTAAAAGCCAGAGTGTCTTTTTACCTACAAATGAACACACTAGCTACCCAGCAATGGTTCTTAATCAAACTGAAATGACTGAAATGACAGACATAGGATTCAGAGTCTAGATGGCAAGGAAGCTCAATGAGATACAGGAGAAAGTTGAAACTCAATCCAAGGAAATGATTTGAGAGTTGAAAGACAACATAGCCATTTTAAG
This sequence comes from Homo sapiens, assembly GCF_000001405.40. Lineage (NCBI taxonomy): Eukaryota > Metazoa > Chordata > Mammalia > Primates > Hominidae > Homo > Homo sapiens. The sequence continues at coordinate 158,217,741 of NC_000007.14, forward strand.
AATAACCAAACTGAACTTCTGAAATTTAAAATTCAATATAAGAATTTCATAATAAAATTGGAAGCATTAACATCAGAAGAGACCAAGCTGAGAGAAGAATTTTAGAGCTTAAAGGCAGTTCTTTCAAATCAACACAGGCAGACAAAAATAAAGAAAAAAGAGTGTTAAAAAATGAATAAAACCTCTGAAAAGTATGGGATTATGTAAAGTGACCAAAACTATGACTCACTGGCATTTCTGAAAGAGAAGGAGAGAGAGTAAGCAACTTGGAAAACATAGTTGAGGATACAGTCCATGAAAATTTTCCCAATCTCACTAGAGGTTGACATGATATTCAAGGAATTCAGAAAACCCCTGTGAGATACTATATAAGATGACCATCCCCAAGGCATATGGTCATCAGATTCTCCAAGGTTGTTGTGAAAGAAAAACTCTTAAAAGCAGCTATAGAGAAAGGGCAGGTCAGTTACAAAGAGAACCCACCAGGCTGATAGCAGACATGTCAGAAAAAAGCTTACAAGCCAGAAGAGACTGGGGGCCCTATTTTCAGCATCCTTAAAGAAAAAAAATTCCAATCAAGGATTTCATATCCCACAAAACTAAGCATCATAAGCAAAGAAGAAATAAAATCATTTTTAGACAAGTGAACACTAAAGAAATTCACTATCATTAGACCCGCTTTACAAAGGTCCTTAAGGGAGTGCTAAACATGGAAACAAGAAAGATACCTGCCTCCACAAAAACACAAATACGTAGCTCACTTGCACTATAAAGCAACTATACAATCAAGTTTACATGAAAACCAGCTAACAACACAAATGACAGGATTAAATCCTTACATATCAATATTAACCTTGAATGTAAACAGGCTAAACACCCACTTAAAAGGCATAGATTGACAAGTTGGATAAAGAGGCAAGACCCAACTGTCTGCTGTCTTCAAGAACCCATCTCACATGTAATGACACACTTTGGCTCAAAGTAAAGGGATGGAGAAAGATCTATCTTGTAAGTGGAAAACAACAAAGAGCAGAGGTTGCTATTCTTATATCAGATGAAGCAGATTTTAAACCAGCAATGATCAAAAAGAACAAAGAGGGGCTTTACATAATGAAAAAGGGTTCAATTCAACAAGAAGACTTAACTACCCTAAATATTTATGCACCCAACATTGGGGCACCCAGATTCATAAAACAAGTTCTTAGAGACCTATAAAGAGACATAAACACAATAATAGGGGGAGATTTCAATATCCCATTTGACAGCATTAGACAGATCATAGAGGCAGAAAACAAAGATATTCTGGACTCAAACTCAACCCTTGATCAACTGGGTCTTCTAGATGTCTACAGACTACCCAACAACAACAGAATATATATTCTTCTTATCTGCACATGACACATACTCTAAGATCAGCCACATGCCATAAAGCAAGTCTCAAAAAAATCCAAAGAAAATTGAAATCATACCAACCACTCTCTTGGCCCACATGTAATATAAATACAAATAAAAAACAAGAAGATCTCTCAAAACTATCCAGTTACATCAAAATTAAACATTTTGCTCCTAGATGACTTTTGGGTAAAGAATGAAATTAATGCAGAAATCAAAAAATTATTTGAAACTAATGAAAACTGTGACACAACATACCAGAATATTTGGGACACAACTAAAGCAGTGTTAAAAGGAAAGTTTATAACACTAAACAACTACATCATAAAGTTAGAAAGATCTCAAATTAACAACATAACATTACACCTGGAAGAACTAGAAAAAAAAAGAACAAACCAATCCCAAAGCTAGCAGAAGAAAAGAAAAAATCAAAATCAGAGCAGAACTGAATGAAATTGGGACACAAAAACACAAACAAAAGAAAGTTCATTTTTTGAAATAATAAATAAGATTGGTAGACCACTAGCTAGATTAACAAAAATAGAAGACCTAAATAAGCACAATAAGAAATGACAACGGTGATATTACAAGAAAACCTTTTAGGTTTTCTGGGTTTTTTCCATTTCTTCTAGAACACCTTGAAGAAATAAATAAATTCCCAGAAACATACAACCTTGCAATATTGAACCAGGAAGAAATTCAAATCCTGAACAGATGAATAATGACTTTCAAAATTGAATTGCTAATAAAAAAAAAACCTACCAACCAAAAAAGCCCGGAACCAGACAAATTCACAGCTGAATTCTACCAGACATAGAAAGCAGAGCTAGTAACAATCCTACTAAAATTACTTCAAAAAACCAAAAAGTAGGAACTCCTCCCTAAATCATTCTATGACACTAAACAGAATTGAAAACAGAAACCATATGATCATCTTAATAGATACAGGAAGGGCTTTCAATAAAATTCAACATCCCTTCATGTTAAAAACCTTCAACAAATTAGGCATCAAAGGACAAAGATAAAAGGAATATGCCTCAAAATAATAAGATCCATCAATTACAAACCCAAAGGCAACATCATATTGAACAGGCAAAAGTTGGAAGCATTTCCTGTGAGAACTGGAATGAAACAAAATGCCCACTCTCATCACTCCTATTCAACATAGTATTGGAATTCCTAGCCAGAGCAGTCAGGCAAGGGAAAGAAATAAAAGGTATCCAAATAGGAAAAGAGGAAGTCAAATTATCTCTCTTCATAGATGATATACTATACATAGAAACCCCTAAAAACTCTGCCAAAAGACTTCTAGAACTAATAAATGACTTCAGTAAAGTTTCAGGAAAAAAATATCAATGTATAAAAACCAGTAGCATACAATTCACTTACCCTTAGCAAACCAAAACAAAAACTAAAAAACTAATATCATTTCTACACATCAATAATTTCCAAGCTGAAATCCAAATCAAGAATGCAATCCCATTTACAACATGTACAAAAAGAATAAAATACCTAAGGTTATAGCTAACCAAGAAAGTGAAAGATCTCTACAAGAATTAAAAAACACTGCAGAGATAATACAAACAAATGGAACAACATTCCACGCTCATGGATAGGAAGAATCAATATTGTTAAAATGGTGACATTACCCAAAGCAATTTACAGACTCAATGCTATTCCTATCAAACCACCAGCATCATTTTTCACAGAATTAGAAAAAAAAAAGAATTATAAAATTCATATGGATCCAAAAAAAAAAAAAGGCTGAATAGCCAAAGCAACCCTAAGCAAAAAGAACAAAGCTGGAGGAATCACACTACCTGACTTCAAAATATACTATAAGGCCATAGTAACCAAAACAGCATGGTACTGGTACAAAAACAGACACATAGACCAATGGAACAGGTTAGAGAAACCAGAAATAAAGCCACACACCTACAAACATCTGATCTTCAACAAAGTCAACAAAAACAAGAAATGGAGAAAGGACTCCCTATTCAATAAATGGTGCTAGGATAGCTGGTTAGCCGTATGCAGAAGATTGAAACTTGACTCCTTCCTTTTACCATATACAAAAATCAATTTAAGATGGCTTAAAGATTTAAATGTAAGACCTAAAACCATAAAAACCCTAGAAGAAAATGTAGGACACACCACTCTGGACACAGGCCTTAGCAAAGATTTAATGATGACATCTCCAAAAGCAACTGCAAGAAAAAAAAAAAGACAAGAGGGACCTAATTAAACCAAAGCGCTTCTGAACAACAAAAGCAACTATTAACAGGTAAATAGACAACCTATAGGGTAGGAAAAAATATTTGCAAACTATGCATCTGCATTAGTCCATTTTCACACTGCTGATAAAGACACACTTGAGACTGGGTAAACTAAAAGAGCAAGAGGTTTAATGGACCCACAGTTCCATGTGGCTGGGGAGGCCTCACAATCATGATGGAAGGTGAAAAGCACGTCTTACATGGCAGCAGGCAAAAGAGAGAATGAATGCCAAGCGGAAAGGGTTTCCTTCGGATCCATCAGATCTCATGAGACTTATTCACTAACATGAGAATAATATGGGGGAAACTGCCCCATGAGTCAATTATCTCCTACCAGGTCCCCTCCCACAAGACGTGGAAATTATGGAAGCTACAATTCAAGATGAGATGTGGGTGGGGACACAGCCAAACCATATCAGCATCCAAAAGAAATTTAATATCCAGAATCTGTAAGGAACTTAAATTATTCAACAAGAAAAAAGCAGCCCCATTAAAAAATGGGTAGGAGACATGAACAGACACTTCTTAAAAGAAGACATAGAAGCGGCCAAGAAACGTAGGAAAAATGTTCATCATTAGTAATCATCAGAGAAATGCAAACCAAAACCAAAATGAGATACTATTTCACATGAGCCAGAATGAATATTTTTAAAAAGTCAAAAAATAACAGATGTTGACAAGGTTGCAGAGAACAGGGAATGCTTATACACTGCTGGTGGGAATGTAAAGTAGTTCAGCTGGTGTAGAAAGCAGTTTGGAAATTTCTCAGAGAACTTAACACAGAACTACCATTCGACCCAGCAATCCCAGTATGGGCATATAGCCAAAGGAAAATAAATCATCCTACCAAAAAGACACAAGCACCTGTACATTCATCACGGTATTATTCACAATAGCAAAGACATGGAATCAACCTAGATACCCACTGATGATGGACTGGAAAAAGAAAATACGGTACACATACACCATGGAATACTACACAGCCATAAAAATAATGAAATCATGTCCTTTGCAGCAACATAGATGCAGCTGTAGGCCATCATCCTAATCAAATTAATATAGGAACAGAAAACCAAATACTGCGTGTTCTCACTTATAAGTGGAAACTAAACACGGAGTACACACAGACACAAAAATGAGGATGACAGACGCCGAGGACTATGAAAGGCAGAGGGTGGGAGGAAGACGTGGGTTGAAAAGCTATAAGGGACTAGGTTCACTACCTGGGTGGCAGGATTGTTATCACACCAAACTGTAACAACACACAATTCACCCATGCATATGTACCCTCAAACCGAAAACAAAAGTCAAAAGAAAAATAAAAGAGAAAGTCTCAAATCAATAATCTGAATTCTTTAAGAATCTGTAATAAAGGAGAACACAATAAACCCAAATAAAGTAGAAGAAAATAAATAATAAGGATAAGAAAAGAAATCAATGTAATTTAAGTGAGAAAAAAATAGAGAAGATAAATGACAATGAAAGCTGGTTCCTTGAAAAAAATCAGTAAAATTGACAAATCTCTATCAAGACTAACAAAAAACAAGAGAGAAGACACAAATTATCAATATAAGCAAAGAAACAGGGGAAGTCACTACAGACTCTGCAAACATCAAAAGGATAATCAGGGAATAAACAACTCTACACACATAAACCTGACAACATAGATGAAATGGATCGACTCCTTGAAATCCACAAGTTACCTCAATTCATCCAATGTGAAATCAATAATTTGAATACTTCTACACTATTAAGGAACTTGAATTAATAATTAAATATCTACCCAGAAAGAAATAATCAGGCCCAGATGGTTTCACCAAAGAATTATACCAAACATTTAAAGAGGAATTAAAACAAATTCCATAAATATCTTCCAGAAAATAGAAGGCGAGGAAACAGTTCCCAATTTATTTTATGTAGCTAATATTAACCCGATACCAAAAGCAAACAAAGACAGTAAAAAGAAACCTACAGACCAAAATCCCTCACAAATGTAGACACAAAAATCCTTTACAAAATATTAGCAAATAAAATCCAGCAATATATGAAAATAATGATACATCATGAGGTTTATTCCAGGAATGAAAGGCTGGTTCACTATTTCAAAACAAATCAATGTAATCCACCATATTAATAGGCTAAAGAAGAAAAAAATCACATGATTACAGCAATCGATGCAGAAAAGACATTTAAAAAATTCAACACTCATTCATGAAGAAAACTTTCAGAAAAATAGAAATCAAGGGGCACTTTATCAAGCTAACAATAAACATCTACAAAACCCCACATTTCACTGTACTTAATGGTGAGTAACCATCAAAAGCTTTCACTGAAGACTAGGAACAAAGCAAGGATGTTTGCTCTCACCAATCTTATTCAACATAAAGCTGGAAGTTCCAGCCAGTGCAATAGGGCAAGATAAAAAAAAAATAAAAGATATGCAGACACAAAGGAAGAAATTAAACTGTACCTATGTCCTATTTCCTGATTATCTACACAGAAAGCCCCAAGGACTCTACAAAAAATATAAAAACCTCTCAAACCTAATAAGTTCTTGTACTATATACTAACAATGAAGGCATGAAAACTGAAATTAAAATACTATTTAAAACCACTCAAAGAATACCTAGGTGTAAATTTAACAAACCACGTACAGGACCTATGTGCTGAAACACAAACAATGGTGATGAAAGAAACCAAAGATCAAAATAAATGACAGACATACCATGTTGGTAGATCAGAAGATTCAACATAATAATGATGTCAACTCTCCCCAGATTGATACAGAGGTTTCACATAATTCCTATAAAAAATCCCAGGGAAATACTTTGTAGATACAGAAAAGCAAGTTATATGGAAGAGCAAAGGAACTAGAGTAGCTAAAACAATTTGGGAAAATAAAAATAAAGTGGAAGGAGTGATCATATATAATTTCAAGTCTTATATAGGTACAATAATCAAGACTGTGTAGTACTGATGAACAGATACAAATAATACAATAGAATAGAAAACCCAGAAATAGATCCATAAAAATATGTCCAAGTTATTTTTGACAAAGATGCATAAACAATTTAATGGTAGGAAAATTTGCCTTTTCAACAAATGGTCCTGGAGTGATTGGACATCCACAGGCAAAAACAGGAACCTCTATGTAAGCTTCACAGTCTACACAAAAGCAACTCATGGACATAAATGTAAAAATGCAAAACTATAAAACTTTTAGAAAAAAACAACAGAAAATCTTTGGAAGCTAGAGCTAGGCAAAAAGTTCTTAGACTTGACATCAAACATCTTCCATAAAAAGAAAAATTGACAAATTGGCCTTCATCAAAATTAAAAACTTTTGCTCTGTGGAAAGGCCCTCTTAAGAGCTGAAACAATGAGCGCAGAGTTGGAGAAATATTGGCAAACCACGTATCTGACAAAGGACTAGTATCAGGAATATACACAGAACTCTCAAAACTAAACATTAAAAACATTCAATTAGAAAAAGGGTGAGAGATGAAAAGACATTTCGACAAAGAGGATCTACTGATGGCAAATAACCACACGAAGAGATGCTGACCATCATCTCATCAGGGAAATGTCAATTACACCCACAATGAGATGCCACCACACACCTATCAGAAAGGCTAAAATAAAAAATAGGGACAACATCAAATGCTGGAAAGGATTTGGATTCAGAAAAACTGTATCACTGTTACTTTTTTTTTTCTTTTTTACTGTGAATGTCAAATTTTGTTCTGGAAAATGGTTTGAGAGTTCCTTTAAAAACTAAACATATACTTATCATAAGACACAAAAATTGAACCCCTGACCATTCATCCCAAAGAAATGAAGACTTATGTTCAAACAAAATCTTGTGTATGAATGTTCACCAGTTTTATTTAGAATAGCCCCAAACTGGGAACCACCGAGTCCCTCAGCAGGTGGATGGTTACCATGCAGCACCTCTGCACCACGGAGCACCACTTGGTTATGAAGGAAAGAACGATTAGTACACACCACAGCCTCGCTGAATCTCCCCGGAACTGTGCTGAGGCAAAAAGCCAATTCAAGAAGGATAGATGCTATATAATTTCATCTAGACAACACCTGCATAACCAACTCTTGTGTCCTATGGGAGGCACATACGGTTTGAGGGCAGCCACAGCACCCATCTTCCTCAAGTTTGCAGTCTAGTGTGGAATGCAGGTACGTAATTAGCTAAGATCCAAGTTGGAGTGCAATCATTATATAATAAAGTTATGAGCAAACTGCTAAGGGAATAGAGAAATGAAGAGGTGAATTTGTGTTGGAAAGTTAAGAAAGTTTCATAGAAACAAGTGGTATTTGAACTAAGACTGGAAAGATAAATAGAATTCTAACAGGTGGGGATGGATTAGGGGAGGAACTCTAAGATAACGGAGTAGCATGGGAAGGGACTTGGGGCTGTGGCACTGAGTGGTGCACTCAGGGGATGGTGTATGACATGGGGAGGGAGGTGGGGGCAGTGCAGGAACAGAGGGAGGGGAGTTGCATAGTCACAGGAGGACGTCAAAGCTACATCAGGAAGCACCGGTGCATCTGTGCACAGTGGGGAGCAGTAAAAGCTCTGCATCGGACAGAAATATCATCCAACTGTGTCCCAGAAGGAGGATAAAAGTAACAATATTAAAATTAAAAATTTAAAGATACATAGCAGTTTCTATTTGCTGAGCCTTAACTATGAGCCAGCACTATTCTAAGTCCTTCCTATTTTAATCCTCAGGATTTGTGAATAATGAATTAAAGATAATAGGGAGAAGGGAAGGCATTCAATAAGAGTTACAAAAACGGTTCATTAGAGAGATGATAAGGTTGTAAACTCAGAGAACACTAGTGTGGATAGTTTGAGAAGCAGAATTGGTAAAAATAATCAGTATATGCAGGATTAAAGGAGAACAAGGTGTCAAGGTTAACTGCAAGAGAGGTTGGCTAGGTCACTGGGGAAGAGGAAATCACAAAGAAGGAAGGCTGGGAACACACCAGGTTTGTGGGTGGGGACGACGTTTGTTTCTTCTGCAGGCTGAACTGTGTGGCAGAGGAGATCCCCGTGGGAGGGGCAGGTGGAGAATGCCAGGGACAGACTGCTGAGAGGGAAACGGAGGCGGCAGAGCAAGTGGTGGCAGCGTGCATGGTGGTCCCGGCTTGCATGCAACACGTCAACACTTAAGCAGGCAAGGGCATAGCAAGGACAGAAACCAAGGTGCACGCTGCATATGAGGAACGAAGACAGCGCTTCCCTTTTTTTTTTTTTTTTTTCCGGTGGTATCCAAGAGTAAGATATGCATCTTGAAGTGAGACCTGGGGAAGTCCCACAACACAGCACTTACCCTAATCGCGTGGGAGCCTCTCACGTATCACTGTGTCCTATTATATCATATTTATTCTCTTCTGTCTCACTTTTTAAAATTTCTGGCTGCAACACCCTAAAACTCTCTCAGGGTCATTAATGGGCTGTGGCTTGCAGTTTCAAACACACTGGATCCAGGCGACAGGCTGTTTGGAGGGAGGAGGGAGCCAGGCTGAGGAACAGAGATGCAAAGGTTTGGGGGTGAAGCTGAAGATGACTGACTGCCAAGCTAGGCTCCAGTGGCACCAGCTCCAGGAGAGGACCCTGGGTCACAGGACGAATGGAGGCCTCAGAGCTACTCATCAGAGAGTGCACTGTGCGTGGATAAATGGGAGGAGGGAGGTCAGTTGGGAGAAGGTGTGAGAAAATGGAACAGTAGAAAATCTGTCAAAGTAAAGAGGATGGGATAGATCCTCCATCTGTTTTAGGAGAAAAACAATAAAAAAGAGGTGCTGAGCAGAGGAGCAAAATCGACAATAAAGACAGACAGCCCAAGGTCATGTGCTCAGGAGCCAGGAGAAGAGAGAGCTTCAAGGGTGAGAGAGAGGCGGTATTCATTTCAAACGCGGTAATACTGAGAGATAAATCAGAGTGATAAGAATCAGAAATGAAATCTATTAGCATTTTATTTTGCCTACAGGAAAGCTGTAAATGAGAGGCTGATTTCAAAATATGAACGTGGTCAGGGTTGAAATGGGGCTGAGGAGGAGCCCCTGACGTGTGACGGGAAGACCCCAGGTGGCGAGGAAGAAGTGTCGGGGAAAGGCGGTGGTCAGCACATTGCAGGATCTAGATTTTATGAGTAGAATTCACGACTATATAAAAAAATACAGTGGCACTCTAATCAGCAGTAAACTCATGCTCAAAATGCTCTTTACGGAAGATGAATGTGCAGCTTGCCCTCGCATCAGCAAGGAAAGGGCTGGTGAGCAGAGTGTGAAGGATGATCCCATGCAGGAAGCCTGTAGGCTTTGTGAACTGAGAGGAAACACTCCTTAAGAAGATGACGTGAAGTCAATTAAAGGGATCAGGTGGGCTCTCCTTCCCAATCAGAGAAGACAGGGTCATAGTTCCATTCCTGGGCTGCTCAACTGTGCACAGTGGGGGTGCCTGTCCCAGGCCTGGTCAGGGCCAGCACAGACTCCTTGACATGGTTTTAACTCACATTTTCACAATCCCTGGAAAAATGCAAAGCATTTCTATAAAGTAGTTAAGGCTTTACATGTATATCAAATAGAAATGGAACCTATACATTCAAGACATTAAAAAGCTCTATGCGTATTCAAAGGTGGTAGCATTGTTGGTGATATTTTATGTCTCTTTGGAACACATTTACAAAGACAGTTTAGAAACCAGACAATAAATCAGTCTTGTTGTTATATGTTCACACTTCACTTTTACATTGAAAACAGTGTGACAATCAACTTAGTCAATGACTGGGATGCAAATAACTTATTTATCCCACCTGGTATCAACTAACTTTATGCCACATCCTCATGCATCTGCCTTCAAAAAGAAGAGTCACCATTACTGAGAATGTTCAGAGATCGCCCTCTACCAGGTTACTGAAGGAAGATCCCAAAGAAGAATTTTAAACTTTTCTGAGCAACATCAGAAGCTTTCCAAGGTGAAATTTTTGAAAAGAAAATATTTTCTCCAGATACATTTCATATTCCACTACACCTGTTGGAAATTTCTACTAGGAGGGACTTCTGGTCCCAAAATGGTGGTGCAGTAGAAGCAAGGTGACTTCACTCTGCTCCACAGAGAAGCAAAAACACACACAGCACTGACACAATCCCAGCAATGGCCACACACTCAAATACAAAAGGAGACAGTTCCCAGGAACACAGAAAATTGAAAACACCCCAAGCAGACAGCAAAAGCATCAGACCACCATGTCTGCACCATCCCTCCTCATAATCTGTTTGGCATCAAGAGTATGGGAAATTTCCCCTCAACTCATAGCTTCTATGCTGGAAAAAGTGAGGGTGAGGTGGACAATCAGCTTCTCCAACCTCTTGGGGGCCCTGGCTGGAGACCTGTTCCTGCTTCAACCCATGGGAAGCGCTGCAAATGTGTGAAGGGAAACATCCCTGAGGACAGCCAGAGATAAAAGGGGGAGGTGGGACTATAGTCCCCAGCCCCACAAACTCTACTCTGCAACTCGGTCAAAGAGGCACTCCATCAGAGTGGCTGCTCACAGCACCACCCTGTAGCAGGAATGCTCCACAGGTCCCCTCAGCACGAGGCCCCAGCCAGCCTTCTCACACTGCTGGCATATCCCCTTTGAGACCTCTCCCATTCAGTACAGGCAGCACTCAGATCTTTAACCTTCAGTACAGGCAGCACTCAGATCTTTAACCAGAGCCAAGGTAAACCTGGGCTTAAGGTGCCATCTAGTGCCGAAAAGGAGACAGGGACCTAGAAGGGGGAGAAAAAGAAATTCCACAGGTAAATTATGTGACTCTCTAAGCAAATGTATCCAATAAAAACTAAAACAAGCCAGGAGACAAGACTGGAGTAAATAAATAATCCTTCAGTGCAAGGACACAGACACACATCAACAAGAAACAGCAGCAAATGGGAAACCATGGCCTTCTCAAATGGACAAAGTAAGGAACTAGCAATTGGCCCTAATAAGATGGCAATATGTGAGTTCTCGGACCAAGAATTCAAAATAGCAGTTTTAAGGAAACTCAGTGATTTCCAAGATAACACAGAAAAGCAATTCAGAAATTTAACAAAGAGATTGAAACAATTTTTAAAAATTCAAACAGAAATCTTGGAACTGAGAAATACATTTGCTGAACTGAAAAATTCATTATAGCCTCTCAAAAGCAGAATGGATCAAGCAGAGGAAGGAATCAGTGAGCTCAAAGACAGGCTATTTGAAAATACACAATCAGGGATGGAAAAAGAACAAAGAATGAAGAGGGATGAAGACCACTTGCAAGACAGAAAATTACCTCAAAACATCAAATATAAGAATGATTGATGTTCAAGGGGAAGCTGAGCAAGAACAAGGGGTAGAAAGCTTACTCAAAGAAACAATAACAGAAAACTTCTCAAAACTTGAGAAAGACATAAACATCTAGGTACAGGAAGGTCAGAGAACACCAAACAGATTTGACCCAAATAAGACTACTGTAAGGCATATAATAATCAAACTCTCAAAAGTCAAGGACAAAGAGAGATCCTAAAAGCAGCAAGAGAAAAGAAGCAAGGAATATTTAAAGCAGCTCTCATTTGTCTGGCAACCAACTACTCAACAGAAACCATACAGGCCAGGAGAGAGTAGGATGACATTTGCAAAGTGCTGGAAGGAGAAAAAAATGAAAAACCTGTCACCCAAGAATACTATATCCAGCAAAGCATTCCTTCAACTATAAAGGAGAGATAAAGTCTTACCCATACAAACAAAAGCTGAGATAATTCACCACTACTAGTCCTGTGTTACAAATCATGCTAAAGAGAGTTCTTCAGTCTGAAAGAAAAAAAAGTAACATGCAAAAAGAAAATATTTGAAGGTATAAAACACACCGGTAAAAGTAAGCACTCAAACTAACCCAGAATACTCCAATACTGTAATTGTGGGGTGCAATCCACTCATAACCGTAGAATGAAGCCCAAAAGACAAATCTGTCAAAAACAATAATAGCTGCAGCAACCTATTAAGAGATAGGCAGCATACAAATATGTAGATTGAGACAATAGGAAGTCAAAGTGTGGGGGGATGGACTTAAAATACAGAGGGGTTTTTTTTCATTTTTTTCTTTGTTTCTATTCTTTTGTGATCTCAGTTATCTCTTTAAGATAACTTGTTATATGTTTAAGTTGTTTTTTATAAGTCTCATGGCAACTACAATAAAAAAAAACTGTAACACATGCACTAAAAATAAAAAGCAATGAATTAAAACATACTAGCAGAGAAAATCACTTTACCACAAAGTAAGACAGAAAGCAAGCAAGGCAACAAGAATGAGGAGTTACAAAACAATGAAAAAACAAACAAAATAGCAGTAGTCAGTCCTTACTCATCAATAATAACATTGAATTTAAATGTACTCAATTCTCCAATTAAAAGATATAGAATGGCTGTATGGATAAAGAATTAAGACCCAACTATAAGCTGCCCACAATAAACCAGCCATATCTATAAAGATGGACATTGACTGAAAGGAATAGAAAAATATATTTCAGGCTGGGCACAGAGGCTCACACCTGTAATCTCAGCACTTTGACAGGCCAAGTTGAGAGAATTGCTTGTGTCTGGGAGTTCAAGGCCAGCCTGGGCAATACAGTGAGACTCCATCTCTATAAAAAAATCAAAAATTAGCCGGGCATGGTGGCATGTGCCTGTGGTCTCAGCTACTTGGGATGCTGAGGTGGGAGGATCACTTGAGCATGGAAGGTCAAGCCTGCAGTGAGCCATGATCACACCACTGCACTCAGCTGAGATAAGAGAATGTGACCCTGTCTCAGAAACAACAAAAAAGATATTCCATGCAAGTGGAAACCAAAAATGGGCAGAAGCGGCTGTGCTTATATCAGATAAAATAGACTGCAAGTCAAAGACTGCAAAAAGCAACAAAGAACATCACTATATAGTGATAAAAGGGTCAATCAGCAAGAGGATATAAAATTATAAATATATATGCACCCAACAATGGAACACTGAAGTATATAAAACAGACATTAATAGATCCAAAGGAAGAGATAGCCCGCAATACAATAATGGCAGGGCACTTCAACACCCCATTCTCAGTAATGGACAGATCATTCAGGCAAGAAATCAACAAAGAAACTTTAGAGTTAAACTATACACTACACCAAATAGGCTTGACTGACATTTATATCATTTCACCCGACTGCTACAGAATACCCATTCTTTTCATCAGAGCATGAAGCACTCTCCAGAATACACCACATCTTAGGCCACAAAACAAGTCTCAACAAATTCAAAGCAGCAGAAATCATATCAAGTATCTTTTCTGACCACCATAGACTAAAACTAGAAATCAATAACAAGAAGAACCCCAGAAACTACATAAACACATGGGAATTAAACCTCCTTCTAAATGGCCAATGAGTCAATGAAGAAGTTAAGAAGGAAATTTAAAAATGTCTTGAAACAAATGAAAATTGAAATATACTACAATCTATGGGATACAATAAAAGCAATACTAAGAGGCAAGTGTATAATAATAAATGCCTACATCAAAAACATAGAAAGACTTCAAATAAACAACCTAACCATGCACCTCAAGGACCAAGGAAAGCAAGAACAAGCCAAACCTAAAATGAGTAGAAGGAAAGAAATAATACAAATCAGAGCAGAAATAAATGAAATTAAGATAAAATATACAGAAAAATCAATAAAACAAAAAGTTTTTTGAAAAGGTAAACAAAATTGACAAACCTTTAGCTAGACTAAGAAAAAAGGAAAGAAGATCCAAATAAATAAAGTCAGAAATGAAAAAGGAGATGTAACAACTCAGATCACAGGAATAAAAAGGATCATTAGAGACAATTATAAACAACTGCATGCTAAGAAATGGGAAAACCTAGAAGAAATAGGTACATTCCTGGACACTACCAAGATTGAACCATGAAGAAATAGAAAACTTCAACAAACCAATAACAAGTAATTAGATCAAAGCCATAATAAAAAAATTTACCATCAAAGAAAAGCCCAGGACCTGATGCCTTCACTGATGAATTCTACCAAACATTTGAAGAAATAATACCAATTCTACTCAAACTCTTCAAAAAATTGAAGAGGAGGGAATACCTCCAAACTCATTCTATGAGGTCAGTGTTACCCTGAAACCAAAAGCTGAAAAGACAAGACAAAAAAAAAGGAGGACTATAGGCATAGACACAAAAATCTTCAACAAAATATTAGCAAACTGAATTCAAGAACACATTAAAAAGATCATTCAACATGATCGAGTGGGATTCATCCCAGGGATACAATGACGATTCAAAATATGCATATCAATAAACATAATACATCACATTAACAGAATTAAGAACAAAACTACATGATCATTTCAATAGATGCTAAAAAAGCATTTGATAAAATTCAACATCCCTTTATGATAAAACACTCATCAAAATGGGTATAGAAAGAACATACCTCAAAATAATAAACGCTATATATGACAAATCCACAGCTAACACCATAATGAATGGGGAAACACTGAAAGCCTTTTCTCTAACATTTGGAGCAAGACAAGGATGTTCACTTTCACCATTTTTATACAACATAGCACTGAAGTCCTGACCACAGCAATTAGGCAAGAGAAAGAAATACAGGCACCCAAATTGGAAAGGAAAAAGTCAAATTAGCCTTATTTGCAGACATCATGATCTTATCATATTTATAAAACACCAAAGACTTCAAAACACTGTCAGAACTGACAAATTCAGTAAAGTTGCAGGATACAAAATCAACATACAAAAATCAGCAGCATTTATATATGCCAACAGCAAACAATCTAAAAAACAATAAAGTAACCCTATTTCCAATAGCTAAACATAATATAAGATACCTAGAAATTAATTTAACCAAAGAAGTAAAAGATCTATACAAGGAAAACGATACAACACTGAAGAAAACAATTGAAGACGACACAAAAAACTGGAAAGATATTCCATGCTCATGTATCCAAATAACTAATACTGTTAAAATGTCGATACTACCCAAAGCAATTGACAGATTCAATGCAGTCCCTATTAGATGAGATGGGGCTTGTTCAGGGTGGGCATGGCTGTAGACATCAGTGTAGTCCCTATCAAAATGCCAATGACACTCTTCACAGAAAGAAAAATCTCTAAAATTTACATAAGCTCACAAAAGACCCCAAATACCCAAAGCAATCCTGAGCAAAAATAACAAACATGGAGGTCTCATATGACCTGACTTCGAAATATGCTTCAAAGCTATAGTATCCAAATAAGCATAGTACTGGCATAAAAACAGACACACAGACCAATGGAACAGAATAGAGAATCCAGGTATAAATTCACACGTTTATAACCAACTCATTTTTCACAAAGGCACCAAGAGCAGATATTGGGGAAAGGACAATCTCTTCAATAAATGTTGCTGAGAAAACTGGATTTCCATACACAGAAGAATGAAACAAGACTCCTATGTCTCACCATATACAAAAATCGAATCAAAATGGATTAAAGGCTTAAATATAAGACCCGAAACTATGAAACCGCTAAAAGAAAACACTAAGGAAACACTCCAGGACATTGATCAGGGCAAAGATTTTTTTGGTAAGGCCTCAAAAGCACAGATAACCAAAGCAAATAAAGATAAAATGAGATCACATCAAGCTAAAAGGCTTCTGCACAGCAAAGGAAACAAAAAAGTGAAGAAACAACCCACAGAATGGAGAAAATATATGTAAACGATCCATCTGACAAGGGATTAATAACCAGAATATATAAAGAGCTCAAAACACTCAACAGCAAAAAAAAAACAAACCTCTAATTTAAAAATGGGCAAAAGATCTGAATAGACATTTTTCAAATAAAAACATATAAATGGCCAACAGGTACAGTCATCAAATAAAAACATACAAATGGCAAACAGATATAGTCATCAAATAAAAACACACAAATGGCCAACAGATATAGTCATCAAATAAAAACACACAAATGGTAAACAGATATAGTCATCAAATAAAAACATACAAATGGCCAACAGATATAGTCATCAAATAAAAACATACAAATGGTAAAACAGATATAGTCATCAAATAAAAACATACAAATGGCCAACAGGTATAGTCATCAAATAAAAACATACAAATGGCCAACAGGTATAGTCATCAAATAAAAACATATAGGTGGTAAACAGATATAGTCATCAAATAAAAACTTACAAATGGCCAACAGATATAGTCATCAGAGAAATACAAATCAAAATCACAATGAGATATCATCCCACTCCCGTTAAAATGGCTTTTTTTTTCTTTTGAGACGGAGTCTTGCTCTGTCTCCCAGGCTGGAGTGCAATGGCACAATCTCCGCTCACTGCAACCTCCACCTCCTGGATTCAAGCGATTCTCCTGCCTCAGCCTCCCGAGTAGCTGGGATTACAGGCACCTGCCACCACACCCGGCTAATTTTTTGTATTTTTAGTAGAGACGGGGTTTCACCATGTTGGCCAGGCTGGTCTCGATCTCCTGACCTCATGATCTGCCTGCCTCAGCCTCCCAAAGTGATGGGATTACAGGCATGAGCCACCGGGCCTGGCCCAAAATGGCTCTTATTGAAAAGACAGAAAATAACAAATGGCTGGCACGGATGTGGAGAGGAGCCCTCGGACACTGTGGGTGGGAATGTAAATTAGCGCAGCCACTATAGAGAATAGTATGGAGGTTGCTCAGAAAAAAGTGAAACTAGAACTAACATATGATCCAGAAATTCCACTACCGGGTTTGTATCCAAAAGAAAGGAAATCAATATATCAAAGAGATATCTGCATGCCTGTGTTTATTGCAGGACTAGTCACAATAGCAAAAATATGGAGTCGACCTAAGTGTCCATCAATGGATGAATGGATATAGAAAATGCAGAATATATACACAATGGAATAGTATTCTGCCATAAAAAAGGGTGCAAGCCTGTCATAGGCACCAACATGGGAAACTGGAAGTCATTATGTGAAGTGAAATAAGCCAAACATAGAAAGACAAATACTGCATGTTCTCACTCATATGTGGGAGCTAACAAATGGATCTCATGAGGGTGCCTCCGTTGAGATTGGTGGTTACCAGAGGATGGGAAGGGGAGCTGGGAGGAAGGAAGGAGAGACATTGACTAATGGCTACAAATAGACAGAAGAAATAAAACCTAGTGTTTGATAGATCAACAGGGTGACTAGAGTTAACAATAATGTATGTATGTTTCAAATTAGCCAAAAGAGAACAGCTTGACTGTTCCTGGCACAAAGAAAAGATGAATATTTTAGGTGAAGATCCCAATCACCCTGATTTGATCTTTACAAATTATACAATGGTATTAAATTATCACATGTACCCTGAAAATATGTACATCGATTCTGTATCAATATAGAAAAGCTTTCTAGAGAGCCCATTTTTCTACACTCGGCACCTCCACAACAAGCAGGAAGCAGCCGGTGTGACCACACCTCCCAAAACCACCATTACGGGCTGCTTAGCATTCTAGGACACGGAGACGTCGTGGGGGAAACTGCAGGGTGACTGAAGAAGGAGAATCCCAGAACTCCCCCAAGGACGACAGTGCAGAGCCCACAGCGTTGTTGAAGGGGCTGGGTGAGCTGTGAGTAGATCCCAGGCACCATCACCATCGTCCTTGCCATTGCTGGCCGTCATCTCTGGTCATCGCAAACAGAGCCCCTTACGGTACGTTAGGGGATGGTGTGGAAACGCTTGGCTAAATGAAGATGCTGCTGACATTGCTACGTGGTGCCTGCCACACAGGCAGGCAATGTCTTCAGAGGAGCCCCAGCTTCTCCTCTCCCTTCTCCTCCTCAGATCTAGGTAGGGCCGCTTGTGCTCCCTTGGGGCATGAAGGAAAAACTTCACGCAGGCCACCCCTCTAGCCACCGTGCTCATTCAGAAGCCACACCAGACAAACGTTGAGGGGTGGGTAAGGCTGCCTGGGCCCTGGGCCCTCAGAACCTCAAGCAAAGCTGCCCGAAGGTGGGGTCTGCCCTGGCGTCTGTGGGGTGGGGGCACACAGTCTGATCCCAGTCTGACATGCACCAGCTGTGAGCCTCGAGATGCCTCAAGTATGTCTTCATGGAGCCGCCGTGAAGACGTGATGGCACTCAGTGGGACTCCCCACAGGGCCAGTGGAACCTGTCCCTGCCTGGCCCCCCAGTTACCCAGTTACCCGGTGCAACCTGTCCCCGCCTGGTCACCCAGTTACCTGGTGGAACCCGTCCCCACCCAGCCACTCTGTTACCAGGTAGAACCTGTCCCTGCCCGACCACTCTGCTGTGGGGAAAAGCAAGAGAGATCAGATTGTTACTGTGTCTGTGTAGAAAGAAGTAGACATAGGAGACTCCATTTTGTTATGTACTAAGAAAAATTCTTCTGCCTTGAGATTCTGTTAATCTATGACCTTACCCCCAACCCCGTGCTCTGTGAAACATGTGCTGTGTCAACTCAGAGTTGAATGGATTAAGGGCGGTGCAGGATGTGCTTTGTTAAACAGATGCTTGAAGGCAGCATGCTCCTTAAGAGTCATCACCACTCCCTAATCTCAAGTACCCAGGGACACAAAAACTGCGGAAGGCCGCAGGGACCTCTGCCTAGGAAAGCCAGGTATTGTCCAAGGTTTCTCCCCATGTGATAGTCTGAAATATGGCCTCGTGGGAAGGGAAAGACCTGACCGTCCCCCAGCCCGACACCCGTAAAGGGTCTGTGCTGAGGAGGATTAGTAAAAGAGGAGGGAATGCCTCTTGCAGTTGAGACAAGAGGAAGGCATCTGTCTCCTGCCTGTCCCTGGGCAATGGAATGTCTCGGTATAAAACCCGATTGTATGCTCCATCTACTGAGATAGGGAAAAACCGCCTTAGGGCTGGAGGTGGGACCTGCGGGCAGCAATACTGCTTTGTAAAGCACTGAGATGTTTATGTGTATGCATATCTAAAAGCACAGCACTTAATCCTTTACATTGTCTATGATGCAAAGACCTTTGTTCACATGTTTGTCTGCTGACCCTCTCCCCACAATTGTCTTGTGACCCTGACACATCCCCCTCTTCGAGAAACACCCACAGATGATCAATAAATACTAAGGGAACTCAGAGGCTGGCGGGATCCTCCATATGCTGAACGCTGGTTCCCCGGGTCCCCTTATTTCTTTCTCTATACTTTGTCTCTGTGTCTTTTTCTTTTCCAAATCTCTCGTCCCACCTTACGAGAAACACCCACAGGTGTGTAGGGGCAACCCACCCCTACACTCTGCCACTTCGCCGCCACCCATGCTGCCATTGCACTGATGCTGGCTTCTCGTTTCCTGCTCCCCCTCTTTCTGAACACCCCCCGGCAGACACAGCGCTTACATGGGAGTGCACGAAGGACACCCTTCCCTCACGCTGAGCTCAGCACAGAGCCTGCAGGAGTTGCCCGCAGCCCGGCGGCTGCCATGGAGATACACACAGGACACAAGTGTCTGTGATTTCTGTGGCCACACCTGTGCTGGCTGCTCCCGACGTCCCTGGAGGCCAGCTGTTCCGGCAGGGCTGGGGCACACACACAATCTCCACAGTGCAGCCGCGGCCTCCTGCTGGGAACGTCCGCCCCGTCCTGCCTCTCGGGGCGGCTAAGTCGCTAAGTCACGCCCGTGTCCGGCTCTGATTGGAAAAGGACGCCCTGGGCTTGGCTGGGAGGAAAGGCCAGAGGGTCCACAGGGGAAAAGCTCAGCTCTGGGGGGCATCCCTCCCTACAGCTGGGCCTGGAGAGGAGCCCAGCACACCTGATGGCCATCGCAGATCAGGAAACCGTCCTCCCCTCCCTCCTGCCCTGGGCCAAGCAGGTCCTGCCAGTTACTATAAAATAAAGCGGGGGGTGTGGGTGGCACCAAAAGCACAGCAGGCGAGACGCGGGGCACAGGAAGGAAGGAAGCCACAGCAAGGCTTCTGGTCTCTGCCGCTCATCAGAAACCTTTCTTCCGCCCTCAGCCACTGTCCCTCTTAATCCAGCCACATTCACGGTTTCTGTATCACCCAAAACATCATGTTTGTTGGAACTTATTTTATTTTAGATTCAGGTCTTGTTAACCATTGCTCCAGGATGCTTTACTTTCCTTGTCTTAAACGGGAACTTCCCAGGTCATGTTATTAAGAAGTGGGTGCCCAGGAAGCACGGGTCGCAGCTCCACACGGACAGAGGCTCCTGGGACCTGGGACTGGCTCTAGGTCATGACAGCTCAGCAGGATTCCAGGGACCGACGGATTCAGTCCTGAGGGGCAGACCAGGTCCTGGTAGGTACAGCAAGGAGGACTCCCCTGCAAGTCTGGAGCAACAAGGCCCCATGAAGGGAGACAAAACCAGGGACCCTGACACGGTGGCTACAAGGGCAGAGGTGAGAGCAGAGGTGTGAAGGCCACGCAGCCCCCAGGACGCCCCCAGGACAGGCTGGCCTATGCTAAGCCACGCGGCTCCCCAGACTCCTGAATGGAGAAGAGGGTGCTGGCCTCAGAGGCTCTCGTGAGGGCCGTGGAGGGGAGCGGAAAGCCAGGCAGGCAGCTGCCACCCGAGCCTGGTGTTTGCTCGGTCAAGGTGCCACAGCCCCCATCACCCCGGGGTGGGGGCCACCACCATGCCCTGAGGACCGAGGGCCTTCTCTGAGGCCAGCCAGAGGGTCGATGTTCCTCTGCGCCTTTTCCAAACAGCAGGATGGTGCAGAAACCTCAGGAGGGTAAAACCCGTCAGCTATTCCCCTTGGGGCACTGTCTCTCTGTGCAGGGAAGAGTCAGCAGTTCTCTCTGTTGGAGCAGACGCGACCTCCAGCTCTAACCAAGACTCTCAGACCACGTTCAAGTTGCAGCCAGCAAGGAGCCCGGAGCTGGTATCCCGGAGCTTGTTCTTTCCTGGGGCGCTTTGTTTCAGTCCACAAGCCAACGCTCCGTAGCGCGGCCCCCACCCTCCTGCCGTGTGGGGCAAACTATTCAAAGTCCCCTGGCCGTCAGAAGGTTCCAGAGGGTGTGCAGTCACTTTCCTCCCCATTCTCACAGCAGCAGGACCAATGGGGACGTGGCTTTGTCTGCATCCCTGCGGCCCCTGCCACTGCACTCGCCACCATCAAAAGCTTCTCCTCTCGGAGCTCAAGGACACATCAAATGATGTCACACCACTTCACGCCCTTCTCCCAGCAGCCCCGCTTCAGTGCCTGGGAAGCTGCACAAAATAAGATTCTGTTATCAAGCAACGCTGCACTTCCCACATCTGGATGCACGCCAAGACAAGACGTCAGTCATTTCCTGGTGAAATGAAAGAAAGCCACGCTTCCTCCACGCCCATTGGGTCACGAAATCCTTGCTAATCCTGGCCGGGGCACTGGAGGATGCTATAAACAATCACGGATCTGAGCAGGTGGATGAAGGGAACGTAGATGACACGTTGAGGGTGTGGTGCGGGCAATACACAGACTAAGAGTGGGAACTGGCGAAGTGAGCTATAATCCCAAGCATAAAGGAAAGGAGGGGAGGTGGCCTCCAGCGCCTCTCCTACTAGTTAAAGGAGAGAGAGGGAGAAAAATACCACTGGAACCTCCAGGCAGGTCAGACGGGCACTTGGGGCTTATGTGCATTATTTGATGGAACAAGCAGTGTCTTTGTTTCTTAGGATGGCCATTTTTATCTTTTTGATAAGTGTGGAGGAAGTTGGCTTAGTATAATTTAATTTCTCTCTCCTATTAACAGGTCTCAGTAAAACAATGGGGAATATACCAAAAAAGAGAGAGAGAGAGAGAAAGCCAAAAGAACATAAAACTAGCACATTAGTCTTTTAAATAAAAATGCAGAGGAAGATAGGGAAGGAAAAGAATACTACCCAATATTAGTCCAGACCTCGAATACGACCAGGACAGCCTGCCACAGCAGAAAGACCAGGTGTGTGGGCTTTTGTTTTGTTTTTGTTTTCTTTCGAGATGGACTCTCACTCTGTCGCCCAGGCTGGAGTGCAGTAGCGTGATCTCAGCTCAGTGCAACCACTGCCTCCTGGGGTCAAGTGATTCTCCTGCCTCGGCCTCCCAAGTAGATGGGATTATAGGTGTGTGCCACCACACCCGGCTAATTTTTGTATTTTTAGTAGAGACAGGGTTTCACCATGTTGGCCAGGTTGGTCTTGAACTCCTGACCTCAGGTGATTCACCTGCCTGGGACTCCCAAAGTGCTGGGATTACAGGTGTGGCCACTGTGCCTGGGCAGGTGTTTGGTCTTTCTAATGGCAAAAGGCTTCCTTCGAACTTTACCCTTGCTAGATCTTAATATTGATTCAATGGGGAGGCATATTTTGCTAACAGCAAAGAAGAAAAACATCATTGAATAATTGAGATACAATTCTCAGTCTAAGGCCATCAAACTGTTTGTGGACAGGAAGTGGAAGCAGAAGCTGAGCCTGGCTTTCCAGGCAGAGGCCTCTGCTGTGGTGCCCAGGAACCATGTCAGGAGCCCACTTCTGAATAAAGATGCCCCAAGGCAGCCCCGTGGGCAGGTGCCCTCAGGCCCAGGGCCCCCTGTGAACGTGGATCATGGTCTTGGGCCAGCCAGCATCCAGTTCCAGCTTCATGGTGGAAGCATCAAAGTGTTCTTGGTTAACCCATTTTAGAAATTCCTTCAGTTACCAGGTGACTCTTCCCTTTCTCCAGTTCGGCTATAGTTTCCTTTCATAACATATTTGCTGACGGACTTTAATTAGAATCCTTCACTTTCGGCCGGGCGTGGTGGCTTACACCTGTAATCCTAGCATTTTGGGAGGCCAAGGGGGAGGATCACCTGAGGTTAGGAGTTCAAGACCAGCCTGGCCAACATGGCAAAACCCTATCTCTACAAAAAATACAAAATTAGCCGGGCATGATGGCAGGTGCCTGTAATCCCAGCTACCCAGGAGGTTGAGGCAGGAGAATGGCTTGAACCCAGGAGGCAAAGGTTGCAGTGAGCCAAGATCACACCACTGCATTCCAGCCTGGGTGACAGAGTAAGACTCTATCTCAAAAAAAGAATTAATAAATAAATAAAATTTAAATTTAAATTTTAAAAAAATCCTTCACTTCCCCTGACACAGACTTTAAAGTACGAATCATCACACCCAAATTCAGCTCTGAAGACATTGTTTTCTGAAGTGTTCACGCCCTGTTTTGGGCATACCAGGAAAGGAGGCAGTGTTCTGTTCTGTTTTCTCATATCCTACCTGAATCTTATGATTGATTTTACAGCTAACGTTCTACAGCTCCCCGTTCTCCTAATCACAGCTCTGAGGTCCTCCCCAAATGATCACTGAGTAAGAAAACATCTTGGGACCTTTTTTAAGTCAAGGAAATGATACAGATGGCTCGAATGTTCCCACAAAGTGCATATGGTCCTGGAGAAGGGAGACCACAGCTCTACCAAAGCTGCCATCTGAAACCCCCTCAGGCCCATATTTCTAGACAGCACAGTCGCAAACCGAGGGGTCCTTATCTTCACTAAACTAGCTTTGCTTTTGCTGTGGAGCCTTGTTTGCTTGCTTCTGTTATTGTCCAAATCTTAACTGACTCTGACTTGGCCTATAAGGCAGGTTCACCCACCCGGTAGAGCCATGCTAGTGGCTCCTAGCAGCCCAAGAGCCCAGCCTGTAACCATTCATCCCTGGAGGGAAAGGAGCTGAACCTAAAGTTTCCAGTACAACCTCCTCCCCGCCCCGTCCTCTGCACCTTCCTCTCCCATCGTTTATTTTCATTTCCATCTCCAGTCTTCTATCTCAAGCTCCACTTTCCACCTGCCTAGGCATGGACTTCTCCAACCTCTTAGTTCCGCTTCTTTTCAATTAGAGAGAATTCTAAATCAAAAGCGTGTCTGCAAAGTGGAGAGATTCAAAAGATGAGAATCTCCTCTAAAGATTGCAATCAGTGGCCAAGAGTGAGGGAGGGAATTCACAAAGTTCAACTCCTTTCAGAAAACATCTGTGTTCGTCGGGAATACTGGCCTGTAGTCTTCTTTCCCTGGAGTGTTTGTCTGGCTTTGGCATCAGGGTAATGATGGCCTCGTAAAATCTGTTTGGAAGTGTTTCCTCCTCTTCAGTGTTTTGGAAGAGTTTGAGAAGATGGGTATTAGTTCTTCTGGAAGTGTCTGGTAGGATTCAGCAATGAAAACATCCGTTCGTGGGCATTATTTTGGCTGAGACATTTTATTACTGATTCAATCTCCTTACTCGTTACAGTCTGTTTTTCTGTTTCTTCATGATTCAGTCTTGGTAGGTTGTATGTGTCTAGGAAGGGCTCCATTTCTTCCAGATTGTCCAATGTCTTGGCGTATAAATGTCCACAGTGGTCTCATGACCCTTGGTGTTTCTGTGGTATCCATTGTAACGCCTCTTCTTTCATTTCTGATTCTATTTATTTGAGTCTTCTCTCATTTCTCAGTCTAGCTGAAGATCTGTCCATTTTGTGTCTTTTCAACAAAACAACTCCCAATTTTGATGATCTTTCCTATTGTTTTTCTAGGCTATTTGACTTGTTTCTTCTCTAATCATTGTTATTTCCTTCCTTCCACTAACTTTGGGCTTAGTTTGTTCTTCATTTCCTAGTGCCTTGGGGTGTAATGTTAGGTTGATTAGAAAACAAAATAAGCTAACCCAGGAAGCTGGAGTGAGAAGATTCCAGCTAGAAAGCACAGACGCCTTCACTTCAGCCTCAACCTGTGATCAGAGCAGACACAGCAGGAAAGCAGGAAAGCTTTCATTTCCATATACCAGACTCAGAGCTGAAAAGAGGCAAAGAAAGTCTTCTCTCCCAAAATTAATCAATGCAAGAGGAGCAGACCATTTCACTGCTTCACACTGGCACTTCTCACCTTGTTTCTCTTGCCCAACCCTAGTAAAAATGATTCCCATGTGAGCACAACAGCCTGGACATTGTGGTTTAAAAGTCTGGTCACTGTAGTGAGAGGAAAAAAAGATCTGTCTGGTTTCATGAGAAGAAATGCTCAGTGGAGAGATGGTTACTCGTGTTTTCCAGATGGTTCTGTGGACCCCAGAACGCTGTCCCAGCCAAACTCCACCACAGATACCACCTTCAGAGTTGGCCAGGAGCTGCAGGAAGCCCACAAAGGTTGATTTGGAAGAAGCAACATCCTACAAACCAGATCCATCCACACAGAGAGCAGGCTCTGCTCCTTGGCAGTAGTCTCTACTTAGTGCTAAGTACTAAGTACCTCCTAAGTTGTAGTCTCTGCTTAGTACTAGGTACCTCCTGAGTCATAGTCTCTGCTAAGTACTAAGCACTAGTCACTACTATATATCTCCTAAGTATCAGTGTCTACTTAGTACTAACTACTGCTAAGCACTAAGTACCTCCTAAATAGCAGTCTGTTTAGTACAAAGTACTATTAATGATAATTACAAACTACCTCCTAAGTAGCAGTCTTTGCTTAGTTCTAAGTACTGCTAAATACTAAGTACTTCCTAAGTCACAGTCCCTACTTCGTATCTAATACCTCCTAAGCAACAGTCTCTACTTAGTGCTGATCCCTCCCACCCCGAGTCACTGACATCACTTCCTGTCCTCCCTCCTTCCTCACAATGTGGCCCATTTTCCCCACTGACCACCAATGCAGCACCCAGTCCCTGGGAAGAGAACAAGCTGCCTCCTTCCCCCAGGACTTCCATGGTGGTTCCTGCTCAGCCAGAAGGGAAAGGCCAGGCTCTGAAGTCCTTCCAGCTAGCTCCTGCTTCTTCACTCAGAAGTGCAGGAAACTGACCTTCCCATTAATGCTTCAGAGGGGGTAGTAGCACAGAAGTTGGAAACGCAAATTAAAAGGTGAAAGGTCAAGGCAGTGTCCTGAAGAAAAAGGCTGAACAAGCCTCAAAAACACACCTTTCAGGTATTCATGAAAAAGGAACAGATACACAGAGTGTCTGTAGACAGTGAGCTGTGTGTTTTGCGTGAGTGTGAATGAGCGTGTTTTGTGTGTGAGCTGTGCATAAGCTATGAGTGTTTATGAGTTTTTGTGTGAGCTGTGTGTGAGGGTGTGTGTGAATGAGCATGTTTTTTGTGTGTGTTTTGTGTGAAAATGAGTGTGTGAGCGTGAGTTTTGTCTGAGTTGTGTGTACAAGCTATGTATGTGTTTTGTGTGAGCTGACTTGTGATTGTTTTGTGTGTCAGTTGTGTGAGTTCTGTAAGCTGTGTAAGTTGTGAGTGTGTGTGGTTGTGAGTTGTGTTAGAGTGAAAGTGTGTGTGTGTGTGAGTTGTGTGGTTAGCGTCAGAGTATGTGTGGGTGTGTGTGAGTTGTGTGAGTGTGAGTTGTGTGTGAGAGTGTGTATGAGTGTGAGTTGTGCACATGTGAGTGTATGGGGGGCGTGTGTTATATAAAATATTAAACTTTTTCTCTGAGCTCAGTGTCTCCCAGTGTGACAGAGCCCCAGTGCCCCGGGGTGGGGGCCGTGGGAGAAGCGACAGGCCTGAGCGAGGCCAGCAGTTCGAAGCCCCTGCTCCCTGGCTGTGTCATGTGGACAAGTGACGTCGTCTTGAGGATGGCCTCGTGAGGCGGCGGTGGGCATGAAATGAGATGAGGCGTCCAGCCCTGCATCTGCAGCGTGGTCAGCACAGAGGCTGACATCCATGGTCATGCCGGAATCCGTGGTCATGCCAGAATCCGTGGCCATGCCGGAATCCATGGCCATGCCGGAATCCGTGGTCATGCTGGAATCCACGGTCATGCCGGAACCCATGGCCATGCCGGAATCCGTGGTCATGCTGGAATCCACGGTCATGCCGGAACCCATGGCCATGCCAGAATCCGTGGTCATGCCAGAATCCGTGGTCATGCCGGAATCCACTGATGGTGCACGTGACCCACGATGGGAAAAGTCACAAGACAGCTTCAGAGCTGGTCAAACGGGACTGAGAGGGGCTGC
Source organism: Homo sapiens (assembly GCF_000001405.40). Lineage (NCBI taxonomy): Eukaryota > Metazoa > Chordata > Mammalia > Primates > Hominidae > Homo > Homo sapiens. The sequence goes on from NC_000007.14 coordinate 158,245,414, forward strand.
ACCAGGAATGCGCGGCCTGTTGAGTTTCAGTGATGAGGCCATCAGAAGCCATCTCCACGCACTTCTCATAGAGCGCATGGGCCGCCCTGGCCTGAGTCAAACCAGGGGCCTTTCATCCGAGCCGACCTCTTGACGTAGAGTCAGGTCTCCTTGCCGAGAGTGGGACCTGCACCCTGATCCATTACTAGGTGGAGGGAGTTTTCCAGACTGGGTTTGTTTGGGTTGATACAAAGGCAACTCTGCACATCCAAATTCGCATGGATGGGAGCTGCCTTCTAGGCCCCTCTGGCAGTTTCCCCAGGAGTCAGGCACAGCGTCTCATGACGTGGCTGTGTGAACAGGTGAGTGGGGATGTGGAAGCAGCCGGCTCAGGGCCGGCACACAGTAGGTCGCTTGTGCGTGGCCACCATGCTATCCGCCAACCCCGGTGCCATGGTTATCCCTATGCTGACTCACAGGCATGGGGCTGCTGACTCACAGGCATGGAGCTGGACATCAGTCTGGCTCGCAGGCACACTGGAAAGCTGCTCTTACCCTACTAACTTTCAGTCACTGAGACACAAATCAGGGCCTGGTTGGCAGCAGCGAGACCGTCAGGGTGCCCTCCCCACCTGCGACAATAAACACCGCATGATGTTACCCTCCAGGGATGACCCAGGATTGTGTGAAACCAAAATTCATTAAAAATGAATATTCTGGGCCAGGCTGCATTCACTAATTGATTGATTGATTGATTGATAATTTGATTTATTTAAAATACACCTTTCTCGTAAGCTTCTCGGCACATACGGCAAAATATAAATACCCCACATGAATAAAATTATCACTTGAAAAAACTCATCACTTGAAGGAAGAGGGGGAAAAATCCATGTTATGGAAATGGCAGCGTAATGGGTGGGTCTCCTGGTGACCAAAGACATCCTGGGAGGTGAGAGATGGAGAGAGAAACAGAGGCTTAAAGATTTGGAGTCGAGACGCGTCTCTCTACCAAGAAGGAAGAAGACGGCTCTCACTGCCCCCAGCTCTAACTCCGTGTGGTCCACAGGACAGGAAGTCCCACACGGGAGAAGGAGGATGCTGGGGCTGCTGACGATAAGAAAATGTGAGCGTTTCACAAGTCACCGTGGGTGGTCATTGTCCTTGTCCACGGGATTTTTCAAAGTAGGACAATCTGTATTTTAAAGAAGTTGCGTTTTCTTCCTTTTTGACCTTTTTAAAGACTTATGCAGAAAGTGACTGCAACCAAAAGCATATGGTTTTATTGCTAATTCAACCTTACAGAGCTGACAGGCAAGGCCGACCAATGTGTGGGAGGGCTCTGATGACAGCAACGACGACAGTGAATCCAGGGGTGACGTCCCCCAGGCGTGTGCTTCCCATGGCCATGCCGGAATCCGTGGTCATGCCGGAATCCACTGATGGTGCACGTGACCCACGATGGGAAAAGTCACAAGACAGCTTCAGAGCTGGTCAAACAGGACTGAGAGGGGCTACACCAGGAATGCGCGGCCTGTTGAGTTTCTGTGATGAGGCCATCAGAAGCCATCTCCACGCACTTCTCATAGAGCGCATGGAGCTTCCCAGAGCAAGCGTGCAGCCATGCCAGGCCTGGGCTGGGAGACATGTGTGAGGACGCACGATGGGGTTAGGCAGCCTGAGAAACCATCCCTGGCACGGGCTGCCTCAAGGAATGAGGAGGTGTGGGCTTCCCGGCTGCCCATCCCCATATCTGCACATAGCCCCTGCATCTCACTACACAGAGCGTGGCCCGTGGGTGGCACCCCCCAGCATGGCCAGGAGCACCGAGGCGCACGCTGGGCTCTGAGACGCCCCCTGGCCAAGAGGGGTGGAGGAAGGGGGCAGGCGCCAGGATCTGGAAGGAGATTTCCAACCCACGTGGGGTCTCACAGGAGAAGGCCGTGATGGGAGGTGGGGAAGTGGGGAGGAGGGCGCTCTTGACCGTGTCTGCGTGTCTAAGCAAAGGATACAGGGGCGCAAAGGGAAGGAGTGGCCAGGGGTGCCCGTCCCAGGTGTGCTCTTCTTCACGGCGCCCCTGCTTCCCCACCACGCCCATGTCCACGGCTCGTGGGCAGCTGGGCACTGGGCCACTCAGACACCGTCCTAAACACTCCACACAGGTAACTTGCTCCCTCTCCAGCCACACAGCAAACACAGCAAAGGGGACTTGGGTGTCTGCGGTTTTTTTGTTTGTTTGTTTTTAAGATGGAGTTTCATTCTTGTGGCCCAGGCTGGAGTGCTATGGTGCGATCTTGGCTCACTGCAATCTCCGCCTCCCGGGTTCAAGCGATTCTCCTGCCTCAGCCTCCTGAGTAGGTGGGATTACAGGCATGCACCACCATGCCTGGGTAACTTTGTAATTTTAGTAGAGATGGGTTTTCCCCATGTTGGCCAGGCTGGTCTCGAACTCCTCACCTCAGGTGATCCACCCACCTTGGCCTCCCAAAGTGCTGGGATTACAGGCATGATCCACCGCGCCCAGCCTACCATCTGTGTTCTTAACCATACCTCGCACAAGACCCCAGCCTGGAGAGAGGAGCGGGAGGGGGAGGCCTTTATCCCCCCATTATTAGGGAGATCCCAAAGGCTTGTCTCATAAAATCACAGCACATCGTTTCTGAGGGTAAAGAATTAGAGACTCCTTGAAAATGGGAGAGAATGAGTGATGCTTTAACAAGCTTCTAAGATGAAATCCTAAAGCTGGGGCTTTGCTCAGAGCCCACTAAGGCCAGGCGGGTCATGCTGTCCTTCCAGGAGCGGCCCCACCCCTTCCGTCTTGACACTCAAACCATCGGGCTGGAGGCAAATGTCAGAGGAGAAAAGCCTTTGCTTTTCTCCCAGCTCTCCTGTAAGAAGCCGCTGAGCTGCCAGCTATGCAGCAAGCACCTGCGTACCCCAAGATGCAGCCAGGAAGGAGTGGGGTACCCCGACCACGTGGGGACACAGCCCTCCCAAGGGGCAGCCAGTGTTTCCCTGAAGGAACTGAGGCCAGGAAGCTTGTTTCTCATTTACTTGAATTCAAATCTTAAAATGTTTGCAATAAATTCAAAATTTTCAAAATACTGTGTAGGACTGAACAAAACAAAACACTCCCACACACACCCCATGCACACATATCACATATGTGCATATATACACCACACAGTGCACACATGCCACACACGGACCCACATCACATACATGCACATACACACGCACACACACCACACATATGCACACATCACACCCACACAGCACATATGTGCATATATACACCACACACGTGCACACACGCCACACACATGCACCCACATCACATGCATGCCCCTACACACGCACACACATCACACATATGTGCACATCGCACACATCACATATGTGCATATAGATGACACACGTGCACACATGCCACACGCATGCACCCACGTCACATACATGCACATACACATGCACACACCACACATATGCACGCATCACACGCAGCACATATGTGCATATATACACCACACAGTGCACACATGCCACACACATGCACCCACATCACATACATGCACATACACGTGCACACCACACATATGCACACATCACACATGCAGCACATATGTGCATACATAAACACACGTGCACACATGCCACACACGTGCACCCACATCACACACATACACCACACACACCACACATATGCACACATCACACACACACATGAACATGCCACACACACCACACGTGAATCACATATTCATATCACCACACACGTGCACACAGCACACACACGAACACACATCACACACATGCACACCATACATAAATGCATACATACACGTATCTACCACACATCCTGCATGCACACGCATCACACACATGCACACCATACACACATGCATACATATGCATATCTACCACACCTGCATGCACACACCCTGCATGCACACACATCACACACATGCACACCATACATACATGCATACATACACATATCTACCACACCTGCACGCACACACCCTGCATGCACACGCATCACACACATGCACACCATACATACATGCATACATACACATATCTACCACACCTGCACACACACACCCTGCATGCACATGCATCACACACATGCACACCATACATGCATACATACACATATCTACCACACCTGCACACACACACCCTGCATGCACACGCATCACACACATGCACCATACCTGTGAGTTGGATTGGCTGATGAGTCTCCCAGTTGTGACGTCTATGCAGCCAATAAAATGTGGAAGAGGGGTTTCCTATGGTCAGTGAGGCTTTAGGACCAGAAAAGCCCCATCCCCTGGGGACTGCAGAGGGCTTTATCTCAGCGGTCAGATGCCCTCTGTGACATCATTGCCAAGCATCATTCACTCATAACTTTGACAGACATGCACTGAATGCATTCCCATTTAAACTGCTTCTCCTGTGCTCCAGCAAGACGCCACGTCCCTCCCCCAGTGTGTGTGCACAACGACCCGTGCAGTGTCATTGTGTCATAAATGCATCTGAGTGTAATGCAAGTGAGAGAACACGTGTTGGATGCACGACACACACACGAGTTTCCCACACTGGACACTCAGTGGATGCACAACACACACACGAGTTTCCTACACTTGACACTCAGATGCATTTATGGTCTACTCTTACCAAAGTAAAAAGCAACAGATGAATTGTTGAAGTATGGTACATCAGCTCTAAATGCTTCACATATTTATGGAAATATTATAATAAAGAAAATACTTATACTATCAAGGAAAGCCGAACAACAGGACCCACAATCGGATCTATGGGGTGGTCCCTGCCTCTAACCTGAGCTCAGATAAAGTAGGACACTTAAGCCCTCATTTTTAGGATGTATGAATGTGGATATTCTCTCATTCCTACTGTTGCATAATTTTCAGATTCTTTCTAATGCATATAGGTTATTTATTGTTATACATTTATAGCATAATGCATGCCTATTTAAGAAAATTGAAATGGTATCAAAACAAGGCAGAAATTGCACAGAACAGCAAAAGGGAACCGGCCTCCCCATCCTCATCCCCTCTCCATCTGCTCTTAACCCAGACTCAGGTTTTGCTTTTCTGCATACATGTACACACCCATGTACACACACATTCCATACATATGCACACACACACGTACACACACATCCCCCCCACATCCACACAGAAACAGAAGTGATAGAAAACAACGATTTTTATAAGACAGGTATATTTTCTTTGCAAAATCTCAAACCCCCGAATTGTTGTGGTTTCTCTCTCGTCTGTTTTTTGACGTGATGCAAAACATGTTTGAATGTTGCGCCGTAGTCCTGATTCCTTCAAATCAACATCAGCTGACTCTTAGCAGCACTGTGCTATCACTATTTCATATCATTTTCAACCAGTCATAAATGTGTCCTCCTAACCATGTTGCCACAAAAGACAATTCCAGATGCTTTGCTATCTGGTAGAGAAAAAATTAACAATTCGCTTATTCTTAAAGTGTTTGTGGGGAAATTTTCCAAAAGAAAAAAGGTGAAATTACGCACAGTGAGATGAGCACATTTTTACTTGATTGTAACAAGTACGGAAGTTAAAGCCCCCTGGAAATCTCGGTGGAAATCACATAAAGTAGACTCTAGGAGACAATTCCCTATCTAGGCTGGCATGAAATCCTAATGCATAGAAAGGGTAATGGGACACGCACAAAGCGTACTGTTACTTAGCAGGCTCTCAAGAACCACACAGCATGACGGTAATAATGTGCTCATCTTCAGGAGAATGGGAACAAGTGCTCAGGGTCAAAGAACTGGGCTCCCGTCCTGCCTGCTGAGGTCCCTGGGGTGCTTTGGAACCCTCATTGGTGAGCCGAGGAGAACCTCGCCTTTCTCCCAGCAGAGATCAGATGTCCTCCTTACTGCACGGATATGATACATGTGCATGCGGTATGTGTGCATGTGGGGCGTGTGCAGGTGTGCAATGGATGTATACAGTGCATGTGGGGCGTGTGCAGGTGTGCAATGGATGTATATGGTGCATGTGGGGTGTGTGCAGGTGTGCAATGGATGTATATGGTGCACGTGTGGTGTGTGCAGGTGTGCAATGGATGTATATGGTGCATGTGGGGGGTGTGCAATGGATGTCTATGGTGCCTGTGGGGTGTGTGCAGGTGTGCAATGGATGTCTATGGTGCATGTGGGGCGTGTGCAGGTGTGCAATGGATGTCTATGGTGCACATGTGGTGTGCACAGGTGTGCAATGGATGTCTATGGTGCACGTGTGGTGTGTGCAGGTGTGCAATGGATGTCTATGGTGCACGTGTGGTGTGCACAGGTGTGCAATGGATGTATATGGTGCACGTATGCATGTGTGTGTCCCCCTCATTACCTCACATGCGTATAGAGCACAGACACACACCTTAATAAAGCCCAGAGTATGCTCAGCACAGTAAGTGTGCAAATCCTGAAACGCTGTAAAACTGGACCTGTGACTTGAAGCCTCCATTCCATTGTTGGGGACACACAAGCAGGGCTCCCTAAGGGGAGGTCAGGGAAACGAGAGCCACCACATACCTGCCCCAGGCTCAGGGCAGGTCCCAGCAAAGCCCCTTCTTGGCTCTGGCCTCCTCATCGTCTGTGGGACACGCCCATTTTACCAGAAACACAAAGTTGGTCCCTCCATCCATCCTTCGCCTAAGCAGCCTGCCTCTCCAGTTGCCATGGCAACTCTGCTCTGGTTGCCGCACAGCCTCAAGCCTCAGCTGCTTGGAGTGGGTGGGAACGCGAGAGCACTTGAGCACCAGTGGCCTGACAACTCTGCCTCGTCCCCATCACCTCTGCGGCGAGAATCAGAGCAGTCGCAGAAGCTCCTGCCACACCACTCCCATAATCTCTCAGTGCCAATTACTTGGAGGAAAAATGGAATCATCCCCGTGCCCAGGGTGGTGAGTGGTGTCACCGTTCGGATGGCTCAGATGAAGGCGGCCAACTGGGCAGCGGGAATGGAGCCTTTCTAGGCAGGCAGACCCAAGCATACTGCTCCTGAATTAGTGTGTGGGTTGGTGAGCACTCCAGGCGGACCTGATAGCCCGGAGCCCTATCCCTCACTACCCCCCAGCCCCAGCCCTGCACCAGTTACCAAAGACAAACAAGAGACACGTTTCTCCAAAGGATGGCAGGACAGGACAGGGTAGGAAGGCCCCACCACCCCATCTCCAGGCACCTGGCTTTCAGGGAAGCCACCACGCCAGCTGCACAGACGCGTGACAGGCACCCCAGTGCTGAAGCCCAAGGAGGAGGCTGACAGCCCAGTTAGATCGAGTCCAAGCAGCAAAATCACACAGCACATCCCGACAATCAGCCGCATCACATGCAAAGCCAGAGAACGAACCTCTCACTCCCCAAATCCAATCCTCCCCAACATGAGCCACCCCCACCACCCCCGATTGATGGGGAGATTAACATGCCGGAAAACGACCCCATATCACAAAGCAGAGCCTGGTTTCTCAAAGGAGACCTTAATCTTCCCTCACCCTTGGGCTGGCGGAGTGAGAGTCCCTGTGGCCCGAGGTTCCTCCTGTCATGCCCACGGCACTCAGAACTGAGGCTGGCATGCGGAGGGTGTGGTTTCCCCGGACCAGACCTCGTTGTCCAGACCAAACCCAACCACAGTTCCAATCTGTTTTTTAGCCAAGTGCTTTAAATATGTGTCAAGCACTAATGCTGGGAGGACTTAAATAAATACATGAGCCTTTTCTTCTAATAAACTGGCAGATCCACCAGATCTACCTGGGCCAGTCTCATTTTCCAGGCGACTGAGCCTGGATGTGCATAACTGAAGCTGCCTGAGGACTGGAGGACTGACCGGGGCCAGCACAGCGGGCGGGGGCCTGAGGACTCGAGGACTGACCGGGGCCAGCACAGCGGGCGGGGCTCTGCCCATTAAATACACTTTCGCGTGTTTCTTTTAACAACGTGCTCCTTTCACAGAAGTGTTTTATGCTGCATTTCGTAGAAAGGAGGAAGCACTCAACAGAACCTTCCGTTTCCAGTCACCGGGTGATTGCCGCGCCTGTTGCTTCCACAAGGAACCCACTGCAAAACCATCTAGGGCAGGGGCAGCCCCGGGTCTCCAGAGCACACGCCAGACTCCCGAAACCCAGGCCAGGACCGCGCCCCACAGGAATCTGTCCCCTCCCCTCGGCGGTGGTCAGGTTGGCCTTGAGTCTTCCATGAGAATCTGCAGAATGCGGCACACAGGCGAGGCAAGACTGGGGACTTCCTTGAATAACAAGGTGTCCAGTGCTTTAAAAATACTCTAATGGTGAGGAAGGAAATTGAGAAAATGATTCATTAGAAGAGCGGAATAACTCTTTTTAAGAGCAGGCTCGCAGAAGTCGAGCTGGGCAACAGATTCTCGAGCCGCTGGCATCCATATTTATCGAGCAGAGGAAGCATCCCTGTAACTGCACGGCGGCACAGAGCCACTGCCCACGGCACGACCCGCCCTCCATCTCTACGTTCAGGAGCATCCCTGTAACTGGACAGCAGCACAGAGCCACTGCCCACGGCACGACCCGCCCTCCATCTCCACGTTCAGGAGCATCCCTGTAACTGGACAGCAGCACAGAGCCACTGCCCACGGCACGACCCGCCCTCCATCTCCACGTTCAGGAGCATCCCTGTAACTGGACAGCAGCACAGAGCCACTGCCCACGGCATGACCCGCCCTCCATCTCCACGTTCAGGAGCATCCCTGTAACTGGACAGTGGCACAGAGCCACTGCCGCCCACAGCACAACCCGCCCCCCATCTCCACGTTCAGGAGCATCCCTGTAACTGGACAGCGGCACAGAGCCACTGCCCACGGCACGACCCGCCCTCCATCTCCACGTTCAGGAGCATCCCTGTAACTGGACAGTGGCACAGAGCCACTGCCCACGGCACGACCCGCCCTCCATCTCCACGTTCAGGAGCATCCCTGTAACTGGACAGTGGCACAGAGCCACTGCCCACGGCACGACCCGCCCCCCATCTCCACGTTCAGGAGCATCCCTGTAACTGGACAGTGGCACAGAGCCACTGCCCACGGCACGACCCGCCCTCCATCTCCACGTTCAGGAGCATCCCTGTAACTGGACAGTGGCACAGAGCCACTGCCCACGGCACGACCTGCCCTCCATCTCCACGTTCAGGAGCATCCCTGTAACTGGACAGTGGCACAGAGCCACTGCCCACGGCACGACCCGCCCTCCATCTCCACGTTCAGGAGCATCCCTGTAACTGGACAGTGGCACAGAGCCACCGCTGCACACAGCAGTAAAAATGTACAGCCCTCCCTCTCTGCGTTCAGGAGCAGAGGGCATGAGTTTCACCTCCCTACAGGACAGGAAACTACGACAGTCATCTTTGCACCTGAAGAAACAAATTATTTAAACTTTCTCATCCTGCAGTTTACTTCTTAGACATGTCTACTTTCTATAGCAAAATAGATCTGGACACGAATAATAAATGCGAAGCATGGTGTTACAGGGAAAATCCCGAGGCATGGCCCAGGCCCAGGAAGAAGCTGCAGAAAAGGAGAAATTCATGTCCCTCCCCTGCTGTCTTTCCTAGGACATCCCTTCCCTGCTCACCCACGTCCAGGACCTGTTCTTTGTATAGAGGTTCCTGTCTTCTGGTGTTGAGTGACACAGAGCAACCCAAAAGCTCCCTCGCAGAAGCCCCTGCAGGCTTCACGACGTGTGAGCAAGGGAGGTTCTTTGGCTAAAGACCCAGACAAGGCAATGATCTACCCAACAAGATCACCAAGGGCAAGACTTCACGCGAGCACAGCTGAGGAAGATGTTTGGGGCTTATCTGACCGTTTCTACAAGCATCTCTCAAATCACACCACAGAGGAAACCAAAAGGCCTGGTTCAGCCTCCAGGGGCCGGGCTCTGGAAGAAAGTAGGCCCAGGGCAGGAGTCCACGGCCACAGGGAACAGGGAATGCTGCCTTCCTGTGGGGAACAAGAGGATCGGCCACTCCACCACCAAAGATCCGCGGCCGAACCACCTTGCTGAAATTTAACCTGAACTTGCCTCAGCACGACAGCTTCAGGATTAAAAGTGGTTCACGGATTTGGGGAACTGCAGAGGACAGTATGTGTGTACAGAGAATTACACAATCATGTAGCTTTTTGTGGAGTGAGGGGTGTTGAGCCCTCTGTCCATTCAGGATGCTTTGGAAATGTTTTTACCAAACTATGAGTCTCACAGTTTCGAGGACTCCATTCCCGCTGGGGCTGTGCTGTCCGCCGCACCCTTGCACTGGGCCCTGACCCACCCTCCCACCCCATGCACCAAGCTCCTGGCCACTCTTTTCTGGCTGCCCTGGGCTCGCCAGCTGATGAGGCCAATGGGCCCTCCTGTCCCTGGGGCTTGGCACTAAGCCTCAGGGCACCCGTCCTCACTGCCTGACTACCTTTCTCTGCCTGTTCCAGCTGGACCCACTGAGCAAAACCTTCTAAACCAGACGATGCTCAGAACTACCCAGCCTCAGAACTACCTCTGTCCTCAGACTTAGATGCCACAGGAAACCCCTTGCTGGGAGAGCCAGTGCTGACTCCAGCTTCTCAGCGGGTTTGATTTTGGATGCCGTGATCAGAACCCTGCAGGTGCTGTGTGTTCTGTCTCATCCAGGGATGTCCCGTGTCTACTGCAGGACCTTCGGGGGAGGCCTGCCTGCAGAATCTCTGTGCAAAGGTGATGTGGGCAGGGAGTGTTGACGACGATGCTTTGATGGTCCTCTTCTGTTGTCTCCCATAGGCACAGCTTTGGACCAAGCTCTGTCCCCCACACAATGGACTGACCTCTTGGGACTCAGAGTCTGATGCCGACTGGCTGAGGAAAGTGGACGTGGCAGGGACCCCGCGGCTGCCTCTGCTGAGGGGGACAAGAGGGCACCGAGGCTTCTCCTCACTCTGAGAGGAGTTGTCACGTGCACCCTTGGAGCAAGGTCACCAGCCAGTCACAAGTGCAGGGCCATTATTCTGGTCCGCGCCATGTGGAATTTTAAAAAGTTTTAGATGGTGGACCATTGGCAGTTTTAGAAATACACTAAGGCCCCGGAAGACCTACCTATTGGTTCAGGTACCTGAGGAAAGGTGGTGGAGGAGACAGAAGCTGGCGGGGGCGGGGGGGAACCTAGGCAGCTCCCGTGAGGACAAGTGATGACGGCAGAGAAGAGGGCAGGACTCAAGCAGCTGGGCGCCCAGCAGAAGCTCCATGTTGGACAACCATGCACTACCCTGGTGGCTTGAGAGCAATAGAATTTGCCCGAGCTTAAAATTAAACTCAGCCCTAATAGGAAGTTTATGGAATGATTCACCATCTGTAATAAAATTTATCTTTCTTGGAGTAGAAAAGAGTATTTTTCCCAAAAAATATAGTCTCTAAGAAATTGTGGAATAATCAAATCTATCTATAACCTAAACTTATGCAAAAAGAAACATGGATGTGAGTTTATTCTGCCAAAACGAGGAATAAGGTCCTTCAAGCTACCAGCTTTTTGCCGTCTGGGAGCTTGGGTTTCAGAAGATCCCCTGTAAATTCCGGACCCCTAGTTCCCTGGAACAGGCATGAGACAACCTGCTAAGGCAGACTGAGAGCCCAGTCAGATCCCTGCTTTCCCTGGGATCTGGGTTGAAATGGAGTTGAATGAGGGACCCGGACAACCAGAATCATGCTCAAAGAGGTTTCGAGTATCCTCTGTCTACCACCCAGGTCAGCAGGCGGGGTTTGCCCTGGACCAGCGTGTGGAGAGACCCGGGCACACGGCTGCTCAGGACGCAGTCAGACGCGGAACCCGACCCCTCAGGTTTGATCACAGAAACCTGTGGCGTGTTTCTGGGGTAGGATCCTTCCTTTAAATAAAAACTTACACAGGAACCAAATGTTCAGAGAGTCTACATCCCAGATTTGGCTGATTCTTTTCTCCTCAGCGTTACAATGAGATGGCGTGATTTGAGGACCTGCTGTACGTGCGCTAAACGTCTTTTTCTTGTTACTCTGACATTCGAATCCAGTCAGGCATCCTGTATTCAATCTGGAACTCTGCTCTTCCTTCTGGGGGGCCCTCAAGCTCTGGGAATCATAGGATAAGAGGACTGTGGTGCTGGACGACCCCGAGCCCCCAGTTGGGTGAGCAAGCGTGCAGCAGCGAGAAATGTCTGAGCCCCCAGGCTTCAAGCCCACTTCGCTCAGCCTGGGTCTCACCCACTGTACAAAGGATCCAACCCTGCAGCTCCGCTCCTGGAGGACTGACCAAGACCTGCGGCGGTGACTGCCCCCGCCCAGCCCCACGGCGCTGACCTGGAACTGCCCTGATGATGAGAATCACAGGGATGGCGTGCGTGCCAGGGGTGAGCCCGCCTGCAGAGGAGCTGGTGAGGGCCACAGCCCATGCCCTCCCCTGCTGGGCTCCTTGCTGTCAGCTGACAGTACCCTGGCTTCGCGGTGACAGCAGCTCTTCCTCTGAGCGCTGCCTCAGCTCATCACATGAGCTGAGAGTGGGATGGGTCTCATCATAGCTACCTTCTATCCATTCTTTTTTACCTAAGGCTTTCTTGAGAGGCAGTTTTCACTTTGCAGCCTGAATCCTACTCTGCTTCAGGTAAGATAACTGGGCGGGAGCCTGACAGTTTAAGAGACCCAAATAGAACTAATCTCCAAGCGGGCACGTAAGAACAGCTCACAGCATGGCTGCCCCGGCTCCTTCTCACCTGGGATTTCTCCTGGAGCATTCCCGACGTCCACACACCACATTTCCTCCGCTCTGTCTGCTGCAGAGCCTGCTCCAGGGTGAACACAGGCCGTCCTGAATCAGCCGCTGACGCCTCCCCCGGCATCTCCACGTGCAGCCCCTGCCCTGCGCGACTGGCGTGGAAAGGGCTCTGGTGCGTCTCACACTCTGCTATCATCAGCCTCCTTCCTGCTCCAGTTCTTAAGTTCTTGTCTTTTCTGTTGTCTGCATTTAATTTAAATTTCTATGAATCGCCGCGAGACGACCCTGTGAGTACGCACTCCATGTGCATGTGCTTCTCCACGGAGGGAGCTGCCTGGGTGGCCGCCCTGCTGATCCTCTGCATCCAGCCTCTGGTAGGATGGGGGCGACCACATCAGATACCACCTCTGTGGAAGGGTCTGTGTCTCCTCCCCTGCCCCCCAGTCACAGCTTTGGGGGAGATTTCAGAGGTTTCAGGGCCTTCCCTGAAGCCTTTCCTGGAAGGTGGATTCTCTTGCTTTTTCAGCAACCACCAGCCGTTGGCTCTGCTGGAATGGCATCCAGGGTTTTCCTTGTTGCTTCTGTATCTGTTTGTTTTGGCCTATTTGTTGTTCATATTGTTAAGCTTTAGGGAGGAACATTTGGGGATCTGGTTTCACAAGGTCCCAGGAAGCCAGAAGTCTCCTGCAGCCACGCGAGGTCTGTCCACGAGGCCTGCACTGCGTGGTCGTGCTGGGTAGACACACCGGCTAGGAGACGAATGTGGAAGAGTTGATTTCAACTAAAGGATCCAGAGTGGGGTGAGGGAGGTGCAGCGTCGGTACAGGGAGGCAGGAAGCAGGAGCAGGACGGGTTGAGGCAGCAGCACCAGCAACGCCTGTGAAACCCCTTGTGCATGTCCCCGTGAGGACCCCTGATGCCTCTGCTGCCTGATGCTGCAAACGTCTCTTGAGTGAGAGCTCAGTTTCCAAATGGAGTGACAAGGAGCAGAACTTCTAGACACCGGAAGTGGAAGGTTGCTCAAGGCAGATGCACAAATAAATGACAAATGGCAGTTTGATAACCAACACAATGCTAAAGGGCCACAGGCACAGGCCACAGAGAAGGGCCATGGGAGCAGGCAGGCCACGCAGGACACGGAGAAGAGCCAGGGAAGCAGGTGGCCCATGCAGGGCACAGAGCCACCCTTCCGGGCAGGGCAAGCGGCCTCTCATCCCACGTCACAACCCGCAGCTGCTGCTGTGCTGCAGGGAAGAGTGACATCACAGACACCCCTCAGAGCCCCTGGGAAAAGCCTAAAGGAGGCTCTGGAGGCTCCACCAAAGACCGTCGGCACCAACGGCTGGCATGTTCCTTGGGAAATTAGAGGAGGGCGTGTCTGCCAAAGGTGGATTTATAACAAGAGCCCAAGAGTGGGACTCACTCTTCCCGGGGATCCCACCTGCTCCCACTCCTCACCAGGGAGCAGCATGGCTGTGTCCATGTGTCCCTGTGTGTACATGTATATATGCATGTGTTTGTGTGTCCTTGTGTCCCGGGTGTACAGGTATGTGTGTTTGTGTGTCCATGTGTCCATGAGTACACATATGTGCATGTGTTTGTGTCCATGTGTCTCTGGTATACACGTATTTGTCCACGTGTCCCTTTGTGTACACATATGTGAATGTGTTTGTGTGTCCATGTGTCCCTGGTGTACATGTATGTGCGTTTGTGTGTCCATGTGTCCATGAGTACACATATGTGCATGTGTTTCTGTGTCCATGTGTCTCTGGTATACACATATGTATTTGTCCACGCGTCCCTTTGTGTACACATATGTGAATGTGTTTGTGTGTCCATGTGTCCCTGGTGTACATGTATGTGCGTTTGTGTGTACATGTGTGTGCATGCACATATTTGTGTGTATGTGCGTGCACGTCTGTGTGCATATTCTGCACATGAGAACCAGAACGCCTGCATGCCTAGCAGACAAGATGCCTGCTGTCTCTCTGTGGGGTTTGGAGAAGCACATCAGTACAGTCACCAGGCTGCCTAAAACACGACAAAGCAAAGCCAATTAGCAATGCTGAGGACTCTCAGGCCAGGATGCCGCCCTAGGCTGCCTTCCCAAGTCAGCTAGCTTGACAAAAGCTTTCATATCAGTGCCTGCAAAAACACCTTCTCAGCACACAGCTCAAATGTTATTAAATAATTCCATGGGGAAATAAGACTTTATACACAAAAGTTTGCTTTATAAATAATTTGTCAGTAATGTATAGTAATGCATGCATTCATAAATCATGGTTAACAGAAGCAGAGACACAACCGGATACGACTTCTTCAGAAGGCCTAGAAAAAGAGTCTATTTGAATAAAGCCCAGAGGGCCTATAGAATCCAAAGTATGCACTCCCACAATACCCCAAAACAAAAGCAAAACAACCATGACATTTATCCTACGGACATTCTAATGCTGATAGTAAGGTTAAAATCCCCGTCCACATAACACACCCACACACAAACACAAACTGGCTGTTGCCACTAGCGCTCCGTGGGGCTGAAGATGGCAAGACCCCAAGCCTCAGGCTGGCATTTCCAGAAAACACCCTCGCTGCCACGCCTACACAAGGGGAAGACTGGCAGAGACGGCTCCTTCCTCCTGACCCAGAAGCCAGGAGAGAAAGCTGATCAGTCGCACAGGCCGGGACCCAGCATGCCCTGCCACTCTGGCAGGTCCTCAGGCAGGAGTGTGAGCTCCTAATGTCTCAGGAGAGACAGGGGAGGAGAGAGGAGGCAGACGGGCAGGAGGGGGCCTGTCCCTCCAGGGTCAGCTCAGCCCTCAGAGCCACTTGTAGGAGGTCTGGGCACAATAGATACAGTGACTCCTCTGAGAAGCTGCACTGTGATGGGACCTGGGGTATCCAGCAAGGGGGGCGTGAGGCTCCGACTGGCTGAGTCTGTGTCAGCGTCAGCAACAGTGCCCATCCCGAGCTCTTTCCCAGCGCACCCCAGGACATGGTGGAAGGTGGAAGACCCTGCCTACGGGCAGCTCAGAGAGCAGGTGGCAGAGGCCAGGGTCGGCCTGCATGCAGACAAGCAGGCCGGGCAGCGGGAAGAAGCTCCCGGAAAGATGGGAGCACCAGGCCACATGGAGCTTGGACAGGGCAAGGAGTCAGGGGGAGGGAGGTAACAGCCCCTGGGAAATAATAAAGCACACGAACTTGTGAGACACAATCCCTTCCCCAGATTCCCAACTGTGTGATCCTGGCAGGGACCCAGCCCAAGCCTCAGGGGCTCACAGGCAGCGATGGGCCAAGGAAGGGCTTCAGGGCCCAGCGACTCCCTGCAAACTGAGCCCTGTCCTGCACAGGTGAGAAGGGAAGGGATGGCTCCCCTGCCAGTTAGAGACAGAGGCTTGGTGCCTGGGGGACTCCAGCCACCCATCCTGAGCCAGAATGTGGACGTCCACTCCATAGAGCACACGAAGAGGATAAAACAGCAGGGTGCACTCCGGGACCGCAGGCTCCCCCCAGCACACATGGGTCCCTGTCTGGGCATGCACACCGCCAGGACACAGCAGCTCTGTGGAAGACGCCATGCAGAAGCCTCTTCAGGGCACCGCCATGAGCCACCCTCAGAACCTGAGCTCCAGGCACTACGGACGATTTTAGGAAACCTGTGTCTGTTGCATTTCGAATATTCTGACGGGGCTTCCCGTTATTTCAGGAGAAGCTAATTCCCCACACAGTTAGTGCTCAGGAGGGAGGAATCTAGGAGCTCACTTGGCCCTAAAGCCCGTGGTGGCTGCGCCGTACTTCTGCCCCTCCTCCCGCGGTGACTGTGACAACAGGAGGGGCCACAGCCGCCCTGAGCCCCTGGTTCCCAGGTGCCAGTGGCTGCAGCACGGAGGCCACCTACGGTTCCCAGAGCACGAAGAGCTCCTACGTCCAGCAGGGGATGTTAAGGGTCACACCCTCGAGGCCACAGTGACTGCCCCAAAGTCTGAGGCCTCCCCGGTTCACTCCTGCCTCCCTCCCCTGCTTTCCTGATGTAAACACAGACACAAGCATACACACTTGCATGGACACACAGGCACTCACACTCACAGATGCACACTGCAACACATATACACACATTCACACACACCGCACACACATTCACACACTGCACACACATTCACACACACTGCACACATATTCACACACACTGCAAACATTCACTGCACACACATACACACATTCACACACACTGCACACACACATACATACATTCACACACATACACACATTCACACACACTGCACACGCAGATTCACACACTGCAAACATTCACGCTGCACACACATACATGCACACACACTGCACACACATTCACACACTGCACACATACACACATTCACACACTGCACACACTACACACACATTCACACACAGCACACACATTCACACACATTCACACACACTGCACACACACATACATTCACACTGCAAACATTCACTGCACACACTGACACACTGCACGCACATTCACACATACACACATTCACACACACTGCACAGATTCACACACATTGCGCACACATACATTCACACACTGCACATATACACACACTGCACACACACATTCACACACACTACACACATACACATTCACACACTACACACATTCACACTGCACACATTCACACACTACACACACATACATACATTCACACACATTCACACACTGCACACACATACATTCACACACACTGCAAACATTCACACTGCACACACATTCACACACTGCACACACACATTCACACACATACACACATTCACACACTGCACACATACAGATTCACACACATTGCACACACACATTCACACACAGTGCACACATACATATTCACAAAATGCACATATACATTCACATTGCACACACACATCACACACACCACACACATTCACACACTGCACACACACACTGCACACACATACACATATACACACATTCACACACTGCACACAGTCACACATTCACACACACTGCACACACATTCACACACACTGCACATGCGGTACCTGTGTGCACCCGCATGTGCCTACTGTATGCATGCATTTACACACTTGTGCATGCACTGCACGTGTTGCACTCACAGTCACATGTGCACACCGTGTGTGGGTGTACACACAGCTGTACCTACTGCACATGTACATGTGTACACATATGAGCACACACATGCACACTGTACACACACGTGCACATCCACATTCATCCACAATGCACAAACACATGCACACACACACAGGCACACACACACAGCCATCTTCTCCCGACCGCATCCCACAGGAGGGGCTTCCTCACCCCATGCTGCCTGGGTTTGGGGCAGGCCCATCAGCATCTGCTCAGCTTGCTCTGGAGGACTTTGCCCCACCGTTGTTTGTGTATTTCCCATCGCTCTGCCACAGAGCCTCTGGGTGCTGGGTGAGGGTCTACTTCCAAATTCCTCTCCCGGGCATTCCAGCTCCTGGCTTCTGTGGCCTGCTGGCTAAGGGGAAGGCACAGCCATGGGTGGGCGCCCAGCACCTCAACGGCCCTTTTCCCACCAGGGACCCCTCCAAAGCACCCGTGGCACCTGGGGAGAACCTCCTGCCAGTTGTGGACACCTCCCTGCATGGGACACTGAGTGAGAGGCACTTGAAAATGTGAAAGCAAGGCTGCAATGACGGCCGAGCCAGAGAGCAGCACCTCCCTAGCACACCCTGCACCCAGCGGAGGTGGCTGAACACCCGCGTCACTCAGCAAACTCCACGGTGATGTGGGCCAGCTGACCAACTTCATCTAGAGCCACTGGGCTCCCTAAATTCAAGTCCAACTCTACCCCTGCCACTCTCACGCTTCCCACCTTCATCTTCCAGTGCAGGACTTTGGAGCGGCAAACGGTTATTATTTAGAAGGAGGTCACATGGTGAAAGTCCAAGCCTCCTCACCTTCTAGTCAAGGCTTGCTGATAACATTGTCCCTAACGAACAGCCGCAGCAGCGCGTCAGGCAGAATGAGCCTCTGTTTAGAGTTGGTAACGACCGCCTGAAAATGTCGTGGTAGAAATAAAACCATGCAATTCAGTAGGGGAAATAAAATACATATCCAGATGGAACTGCACTGAGACGCTGGCACACTGACATCTCAAGTTAGACAATCATTTACCACTCAAAGCACCGTGGAGTGAAGGTAGCTTCCCAGGGCAGTTTGCTGAGCTCTTCCTGCGTGCTGGACACACACGGTCCAAAGATCGTGCTGAGCTCTTCCTACATGCTGGACACACACAGCCTGAAGTTCACCGCCTAAGCCACACTCCTGTCCATACGACAGATCGCCATGGGCCACACGTGACATGTGCATGGGTACCTGCAGCAGCCGGTGGCAGCAGGTGACAGTGGGGACCATCGAGATGGCCCTTGCAACAGTCTAGGAAGAGACTCACTGCCCCAGATTCACCTCGAGACTCCAAATGGTCTCAGGTCCCTTGCGGGGACCAAAGGCCGGGAGCCAGGAGCCGTGGGCTCTCTCCTAATGCTCTTCCTCCATGCCCAGGCTCCAGGACTGCCTCAAGTGTGCACTGAAAACTGCCCCATTCCGAAAAGCCAGCTTGCACCTTCTTGTTCCTGGTAGGGTTCCAGAACAGCGATGCTGCTTCTCACGTGGGGTCCCTGGTCCTTGCTGGCACTTTCCTTGATGCCCGGGAGGAGCTGTCCCATGGAGTTTTGGGGTCCTCCTCCTCTTCCCTCCCTTTTCTGCCTTTACACGAAGAGCCCCCTGACCCTCACCTGCTAGAGCAGTCGAGGTCCGCCTGTTCACAACAGCCCTCCTGGCCATGGGCTCTCCTACTCCAGGCCCCACAGCCCCCAAGCCTGGTGACATTCCCCCAGGTCACTTTCTATCTGCTCCAGGTAGGCTACCTCCCAGCCCCCAAGGTAGTGCATGCTTCGTATGTGTTCCGCAGGCCCCTGGCCCGGTGGAGCAGTGACTTGCTCAGAAACTAGCAAGGCCTCTCGGTAGTGGCCTCCCACTGACCTGGCTCCCCACCTGCCATCCACTATGCTCCTGGTGCTGGAAACACCCCCATGTGGCTCAGAGTGGTCCCCAGAGGCCCCTGACACAGACACGAGCACATACCTGCAGGCACACACCTGCAGGGGCACACTTGTGGATGCACACCTGCAGGCAGGTACATACCTATGGGCACATACTTGCAGGCAGGCACCCACCTGCGGGCACACACCTGTGGGCACACACCTGTGGGCACACCTGCAGGCAGGTACACACCGACGGGACACACCTGGAGGTAGGCACCCACCTGCAGGCACCCACCCACAGGTGCATATATCCCCCCATGTCCACCCTCTGCACAGCCCCCTTGCCAGGCTGCCCTCTGCACATTTCTGTTTGGTCCCAGACTCTGGGTGAAGGGATCACCTGGTGCCATCATCAGTCTATCACCAGCCCTCAGAGAAGTGCCTCAGCAGGAGGCCTGGCAGAACTGTGTGAGGCTGCCCAGCAGCACAGCCCCGGGTACACAGCGTGGCATTTGATGAGTACAGCTGGAAATGAATGAGCAGAGGCACCATGAGGACATGGTCCAGGCACACATCAAAGGCGGTGGCCAGAGGCCGCCTGGCTCCCCATCAGCAGGAGCTTCAGCCCTGCCTTTGGGTGGAGGCCCACAGAGCCCCGCCATGGAACACAGAATCAGAGTCTGCGTGGGGGCTGCGTCCACCCCATCTGTTTGCCCAGCTTCTCTCTCTAGCATGCTCAGACCCCACAGAGGCGCAGGGCTCCTTCGCCTCCCCAGGGGTTGGGGACCCCTGGTCTGGAGGACCAGTGGGGACAGTGTCTGCTGCGGTGTGATGTCTGGCAGTGAGGCTGGGGACGGCGTCTGCTGCGGGGTATTGTCTGGCAGTGAGGCTGGGGACGGCGTCTGCTGCGGGGTATTGTCTGGCAGTGAGGCTGGGGACGGCGTCTGCTGCGGGGTATTGTCTGGCAGTGAGGCTGGGGACGGCGTCTGCTGCGGGGTATTGTCTGGCAGTGAGGCTGGGGACGGCGTCTGCTGCGGGGTATTGTCTGGCAGTGAGGCTGGGGACGGCGTCTGCTGCGGGGTATTGTCTGGCAGTGAGGCTGGGGACGGCGTCTGCTGCGGGGTATTGTCTGGCAGTGAGGCTGGGGACGGCGTCTGCTGCGGGGTATTGTCTGGCAGTGAGGCTGGGGACGGTGTCTGCTGCGGGGTATTGTCTGGCAGTGAGGCTGGGGATGGTGTCTGCTGCGGGGTGTTGTCTGGCAGTGAAGCTGGGGACGGTGTCCGCTGCAGTGTGATGTCTGGCAGTGAGGCTGGGGACGGTGTCTGCTGCGGTGTGATGTCTGGCAGAAAGAGCCGGGGCCAGTGTGGCTGTGAGCATCAGGCCTGAATTCCGTGAACTGAGGAACAGCCTGACAGAGGGACCCAGCAGCAGCGGCCTCAGGACAGGCACAACGGCCACTTCCCGGCTTAACCTGGGCAGAGAGACGAGAGCCACTTCCCGGCTTTAACCTGGGCAGAGAGATGAGAGTTCTGTAATTTTTGAAGATTGAATTCAGTCTGATAAATAATTCAAAGTACATTGCCTGACCCCATTAAAAAATGGAGTTCAAATATGCCAAATTTTTAAAACTTCATCCATTGGCTGCACAAACAGGAAAGTGGGCTCCAGTGGCCCTGGCTGGTGGTTCAGATGCCGCTGTGGGGCCGGCCTTCAGGGGTGGTGGGGTGGCCCAGCTGCCTCCACCCCAGCTCCCTCCCACGTCTACATCCAAGATGTCTGGCTTCCACTTTCCGTGTCACTAAAGGGCGGGGAAGCTGCAGGGGAGGTGCCTCATCTGCAGCGTCGTCTCCAGTGACTGGCACCTCAGACAGCCCCACACCCGCGGCAGGTCCCGCCTGGCACTCGGGAAGCTCTTGCATTTAAGAGATCTAGAAATGTTGACACTTTGCGTGGAATTTTAAAAGCTGCTTAATCAGGAAGGAGCCAGTCAGGAAAAGGGACCTGCCAACCTGCTTGTTAGCCGAGCAGCGAGGCACTGTGAGCACACGGGATGATGGGTGCTGGGTGCTGGAGTTGACCGGCTGGCCCGGCAGAGCTGGTTCCCGCGGGGAACCCCGGGGGCGTGGTGCTCACAGCAACCTTGTTAGAAGGGACACTGGGGAGGGTGTGTGCTCTCTCCATCTGGAGCCGCCTGGAAGCCAGGGAGCATGTTTTTGTGTGAGTGTTGATTGTGGACAACGCCCAGACCCTGCCTGCAGCACAGAGGAATTCCAGGTGTCAAAGCGATAGGAATTCAGGGAGATGATGGACGTGGGCTCCACACCCCACCTTCCACCTCAAGGAGGTGGCAGTGGGAACCCTTACACGGGGGTGACTGAGCATCTGAGCGGGATCACCGTGGCCTGGGGGCCTGCCCCTCGCCCCTGAGAGCTCCTGGTTAGAGCCGTTGTGGGCACAGCCTAAGCTTCTGCAGGCCTTCTCTCTCACCTCTCTCATATCCTTCCATCATTTAAGTAGATTAAACTCAGAAACATTTTTAGTGCTGTGTACAAACCAAGGGCAGCAAAAAACCCAACCTCTATGCCAGGCTGAGCTTCTGTTCTTCCTGACTCTACAGCAAGAGCTCTGGGCATCTCTCCACGTGACCAGCTGTGACCACGGACTTAGGAACACTGTTTCCTACCTCCTTCACCTCACCTCCCTGCCACCTCCAGCCCGTAATTTAGAGAGAAGCTGATGCAGTTGACTCTTCCCAGCTTGCCATTTAAACGCACACTGGGTTATGTGCACAGAGATGCTGCCCCAGTGACTGTATTTGGGTAACTGTTTCACCCTCGTGGTGTGACAGCCCATTTGAGCGCTCTTCAAGGCACGAGATCCTCAGCACCGTCAACAAGTCTGTGTCTCACCTGCAATCACAGCTCATTGAGCCGCCAGCTAATTAGAGAGCCCCTAAGTGAATCAGTGACACAATGCCGCCTGCAAAAGCATCAGAGCCGCGGCCGCACGCACACAGAGCGGGGTGTGAGATATCCCAGCCGCACACACACAGAGCGGGGTGTGAAATATCCCAGCCCAGACGCGTGCACACGGGGCGGGTGTGAAATATCCCAGCCGCACGCACACAGGGCGGGTGTGAAATATCCCAGCTGCACGCACACAGAGTGGGGTGTGAAATATCCCAGCCGCACGCACACAGGGCGAGTGTGTAATATCCCAGCCGCATGCACACAGGGCAGGTGTGAAATATCCCAGCTGCACACACACAGGGTGGGTGTGAAATATCCCAGCCCAGCCACAAACAGGGCGGGTGTGAAATATCCCAGCCACACGCACACAGGGCGGGTGTGTAATATCCCAGCCGCACGCACACAGGGCGGGTGTGAAATATCCCAGCCGCAGGCACACAGGGCGGGTGTGAAATATCCCAGCCGCACACACACAGGGCGGGTGTGAAATATCCCAGCCGTGTGCACACAGAGAGGGTGTGAAATATCCCAGCCCAGCCGCACACAGAGAGGGTGTGAAATATCCCAGCCCAGCCGCACACAGGGCGGGTGTGAAATATCCCAGCCGCACACACACAGGGCGGGTGTGAAATATCCCAGCCGCACGCACACAGGGTGGGTGTGAAATATCCCAGCCGCACACACACAGGGCGGGTGTGAAATATCCCAGCCGCACGCACACAGAGTGGGGTGTGAAATATCCCAGCCGCGTGCACACAGGGCGGGTGTGAAATATCGCAGCCACATTGTTGTTGAAAGCCGTTGCCGGGCCTGAAAATCGCAGCTTTTTGAACGCACACACTGAACCTCCCCGGCTTTGTTTTCTAGGAAGGACGTGGCGGCTGCTGCCCAACTTTGAACGGAGGAGCACAGGAGGAGCTCCAAGGCCCCTCAGGAGTCGCCACTGTTGCCTCCGGTCACCCCCACCTTCTGTTGGAGTGGCCTTCAGGGAAAATGCCCCAAAGGGGCCTCCTAGGAGCCCCTGCCCGACCCCGCCCCAGATGCTCCCTCCCATCGCCAAACCTCGTCTCCTCATCTATGGAAGGAGAACAAGGAGACGGCCCTCACCTAGCAGTGTAACCCTGAATGCCAAGGCCATGCCTGGTGCAGAAAGGCCCAAACACCAGCCTCAGGAGGCGCGGCCATCCCCGTCATCACACCTGGTTTCTGCTTTGACCTTTGCTGCCAATAAATGTGAGCAGCTGCCATCCTGTGCCCAGTCCCCGGGGCATACCTGCAGCCCAGGCTGGCTGTCTTTGCTTCCCAGACACCTGGGAAGTCTGGGCTCTGGGGAAGACATTCTGCAGCTCTAATTTTAAAACTATTTGGCATTTTCAAATCCAGTTTTCAAGTCCCTGGGGTGGGTAAAGGATGCTTCAAGAAGAAAGTGCTCTGAGCCAGAGTAGGAACAATGGTGAAGGGTCCAGGATGGCACAGGACGGGAGCCTGCCAGGTGGTTCTGCCAGGGCCCAGGAGGACAGCAAAGTCAGCTGACGGCTGGGACCAAGAGACAGAAACAGAGAGACAGAGACAGAGAGAGACAGAGACAGAGGAACAGAGACAGAGAGAGAGACAAAGGGAGCAGGAGAGGGACAGAGACAGAGATAGAAAGAGACAGAGGGATAGGGAGTCGGAGACACAGAGACAGAGAGAGACAGAAAGAGACAGAGAGAGACAGAGAGACAGAGACATAGAGACAGAGAAACAGAGAGACAGAGATAGAGAGACACAGGGAGACAGAGAGAAAGAATCAGAGACAGAGATAGCCAGAGAACAGCAGAGACAGAGTCCCAGCAGTTGCCCGTCCACTCTCTGCCTGACCTGCAATCTGCCTCTTCTGACCTTGGATGTGCCCCAACCAGAGCTTTTGCAGGAGGGGCTGCTCACTGTGGAGGGGAGCCCAGAGCTGGACCATCAGGAGACCCAGGACAGACGCCCCACAGCAAAAGCCAGGACACCTGAACTGGTCAGGCCAGCAGTGACTCAGGGCCTGGAGAGCCCCGTGGGCAGAGGCTGCCTGGAAGGCTCCACCGGCCAAGGGCAGGTCAGCAAGGCAAGTCATGGCCAGAAGGCAGAAGGGCCAGCACAAAGGCCAGCTTTATAGGTGCAGAGCGGGAGCCAGGCGGGGGCACTGGGAGCACAGGCATGGTTCTCGGGGTGAGGACGCCTCCTTGGCCCCACTCCATGTCACTGGTGACTGGTCAACAAGGTGCAAGCTGCTACCTTCACAGAGGGTGATCCTACCGGAGACAGATGAGCCTCACTCACTGGCCATAACGTGCCCCCGACCCCCTGGCTCCCTCTGCCTATGACCAGGCCAGGCCCCCTGCAGTGGGTGCTGCTATCACAATTGAGGGCTGAACACCCCAGGGGAAACTGAGTCCTTTCAGGGCAGTAATAAGGGAAGGTTTCGACCACTGTTAGCTGCAGAAGGGCCAACCCCTTTACCTGGCTGTCCCTCTCCCTGGGAGCTTGCTGGGCCACCCCTCTACTGGGCTGCCCCTCTCCCTGGGGTGCCTTCTCTACCTGAGCCGTCTTCTCCACCTGGACCACCCCGTCCACCTGGACCACCCCTCCACCTGGACCACCCCCTCACCTGGACCGCCCCCTCCACCTGGATGACCCCCTCACCTGGACCGCCCCCCCACCTGGACCGCCCCCTCCACCTGGATGACCCCCTCCACCTGGACCACCCCCCCCACCTGGACCACCCCCCCCACCTGGACCACCCCCCCACCTGGACCACCCCTCCACCTGGACCACCCCCTCCACCTGGGCCTCCCC
Source organism: Homo sapiens (assembly GCF_000001405.40). Classification (NCBI taxonomy): domain Eukaryota; kingdom Metazoa; phylum Chordata; class Mammalia; order Primates; family Hominidae; genus Homo; species Homo sapiens. The sequence continues at coordinate 158,270,998 of NC_000007.14, forward strand.
ATCCACCTGGACCACCCCTCCACCTGGACGGCCCCCTCCACCTGGGCCTCCCCCCAACCTGGGCCACCCCCTCCACCTGGACGACCCCCTCCACCTGGGCTGCCCCCTCCACCTGGACCACCCCCTCCACCTGGGGTGTGCCAGAGGGAGTAACTGTGGGATGGAAACAAAATTCGACTCTAGTGGGTGGCCAGGAGAGGTCACGTGCTGCTTCTCTTGTGTTGTGAATGCAGCGGTCAGCCGCAAAACACCAAATGACACCCAGTCACTGGAATTCTTGGATTAAATGCTTTTGATGCACATATATCCTCTCCACACACTGCATAATTAACTGAATATCCGACAATCGGCAGATCCATACTGTTGAAGCTGGACTAGCCACAACTTATCATTAAAGTATTCAATTACATAATTTATAATGAAAAGCCACAATCAACGCTAAGCAATACCAATGGTCACAATTCATCAGGGTCCTTCCCAAAACTGTGGGACTCTCAGCAGAGTCCACATGCACGGGACGGGGGCAACACAGCCAAGCCCCATGGGGCAATCCAGCTTCTCTGCAGACACTGCTGGCTTTTAGTTTGTGCCAAATTTTAATAAACGTTAATAACTCACTTGATAGGTGTCTCAGCCCATGCAGGCTGCTATAAGAAAATACCATAGCTTGGGTAATTGATAAACAACAGAGGTTTCTTTCTCACAGTTCTGGAGATACCCACAGATTCGGTGTCGGTGAGCGCCCACTTTTTGGTTGGGCCTTCCCCTGTCATCTCACAGCAGAAGGGGTGAAGAAGCGTCCTGAGGCCTCTTTCAGAAGCGCATTAGCCCATCCGTGAGGCTCTTCCTCAGGGCCTCAGCGCCTTGCAAAGGCCCCTAACACCATGGCCTTGGGTGAGGATTTCCATGTAGGAACTGGAGGCGTGGGGTAGGCGGACACAAACCTTCAGTCGCTATGGCAATTGTGACTAATAAGTAATTTGTACTTATATACAAAAATGAATTCGTTTGACATTCTTTTAGGGTTAAAAGCTGCACCATCAAAAGACGGTCAGGTTGTTCCCTCCTCATTTAAGCCAATTTTAAAACGATTTTTCCTCCTACAACGTGAAAATGATCACAGGGTGCCATCAGGTGACTATGCACACTTCGTGCTGAGCTGGCAGAGGAGGGTCTAGAGTGAAGCCCATCTCAAGCCAAGTGGAACTGGTCCAAATGGAAAAACAGCCCCCCGGGACGTCTTGTCTTCGGAGAGCCGCGTCTCCGGGGCCCGGGCAGGCCCTGTGGTCTCCCTGCCTGGGCTGTACTTGCTCAGCCTTTTGCAACTGCCCGGTACCAACGGTCAAGGATGAGAATTGCAGCAGAGCTTTAAAGACTTGGGTCCCAACGTCACTGTCTATTGACTGAGTTTTTCAAGTGGTTTGAGTCAGAAGTAGGGATATACCTTCAATTAGAGTCCTGAATTTTAGGCATTACTTACCAAAAACACTGAGCAGGTTTGCCCAGAAAATACAGTCTGCATGGAACTTCCACATCCCCTCACTCTCTACCAGAACGGCAGCCCACCTCAAAGACACCGCACGCGGCCCACCTGCCTTGCACCCCAGACACCAGGGTTGAAAGCCTGAGTCCAGGCAGGAGCCAACCTCACAGAGTCAAATCTCGGAGCACCAGGTGAGGGGAGGTCTCAGCGCCACTGCCGGGATAAGCCCTCAGGATGGAGACAGTCGCATCTGCCAGATCCCTTTCACCAGACTGCAGAGTGAGGTGAAACCAGGGCCTCATAGGTGTGAGGGCCATCGGGGAGGTGCCGCCGGCAGAAGGAGAGGTGGGAAGGCTGAGTGGATGGAAGGATCAGGAATGACCAGGAGGAAGCTACAGTCAATAGCTGATGGGGCTTGGCTGTGTTGCCCCCCAGCCCGGTGCATGCAGACTCTGCTGACAGTCCCACGGTTTGGGACTCTCGTTTCACTCATTCATCATTTATTGAGCATCAGGGAATATGAAAGTGGCCATGGGCCTCCAAACAGCTCAGAATGTAAAGGGGAAGAGCTCTGTGCTGTAGCTGCAACTCCAGCCACAAGGAAGACAAGACCCAGGGCTGTGGGACGAAGGGGAGAGAGGACTCAGGCCCCAGCTGCAGGATTCGAGTGCCCTTCGGGAGTGAGCTCGCAGGGGAGGAACCCTCCTAGGACAGGGCACGTGGAGCTCCAGGCAGCCTCTCCAGGGCCCTGCGTGTGCTGTTTCTCTGTCTTGAAAATGACACCGAACGTTTATGGCCAGTGAGCACCCACCGCAAGCCCACACTGTGAGCTCCTTGCCTGCTGGGGAGGCCAGGAGATGCAGAACCAAGGGCAGAAGCACTGCCTGCAGCCCTGTCCCAGCGTCGTGGATGCAGACACGGGAGGAGCCGCAGACAGACGCGGGAGGAGCCGCAGACAGACGCGGGAGGAGCCGCAGACGCAGGGGGAGCCGCAGGCACAGGGGGAGCCGCAGGCACAGGGGGAGCCGCAGACAGACATGGGAGGAGCCGCAGACACGGGGAGCCGCAGACACAGGGGGAGCCGCAGGCACAGGGGGAGCCGCAGACAGACATGGGAGGAGCCGCAGACACGGGGAGCCGCAGGCATGGGGGAGCCGCAGACAGACATGGGAGGAGCCGCAGACACGGGAGGAGCCGCAGACACAGGGAGCCGCAGACACAGGGGGAGCTGCAGACACAGGAGGAGACACACAAGGAGCCGCAGACACAGGGGGAGCCACAGACAGACATGGGAGGAGCCGCAGACACGGGGAGCCGCAGACACAGGGGGAGCCGCAGGCATGGGGGAGCCGCAGACACAGGGGGAGCCGCAGACACAGGAGGAGACACACGAGGAGCCGCAGACGCAGGAGGAGCCGCAGACAGACGCGGGAGGAGCCGCAGACACAGGGGGAGCCGCAGACACAGGGGGAGCTGCAGACAGACATGGGAGGAGCCGCAGACACAGGGAGCCGCAGACACAGGGAGCCGCAGACACAGGGGGAGCCGCAGACACAGGAGGAGACACACGAGGAGCCGCAGGCACAGGGGGAGCCGCAGACACAGGGGGAGCTGCAGACAGACATGGGAGGAGCCGCAGACACGGGGAGCCGCAGACACAGGGAGCCGCAGACACAGGGGGAGCCGCAGACACAGGAGGAGACACACGAGGAGCCGCAGACACAGGGGGAGCCGCAGACAGACATGGGAGGAGCCACAGACACGGGAGCCGCAGACACGGGGAGCCGCAGACACAGGGGGAGACGCAGACACAGGAGGAGACACACAAGGAGCCGCAGCCACAGGGGGAGCCGCAGACGCGGGAGAGCCACAGACACAGGGGGAGCCGCAGACACAGGGGGAGCCGCAGGCACAGGGGGAGCCACAGGCACAGGGGGAGCCGCAGACAGACATGGGAGGAGCCGCAGACACGGGGAGCCGCAGACACAGGAGGAGACACACGAGGAGCCGCAGGCACAGGGGGAGCCACAGGCACGGGGGAGCCGCAGGCACAGGGGGAGCCACAGACACCCTCACACTCCGGGATCTAGCGTGTGTGGACGAGCCCGAGGCGCTCGGCCCAGCTTGTCAGCAGCCTTCCTGGGAACGCTGTGGAAATGTGTGGAGGGGCCGCGTGGCTTCCTGCTGCCTGGGACGACATTACTGCATCTGCATTTGAGGTGTGGGGCCCAGAGGGGCTCAGGTACCCTACGGGGGGAGTCACCCCATGACCAGGAATCACGCTGTGGCCACACACAGGGAGCCTGACTGCAGCTTTCTGGAGGAGAACGTGGTTGCATTTCACATAGAAACACAGGTCATTTTGTTTCTGAAGAATTCATTCCGAATATTTATTTGCTACTTGACAAAGAAGAGACTTCATCAGGGATAAGATCTCGACAAAGACCATCTCCTGGCTGCCTTTTATATTCAAATCCACCACAGATCAACTCCTGGGGCGTAGCAGAGTCCTGTCTCCCCCCAAAATAGGGAGCACTTTCTGATTGTGGGGTTCAAAAAGCTGCCTTCTGAGGGTAAAGGGTGTTCTTACCAGGAAAGAGGAGACAGAACAATGAAGTCCCCAGGGGCCGGCAGCAGTGCCGAGGAGCCCCGGGGAAGAGCTCAAGCCAGTGGCCAAGCCTGGACCAGCCTCCAGCAGGGACAGCACCGTGGCTGTGGGGACAGTGGGGACAGCGCCTCGGGGCCACAGAGACGTGCTCCCTGGACGTTGGCCCAGGTGCCTGCCCACTTCCTCGGAGGGCCTCTGAACAAGCTGCAGGGCTGTCTCCATGGGAAGGCGCGCACCTCCTCACGCCTCTCCAGGGAAGCCACAGCTTCACTGTGCTGGCAGACCCACTCTGTTTTTTCTACATTGCCTAGAGTTCGGCTATTTTTCTCTTCCCAAAGAGCCTACCCAGCAAATTTTACTGGACAAAGTGCCTGGAACAAAGCAGCCAACAATAAAACTGGCGTGCACCCCATGAATAAAGGCGTCGCCCAGAAAATGCTCTAAATTAGGATTTAATTGCTAGAAATTACTTTCAATTACAAAAATTGCAATAAATTACTTGTTGAATAGACACATTCTTTCACCACCATTAATAATTTAAAATTGCTAATTGCACGTAATCGCAAGTAATTTTTGTTCTTTGGTGAGAATCGAGGTACTACGTTATGTGGGGTGGGTTTGCCAGGGCTGGCCCCCACCCTGCGCACCTCCACGTGTGGCAGGCAGAGCCGAACTCCCAGAAGAAGAGTTGCAGTGATGGGGCCTCCACCGCCAAAGCCACGGACCTGGTGCAGTTCATAAGGTGGCCTCCTCCCTCCATCAGCCCCTCAGGGACAACAGGTGGCCAAGGGGGTGACCTTCCCAAGGAGCTGGTCCCTCCGCCATCCTGAGAACAGTGAATTTGTATTTGCAGTAAAACCCAGATTCTCCAGAAAACGTCTTGCTGTCAGCATCCCCGCCGCCTTACACGTGCTATGGCTGCCCTCTGACTCTGCTGCCTGACTTTTATCTGCACAAATCCTACAGTCTCCTGGGAGCCCACCGGTCAGCCAGCTGCCTCCAGGGGTGCGTCTCCTCTCAGCTTCCTCTTCCATCTGAACCTTCCCTCCCTCCCCAAGTGTTCGTCCCTTGTCCACCTGGAAAGCCTCTCTGCCCTTGAAGCACAGCTCCTGCCCTGGCCCCGGCAGGCTGTAAGGTAGCACCCCCACATCCCGGTCCTGGTAGCACCCCCACACTCTGGCCCCAACAGGCTGTAAGGCAGCACCCCCACACCCCGGCCCCGACAGGCTGTAATGTATCACCCCCGCACCCCGGCCCCGACAGGCTGTAAGGCAGCACCCCCACACCCCGGCCCCAACAGGCTGTATCACCCCCCACACCCCGGCCCCGACAGGCTGTAAGGCAGCACCCCCACACCCCGGCCCCAACAGGCTGTAATGTATCACCCCCACACCCCGGCCCCGACAGGCTGTAAGGCAGCACCCCCACACCCCGGCCCCGACAGGCTGTAAGGCAGCACCCCCACACCCTGGCCCTGGGCAGTCGTGGTGACCGCATGGCCTTGTTGGTAGCTTCCTTCTTTATTAACTTGGCCCCATTTATTAACCACCAGCTTCCTGAGGGATGAAACCATGCTTCCAGCGTTTCCAGGCCCACACAGCACTGTGCCAGGGGCTCCAGGGAAGCTGATGGATGTGGGTGCTATGACACCAGCTGCTGCGGGGCCCTGATGCCATGGCTGGGAAGGACGTCGGCCTGGGGACGCTCAGCTGGCAGGATATGCCTCCCCAGGTGTGCGGGCGGCCTCCTCGTAGTGGAGGCAGGGGCGGAGGGTGCGAGGCATGCCACTGTGAGCTGGGGCCGAGGGGGCCATATGCTCAGGTGCTGTCTATCAGCTCTGGAGGGAGAAGCCAAACTCTCAGGCAGCCCACAGCGGGGTGAGGACCGGGCTCCGTCCCCTCTAACAGGGTGGGGTGGGGGGCACTGACTGGTCGGACCCTGCAAGATCCCCACGGGCAAGAGTGGCTGATCAGAGCTCCATGAACAGCCCCTTCGTCAGAAGCCATCCTCTCACACACGTGCACACACACACACACGTGCCCGCACACGCACACACGCGCACATACACGTGCACATAAACATGCTCTTCTCACGTCGCAGTGGATTTCTCTTGCACTGTTGCTTTAAGAACTGTCAGAGCGGTGAGATGACGGCAGCCTGTGCGAATCGGCCTCCAGCCTCCTCGGGGTCCTGCCCACTCTGTTCGCCATTCGGTCCCACACCTCAGCCACAACGGGCAGTCAGGGCTTCAGCCACTCCACGGGCACCAATGCTGAAGACCACAGAGGAATGTGCTCCAGACGGAGGAGGCCGGGCCCAGGCCTGATGGAGACACGGACGTTTGTACCTGAAGCCCTCAAGTCTGCCCTATAAAGGAGATGAACCCTGAAAACACTGACCCCTGAAATCAGCAAGAGGAGGCGGCTACAGTGCCAGGACCTAACCCGCGCTCTCCCAAGTCTCCTCCTCATCACACAGCTCCCGAGGCCTGCCAGAAGCACCCCTTGAAGGCACTGTCAGGGCCTTGCCACACTGCTGCACGAGGTGCACACGCAGGGGCTGGGACATATAGCTCTGGCCTTGCCTCCAAGTCTGTCTCCAAAACAATGAGCTGGGGAAGAGAAACTCTGTACGGTCCTCCCTACTCCCTTGCCCGGCCGGGGTTGTGGTCAGGCCACCCTGGGAAAGAGGAGCAGCCCAGGGCAGCTACAGAGGCTCCTCCTCCCACCTGGGGAGAGGAATCCGCCTTCAGGGAGCAGCCCATGCCCTCCCTGGCTTCTCCTGTCTGGCATCACGGCTGCGGCAGAGTCTAAGAGAAAGGCTCTCAGCCGGGCAGGACCACCAGGCACACAAGGGGGGGATGGGAGTTAGAGGTGCCAGCCCTGCTCCTGACCTCCCTGACCTCCAGCACATAACAGGGAGGCCAGGTCCTTGTCTGACACACCCAGAGAATCATCAGATCCAAGGCCCGGGGTGGCCGGGGACCAAGTATGGCTCCTATGAGAAAACAGGCGTCTGCAGGAGGCCTGAGCCTGCCCCACCAGCCTCAGCACGTAACATGTCTAGAACATTCCTAGAGCCAGAAGGATGTAGGAACTTCCTTCCAGAATACACTTCCCAGTGGACAGGGAAATGGGAATCGAATGCAGGGACCACCCACCACCTGCCAGGGGACCTCTGACCCCAGGGAGGAGGAAACAAGGTCAAATCCCAAGACCAGCCTGTGCAACATGATGAAACCCCGTCTCTACTAAAATACAAAAAAAAAAAAAAATTCAGCTGGACGTGAAGGTGGGCACCTGTAATCCCAGCTACGCGGGAGGCTGCGGGTGAAGGTGGGCGCCTGTAATCCCAGCTACGTGGGAGGCTGCAGCAGGAGAATTGCTCGAACCGGTAGCAGTGAGCTGAGATCGCACCATTTGGGCAACAAACTGAAATTCTCTCTCGAAACCAACAATCAATACAAACCAATAAGCCCAGAACCCACAACTTCCTGATGTAGATGGACATGTTGTGTCCGGAATTGGTGGGTTCTTGGTCTCGCTGACTTCAAGAATGAAGCCGCGGACCCTCGCGGTGAGTGTTACAGTTTTTAAAGATGGTGTGTCCAGAGTTTGTTCCTTCAGGTGTGTCCAGAGTTTCTTTCTTCCGGTGGGTTCATGGTCTCCCTGACTTCAGGAGTGAAGCTGCAGACCTTTGCAGTGGGTGTCACAGCTCATAAACACAGCGCATCCAGAATTGTTCATTCCTCCCAGTGGGTTCGTGGTCTCTATGGCTTCAAGAGTGAAGCTGAAGACCCTCACAGTGAGTGTTACAGCTCATAAAGGTAGCATATCCGGAGTTGTTCATTCCTCGTGGTGGATTTGTGGTCTCACTGGCCTCAGGAGTGAAGCTGCAGACCTTCGAGGTGAGTGTTACAGCTCACAGACGTAGTGAGGACCCAAAGAGTGAGCACCAGCAAAACTTACTGTGAACAGCAAAAAAACAAACCCTCCACACTGTGGAATGGGACCCAACCGGTTTGCTGCTGCTGGCTCTGGCAGCCTGCTTTTATCCCCATATCTGGCCGCACCTACATCCTGCTGATTGGTCCATTTTACAGAGAGTTGATTGGTCCATTTTACAGAGGCTAACTGGTCCGTTTTGACAGAGTGCTGGTTGGTGCATTTACAAACCTTTAGCTAGACACAGAGTGCTGATTTGTGCATTTACAATCCTTTAGCTAGACACAGAGCACTGATGGGTGCATTTACAATCCTTTAGCTAGACAGAAAACTTCTCCAAGTCCCCACCCTCCCAGCAGCCCAGCCAGCTTCACCTCTCACTGGTACTCGCTGCAGGACTTTGTGGCCCCTAGCCCGGGCACTCCAGGCAGCCCAATGGGAGCTCGTCCCAGACAACCAAGAGAAAAAGAGGGGAAGCGAGAAAGAGACAGAGACCCACCATCATGGCCAACGACCCAGGGAAGAGGGAATGGCAGTCCTCTCACGGGATCCAGCCTCCAATCAAGCCCAGCAGGTGCCGGCCAGTCCCACGGAGTGCCAGGCCCGCTAAGCCCGTGCCCACCCGGAACCTGCGCCGGCCCACAAGCCCCGTGTGCAGCCCCGGCTCCCATCCGCGCTTCTCCCTCCACACCTCCCCGCAAGCAGAGGGAGCCGGCTCCGGCCTCAGCAAGCCCCAGAGAGGGGCCCCCACAGTGCAGCAGCGGGCTGAGGGGCTCTTCGAGCCCGGCCAGAGCAGACACCGAGGCAGAGAAGGCGCCCAGAGTGAGCGAGGGCTGCTAGCACGTTATCACCTCTCAATGTGGACTTGACCCCACGGTGTGCCAGGTAAAATAAAGGTCTCCTTAGTTCCGTGAAGACAGTCGAGGTCTGTGCACTTAATCCAGAGCCCCGGACGGCCCCCACGCCCCACCGCTGCCCCCGAACCCACAGAGCCCCGCGGCGGCCCCCACGCCCCACCGCTGCCCCCAAACTGCACCAAGACACAGCAGTTTGCTCTCAAGCAGTTTAAACTCGTCTAATGCTTTAACTGGCCTGTCAAATCATTGTTTCACAGACCGCATAATATGAATTGTGTCCCTTCCATATCTGGAACACCAAATCCTAAATCCACAGCCTTCAAGCACATCTGGTTTTCCCGGGCCCAATCGGAAAGCAGGTCCTCTCCGGCCTGAAGCTGCGAAGAGAGGCAGCAGCCATGAGAAGGTGGCTAACCCCGTCGGGGGCCATGGCTGCCTAGGGGAGGCCGGCAGAGCCTGCCTGGGGGTCGGTAAGGACGCTGGCTTTGGTCTGACACCGGCAGGGAGGGACAGCGACGAGGGCAGGAGCCGCGGCTCTACCTGGGAACGCAGGATCATCTCTACTCTGACGGCTCAGCCTCTGCACACAAACCATCCTTCTGCGTTTAATTGGTCCTCTCCAGGGGATGTTTTTTGAAACTAGGTCTTTGAAGACCTTTCATAGCAGCCCTGAGATACCGGGTGGAGAGGGCAGATGGAGAGAGAACCAGGAGATGAAAGGAGGAGCCGAGAGAGCCTGGGGGAGCCGGACGGGTGCGGCCCGACACTGCGTAGAGACGCGGCCGTGGAGTTTCTCCACCGTCATTAAACCCCTTTTTTGCTGAGGAACGTGTTATCAATTTTAAAATTTTCCCAAATGTTGAACAATGGAAGTGTTGTTTGCAGAGAGAGCTCAACTGTCTAAAGTAGAGAAATAGAAGGTCTCCCGAGACTGAAATGACAAAGATGGAAAGCGGGAGGGGAGGCCTCACGGCAGCTGTGCCCAGAACCAGCACGCTGTGAACAGGCGCCAGGCCCTGCGCCGGCCCACGGCTACACGGTGCTCTGGAAACATAGGCTAGCGAGAGTCTAAAGAGGTGGTGCAGGCTCAAAGCCATGTGCTCGTCATCACAGCTTCCATTTAAATCTTGAGGGCTGGGCGCAGTGGCTCACGCCTCTAATCCCACCACTTTGGGAGGCCGAGTCGGGCAGATCTCTTGAGATCAGGAGTTCAAGACCAGCCTGATCAACATAGTGAACCCCACCTCTACTAAAAATACAAAAGTTAGCCGCGCTTATAATCCCAGCTGCTTGGGAGAGTGAGGCAGGAGAATCACTTGAACCGGGGAGGCAGAGGTTGCAATGAGCTGGGATCATGCCACTGCACTCCAGTCTGGGTGACAGAGCAAGACTCCGTCTCAAAAAATAAAAATGAAAATAAGCAAATACATTTTGTGTATGGTTTAAAAGCATATAAAACAGTAGTAGAGTCATACACATACTCCTAAATAACAAAGGCAAATAGGAATACCAGGAGTGCATGCTTTGTGTGTTTTCATCAAGAACATAGTCACCAAAATCCAAGCGGATGGGCACAGCCATTTGCATGTAACTTTACAGTATAAGAGACATTGTCATATGCCCACAGTCTGCTATGAAGACACAGATCCAGACTGGCTAAGAGCACAGAGGTGCATGGAAATGCTCGGGTGTGTGGTGTGCGTGGTGCCCTGCGCATTTGTGCTGGCTTTGCACCCCCCTCCTGCCACGTCCCGTGCAAACGCTCAGGTGTGTGGCATGCCTGGGGCCCTTTGCATTGGTGCTGGCTTTGCACCCACCTCCTGCCACGCCCCAAACCCCAAGGAGTCCAGGAGCCAGGAGAGCCCAAAATCCCCATCCATGCTCCTAGAAAGGAAGTTTCTTGACAAAGGTCTGAGTCAACCATGGGTAAAGCCAGAATAAACCCTGCTAGTTCTTTTGAGGTGTGAACAGTCTCAGCTACTCTGAGCCCCGCATAACTCACTTTGGTCACCAGAGGAGCAGGATTTACAGGGTCAAAAGCCATTTCTCCTTCCAGAGGCTCCCAGCTCAAAGCCCAGCCATCGTCTCCCAGACATTTTGGGTCGCATGGAAATCTGCCTCTTAAGAGACCTGGCCTCCTGTCTAGGGTTAGAGAACACTGTGTTCCCAGAAGGGACAGTCAGGCCTCAGGATCCTCTCCTGAGAAGCCCTGAACTCAAGTCAAACTGAGCCTGTGTTAACAGGGTCCTTTGCCGCTAAGAACCCAACTGTCTCAGGAGTGGCTCTGCCTTTTTTTTTTTTTTTCCTTTCTATTTTCAGACAAATCGTCACTCAGCATAGTAAACCCAAGATATAAAAACCAACAATTGAGTAACTGGTCTTTTCCGTCTGTCTTGGGAAAGTAGCTTATCAAAAGTAAGATGAAAAAAGAGTATTTTATTGTTAAACTCTATAATGAAGCAACTGTCTTTGACTACACAATGTGGGAACTTGCCAGTGAATGTAGAAGTACTGCGGGGCCATGCGTCAGAGGTGTGTGGGTCTAGGAGACGCAGATCAGGAGTCTGGCCTGGCTCAGATGTCCACAGCCAGGAAGCCGCGGGCAGAGCAGCGGGGTCGAGGCTGCGGCTGAGTTTGTGAGCTGTGGCAGCCATACTTACTCTGCAGGGCATGTTGAGTTCTGAAGGAGACAGCACTGCTGAAGTGAGCACAGCAGCAGGACAGACGGCTGATCCCTCCTTGTGCTCCCACACACAGCAGCGAGACACAAACGGCTCGTCCCTCCTGGTGCTCCACACACAGCAGCCGGACAGACGGCTGATCCCTCCTCGTGCTCCCACATGCAGCAGCCAGACACAGACGGCTCATCCCTCCTCGTGCTCCCACACACAGCAGCCGGACAGACAGCTGATCCCTCCTCGTGCTCCCACACACACAGCAGCCGGACACAGATGGCTTGTCCCTCCCTGTGCTCCCACACACAGCAGCGGGACACAGAGGGCTCATCCCTCCTCATGCTCCCACACAGCAGCGGGATATAGACGGTGGTCCCTCCTCGTGCTCCCACGCAGCAGCAGGACATAGACGGCTCGTCCCTCCTCATGCTCCCACACGCACAGCAGCCGGACACAGATGGCTGATCCCTCCTCGTGCTCCCACATGCAGGGGCCTCAGCTCTCAGGAGGAAAACACTCTTGAGAGAAGAGAACTGAGGAAAGGTAGCGCTGATGTCAGGGGAAGACGCATTCGACAACACGCATGAAAAAAAACACTTCTTGTTACGTTCATGCCATGCTTTTGTATTCGCCACAATAAGAAAACCAAGCAAGTACTTCAGTCAGGCGGCAGCCGTCACAGGTAAACAAACTCCTATGTGGGAAATGAACCGAGGCTGTGAGCCTCAGGCAGCTCCCCAGACCCCCAAGAGGAGAGGGAGCAGTGACCGAGCAGGCCCCGTCTGCAGTTCACACCGTCTGCCATCCGTCCCAGAGCCCAGCCTCTTGTAGCCAAGACGGGGCAGGAGACAGAGCAAAACCACTGAGACCACCACTGAGAGGGTAACCAGGCTTCTCAGTAGAACCAGGGGCTTGCCGCAGGGACGGGAGCTCTGACTGGCCACGTCGTGGAGTCTGCAGCTGCCCATGGTGGAGGGAATGGCATGCAGGTGACAAGGACATAGGGACCTTGCTGTGGCCACCCGCCGGGGTCACAGCATGTCCACGGCACCCTGATGGAAGCTTTAATCATCAACGGTGTTGGCCGCCAATGGCATAATGACCGGACCTCACCCCACCCGCAGCCCTAGTGGACACGCCCATGCAGGTGATCAGCAGTGCCGTGGCAGCCACAGAGACAGGCCACCACCACTCCTCAGGCCACTCAAAGCCACCAGCCCCTCCCTAATGGCCTCCTGAGCACCAGAAATGCAGAGGGGTGACAGCATGTCTCAGAACACACTGTGAGCACAGACCTAGAATCACCACGTCGTTCAGAATCGCCACCTCACAGAGAAGCAAACCCAAAGGCAGCCAGCGTAGGAGCCTTTTCCTCAGGAGGGCTGTGTCCTGCTCCTAAAACATTTCCAGGGTTCGGGCATCAAGATCAGATCACACGTTAATCAATCACACGTTTAAGAACGCCTGAAAGACATGTTCATAGCTATATTCGATGTCGTTGGATTTTCCAACATGGACTGATGCTCTTCAATTCTCTCAAGCGCGTTTACACACACACTTGTTTGCCTGTGTGTTTTTGTGTCCAATGTGTGTCGTGCACAGGTGCAATCCAAGTGTGCACCGGACTCACAAGACTCAGTATTGGCAGCGTCCTACATTTAGAGAGAATCCAGACAAACAGCTGGTGGGCACTGGGCACTGTTGTGTGCCAGGAACTCTCCGAGTCAGCCAGGCACTGGGCACTGTTGTGGGCTGGGCACTCTCCAAGTCAGCCGGGCACTGGGCACTGTGTGTGTGCCAGGCACTCTCCGAGTCAGTGTACATGAATGCACTTGGCCCTCTTGATGCTCTATGAGTAAGTGCTGCTGGGACACACCCATTTCACAGGTACTAAAGCTGAGACAGAGATCCACTCTGCAAACCCTTGCCCAGTGCCACTCTGGTAATAGGAAGAGTGAGAATTTGAGCTCAGGCAGAGCCACTGTCGGTGGTTTTGACAGAAATTATGGACTCTTTCTGAACTTCCTAATGAGAATTTAGGAGGCTCTCAGGTGCCCCTTCCTGTCCCACTCCATAGTTTGGCGTACGGACTCCGCTTATTCCTGACCCTCCCTGCCATCCCACCTCTGTCCCCTCTACCCACACCTCCCGCAGGAAGGCATTCCCACCCAGCTCCTCTGCCCGCATCCAATGGAGTGAGCAGGTGCAGGCGATGAATGTACTATCACCAATAATTTTGGAACTTCTACTACATATGTGTATCTACCACATGCTGCCTGAGCTCGTTGAGCTGGACTTTTAAAGCAGCAGTGCCTCAATATGCCTGGCCTGGCTGGCACACGCCGCCTGCCTAGATTGCATAGGGTGAGCAGTCTGCCTGTGCCCCCACGAGCCCGGCTGTGCCCATATGCTGACGTTATCCTCCACTGGGTACAAAAAGGATGACAGGAACCCTCCTCATCACGCTCGTCATCTCAGTAATTCCCTGGGAGCTTTTGTTTGTTTTTTGTTTTGTTTTTCTCCCTGCATCTGTCTTGCTGTTGCTCTCAGTGGAAAACATACAATATTTCTGACGTGCCCAGGCTTTGGGCCATGCTGCAAATGTATCCTGCCATTGTGAAATGACCTTCACTGCGCTCCTGCCCAGAATGTGTGGGAAGAAAAGGGCACTCGCGGTCCCATGGGCCAAACAAAAGAGTGGTCTGGGGGATCCTGTGCTATGTAGGGACAGGAGAAGGTGCCAGGACTCCTGGTGAACAAGACATTCCAAAGGCCAAGCATTGCTAACTAATGCAAGGCTGCAGGAGAGACCAGCAAATGACAATAGCCACTCTCCTCAGAAGGACAGGGATGTGCCCACGCCGGCTTCAACTCTCCCGCCCAACCCCAGCACAAGCAGAGCTGAGCGCTCAGGTCCTCCTCCATCCATGCTGCTCCTGCAGGCGGGCCCCAGGAGGCTGGACCTGCTCTTGCCTGGGTACAGCAGGCAGCTGAGCCCCCTCCTCTGACACCAGCATCCTGTGTCCCAGCCCTGCCTCCACAGCTTCTCCTCATCAGGCCTGCCATTCCCACACCACAGAGCATGCTGCTGTAAGAGGCCAGGTGTGAAGAGCCCTTATGCTCTCAACCTTGTCTGATCAGGGTGGAATGAGGAGTGGAACAGCGTAGAGCGCGGGCTGTCTATGTCAGCTACACCGGCTAACTCCGGCAAAACCTCAGTCCTTGGGTTAGGGAGACAGGTGACAACCCCATTCGCCTCTGAGCTAGGGAAGTAGAGATGCTCTATACCTGTGTCCACACCCCTCAGAGGACACCAAAGGTTTCACAGAGAGAGCTCCACACACCTCTGAGGTTGGATCCAGCCACACAGAGGTGTCTGCTATGCAGCAAGCTAAACACAACCAATTCCTGGTGTTGGGATTAACAAGCAGCAGGGCAGACCACGAGAATGAACATTTATCAACAGCCATCGGGAAACATGCCCTCCAGCTCTCACATGTTCTCCAGGCTCCCTGGGCAAATGGAGTCCTAAGTATTTTATATTTTTTGAGCTACTATAAATGGGATTATTATCTGATTTCTTTTTCAGACAGTTCATTCTCAGTGTATAAAAATGCTCTTTATTTTTGTCTGTGGATTTTGTATCCTGCAAATTTACTGAATTTATTAGCTCTAACAGTGTTTTTGGTGGCATCTTTAGGATTCTATATGTAAGATCATGTCATCTGCAAACAGGGACAATTTTAACTTCTTTTGTTCCAATTTGGATGCCTTTTGTTTCTTCCTTTTGCCTAATTGCCCTGGCTAGGTTTTGCAATACAGTGTTGAAAGAAGTGGCGAGAGTTAGCATCCTTATCTGGTTCCTGATCTTAGAGGAAAAGCTTTCAGCTTTTCACCATTGCGTATGATGTTATCTGTGAGTTTGTCATATATGGTCTTTATTATGTTGAAGCACATCCCTTCTACAGTATATCTAATTTATTGAGTGTTTTTATTATGAGAGGATGTTGTGTTTTGTTGTATGTTTTTTATACATCTAATGAGATGATATATGGTTTTTATCCTTCCCTCAATGTGGCATATCACATTAATAGAGTTGCATATATTGAACCATCCTTGCATACCAGGGATAAATCCCAGTTGATCGTGGTGAATGATCCTTTTCATGAGCTGTTGAATTCAGTCTGCTGGTATTCTTTCGAGGGTTTTTGCATCTATGTTCATCAGGGATTTTGGCCTGTAATTTTCTTTTCTTATAGTGCCTTTGTCAGCTTTGGTATCACGGTAGTGCTGACCTCGTAAAATGAGTGTGGAAGTATTCCTCTTCTTCAGTTTTTTGGAAGAGTTTGAGAAGGATGAGTATTAGTCCTTCTTTAAATGTTAGGTAAGATCAGCAGTAAAGCCATCAGGTCCTGAACTCTTTTTATGGGAGACTTTTTATTACTAATCAAATCTCCATATTTGTTATTGGTCTGTTCAGATTTTCTGTTTCTCCATAATTTTTCTTGGTAGGTATCATATGCTTAGGGATTTTCCATTTCTTCTGGGTTATCCAATTTTTGGCATATAATTGTTCATAGTCTCATGGTCCCTTACATTTCTGTGGTATTTGTTGTAATGTTTCCTCCTTCATTTCTCATTCCACTTGACTTTTCTCTTTTTTCTTAGTCTAAAGGTTTTCAATTTTGTTTATCATTTCAACAAACAAACTCTTAGTTCCATTGATCTTTTCTATTGTTTTTCTAGTTTCGATGTAATCTCTTTCTGTTCTGATCTTTATTATTTCTTTCCTATTAGATTTAGGCTTAGTTAGTTCTTTTTATAGTACCTTGAGGTGTAATATTAGGTTGTTTATTTGGATTCTTTCTTCTTTTCTGATGTAGGCATTTATCACTATAAACATCCCTCTTAGACCTGCTTCTGCTGCATCCCATAGGTTTTGGTATGCTTTGTTTTTATTTTTATTTATCTCAAGAGATCTTTTAATTCTCTTTTTAATTTCTTCTTTGACATATTGGTGGTTCAGAAGCATGTTGTTCAATTTCCATATATTTGTCAATTTTCTGAAATTCCTCCTGTTATTAATTTCTAGTCTCATACCAGGATGTTCAGAAAAGATGCTTAATGTGATTTGAATCTTCTTAAATTTATTAATGTGTTTTGTGGCATAATGTGATCTATCCTGGAGAATGTTCTCTGTGTTTCAGAAGAATGTGTATTTGCTACCATTATATGGTATATTCTGTATATATCTGTTATGTCCATTTGGTCTAAAAGTATAGTTTAAGACTGATGTTTCCTTATTGATTTTCTGTCTGAATGATCTGTCCATTGCCGAAAGTGGGTATTGAAGTCCCCTACTGCTACATTACAGTCCATCTCTCTTTCTTCAGACATATTAATATTTGCTTTACATACTTAGGTTCTCCAGTTTTTAGCCCATATTTATAATTATTATATCTTCTTGATGAATTGACCCCTTTATCACTGTATAATGACTTTATTTTACAGTTTATGACATGAAGTCTATTTTATTTAAGTATAGCACTTCTACTCTCTTTTGGTCTTCATTTGCATGAAATATCTTTTTCATCCCTTCGCTTTCAGTCTATGTCCTTAAAAGTGAAGGGAATCTCTTGTAGGTAGCATATAGTTGGGTCCTATTTTTCAGCCATTCAGCCACTCTGTCTTTTGATTAGAAAATGTAATCCATTTACATTCACAGTAATTATTGACAGGCAGGGTCTTACTAATGCCATTTTGTTCATTGTTTTCTGGTATTTTCTAAGTCCTTTTTCCTTTCATCCTCTGTGTCTGTCTTCCCTTATGATTGGGTGATTTTCTCTAGTGATATGCTTTGATTCCTTACTTTCTATCTTTGGCATATCTACTAAGGTTTTTGCTTTGTAGTTACCATGAGGCTTACATAAAAATATCTTACAGTTATAGCAAGCTTTTCTAAGTTGGTAACAGCTTAACTTTGATCACATTTTTAAAATCTCTACACATTTACTCCACCCACCCCACGCATAAACTTTAATGTCACAATTCATATCTTTTTGTTGTAGCTATTATTTAAGAAATTTCATAGCTATCACTGTGATAGTTTTCTCTTTTTACCTTCATGCTAAAGACTTAAGTGATTTGTACACCACCATTACAGTATTATTCTGAATTTGACTGTATACTTATTTTTATCAGTGAGTTCTATACTTTTGTATGTTTTCATGTTGCTAGTTAGCATTCTTTTCTTTCAGCTTGAAGAACTCTCTTTAGAATTTCTTGTAGGACAGCTCTGGTGGTGATTAATCCCTCAGCTTTTGGTTGGCTAGGAAGGTCTTTTCCTCTCCTTCATTTCTGAAGAACAGCTTTGCCAAGTACAGTATTCTTGGTTGGCCATTTTTTTCCTTCAGCACCTTGAATATATCATTCTACTCTCTCTTGCCTATAGGGTTTCTGCTGAGAAGTCTGCTATAAACCTTCCTGTAACTCCTTTATATGTGATTTGCTTCTTTTCTCTCACTGCTTTTAAGATCCTCTTTGTCTTTGATTTTTGACAGTTTGATTATAATATATCTCAGTATAGTCTTATTTGGATTCAATCTAATCGGAGACTTTTGATCTTCCTGTACCTAGATATTTATATATTTCCCCAGAATTGGAATGTTTTCTCATATTATTTAAATATGCTTTCAGTCCCTTGGTCTCTCTTCTCCTTCTTGAATACCTGTAACTCAAATATTTGATCTTTTGGTGTTATCTCACAAATCCCATAAGCTTTCTTCATTCCCGTTTACTCTTTTTCTCCTCTGACTGTATGTTTTCAAATAACCTGTCTTTAAGTTCACGGATTCTGTTTCATCAATTCTGCAGTTGACACTCTCTACTGCATTTTTCATTTCATTTATTGTGTTTTCCACATCCAGAGTTTCTAGAATTTTTAAAAAATAATTTATACCTCTCTGTGGAATTTCTAATTGCAGTCATTTACTGTTTTCCTGATTTTATTGAATTGTTTTTCTATATTTTCTTGAAGTTCATGAACTTCCTTCAAACACTTACTTTGAATTATCGGGCCATTTGTTTATCTCCATTTCTTTGGAGTCTGCTGCTGGGAGATTATTGTGGTTTTTGGTGGTGTTGTGTCTCCTTGGTTTTTCATGTTTGTTGTTGTTGTTGTTGTTGTTGCCTTACGTTGATGTCTGCACATTTTGGGAAGTAGGGACTTATTCTATTCTTTGTAGAATGGCTTCGCCTGGGTAAGCCCTTCATCAATAAGCCCATGCAGATTCTGGGCGTCATCTGGCATGCTCCATAGGTAGGCTTGCTATTGGGGTCCTCACGCAGGCTGGTCCAATGCCTGGGTTAGCAGGTGAGTGAGCCTTGGCCTGGATCCACTGGAGTGGACCTGTTGATTGAGTCTGCAAGGGTGAACTTAGAGCCTGGCATCCGTTAAGGCAGGACTGGTGCTAGGGTAGGCCATATACCTGAGTCTGAAGGGGCTGTCCTGGGGCTAAGGTGGGCCCAGAGCTTGAATTTGTGGGGGTGAGCCTGGGTCCTGGATCCACAAGGGTTGGCCTGGAGCCTAAGTCTGCAGAAGTGGTCTTGGAGCCTCTGTCCAAAGGGGCTGGCTGGCACCAGGGGTCTATTGGAGTGGGCCTGGACTCTGAGTTCTGGAGCCTGGAGCACTGGGGACCAGCCTGGATCCTGAGTCCACAGGGACACTCCTGGAGCCCAGGTCAGTGAGGGCTGGTTCAGTGCTGGGGCCTACCAGGATAGGCCTGGGTCCTGTCTGCTAACCATGGAGCTGCAGGGCCAGCCTGGTGCCAGAGATGATGTGGAGCCTGAGGCCAATGGGGTCAACCTGTATGCGGAGTGGGCCCAGAGACTAAGTCCACTGGGCAGGTGTGGGGCCTGGGCCTGCATGATCCTACCTGGTATTGGGGCAGGCCTGAAGCCTCCGTCCTTGGGTACCAGCCTGGAGTAGGAAGCTATGGGGGCATGTCTGGTGCTGGGTTTAACTTGGTTGGTGGGGGATCAGGAGGCAGTTTTAGAGTTAGAAGCAAAGTCTGGTACTCACTTCTCTTTCCTTCCCCCACATAGAGGGCATCTCTCACCACAACATGCTGCTAGGCCTGGGTGAGAGGGGACCCAGTCATGCAAAACTGTTTTTTCTGCCTTTTCAGTGCATCTTATTTCTGTGCCATGCCCAGGTGCTATCACCTCTCACCTGGTTTCCTTAGCACTTGTGAAGGTATTTTTGCACACAGATAGATGTTCAAATTGTTGTTTCTGTGATGGATGAGCAATGGAGAGTCCTCTCCTGCTGCCTTGCTGATGTCCATCTCTGACGAATGTTGACTATGTGACTCTCTTTAAAATATTCAGGGAAAGGAGCATCTGATTCTTTAAGAAGTCAGCAGATAAAATGTGGATGCTCTTTGACAGAGGAGGAGGAGGTCTGCTGAGCCAAGAGCAGGATGCAGAGATGGGGCATTTCTGCTCTGGGGTGGGGAGTTGAGAACCTCATGGCAGGAGGAGTTTCCAAGGCTTGCCTTCATTCCACCCCACTTGGTGATGATGTAACAGCTTCCATTTGTGTTTCACAGTTTTCAAAATGTACTCACCAGGATCAACCCACTTGGTCTTCATGACTCTTTTGATGTGGATCTAGCTGTGTTGCTTTGTATTATTCAAGATGTCTAATCATTTTCACACTTGAGGGTTCTAGGGATTTTTCTGATACTATCCACTCTTCCCTTGATATACAAAGTCATATGATACAGAATCACACATATTTGTTGATCTGGAGAAACAATAGGGATATGAGGATATCATTTATTGGAATTTATATTTTGTTTGGGTTTTTTTAGTCTAAGCTCTAGGAGCTTCCCCTCCCCCAATTGTTATAAATTAACTAGATTTTGGTTGATTTCTAATGTTTTCCAAAAAGTGTTTATTCATTGGTTTTTGTCTTTAAAGTTAAGATTCACTGGGTAAAGTAAAATAGAGTTCTGTGGCAAGAAACAACCCTGACAGATGAAACTGACCCTGGACAGTGCTGCTGTCTTTGGTTGTCTGACTTATTACTTCTGATTTGTAATAATTTCTGAGGCTGAATACAGTGTTAAATGAAATTCCCTGTCTGCACCAATGTTCCTGCACTTTGTAACTCGATTCTTGACTTCAAATAAAAGTGACTTCTTCATATAGCTTTGCCATTTACTCTTAGAGCCAGCTAACACTACCAGAACCCTAACAAAATCACAAGAAAGTTTAACTCAAGAAGAGAGAGATGAAAGAGGGAGAGAAAGAAGAGGGGAGTGTAAAAGCCATTTCCAAAACAAGAGGCCCAGACATCAATTTGTAATTATCTGCCCACATGAGTCTAAAGGCTTTTATTTGATAAGGCCAGTAATACACAAGCCTGTAATGTGAATTATTTCAAAGAATAAAAGCCTGATTGTCTCCATGACCTGTCTAGCTTTTAGTGAGGCTTAAGACAAGATTACATTCCATACAGCCCGCAAATGGATCCCTCCTCTCCCCACCTTCCTGCTTCTTTCAGAAATGCCAGGGTTTTCTGTGCTGCCATCTGGTAAGCTTCCAGTTCCGATAGGTCTCAATTTCCTCCTCTGTTGAGACATCTAATTCTCCTGAGGGTGACGGTTCTTCCTTGTCTGAAATGAAGCTTCTATTAAACAAAGACTGCCCCTATTCCAGGATGTTCAAAAGCAGATGGAGCCCGCCTCCTGGTGAGGCTTTTCCATTAACACTAAAGAATGCCCTAAATCAAGCTTTTCAGTTTTAAATAGGGATGAAGTCTAACTGACCTCATACTTTAAAATTAAAAGGTAAAAACTGTGGGTTGCATCAGAAAAGAAAATGCAAGCTTTTAAAGCATTCACAGGTAAGCCATGTAGTTTTAATCCTAAGAGTAGTACAGTTGCATTGCTTAATGGTAGGGGTACATTCTGAGTAATTCCTCATTAGGTGATCCTGTCACTGTGCAAACATCACGGGTGCACTTACGCACCCCCAGATGGGACAGCCCGCCACACACCTGGGCTGGATGGTAAAGCCCATTGTGCCTAGGCTACAAATCTGTCCTACAAGTTACTGTGCTGAATGCTACAGGCAATTGTAACACAAGGTTAAGTATCTGTGTATCATCTATACATTAAAAGGTGCAGTAAAAATATGGTATAAAAGATAAAAATGGGCCGGGCATGGTGGCTCACGCCTGTAATCCCAGCACTTTGGGAGGTCAAGGTGGGTGGATCAGTTGAGGTCAGGAGTTTGAGTTCAGCCTGGCCAACATGGTGAAACCCTGTCTCTACTAAAAATACAAAAATTAGCCTGGCGAGGCAGCAGGCACCTGTAATCCCAGCTACTAGGGAGGCTGAGTCAGGAGAATCACTTGAACCACGGAGGCAGAGGTTGCAGTGAGTCAAGATCACGTCACTGCACTCCAGCCTGGGCAACAGAGTGACATTCAGTCTAAAAAAGAAGATTAAAATGGTGCAGCTATATAGAGCACTGACCATGAATGGAGCCTGCAGGACTGAAATTTGCTCTGAGTGCATCAGTGAGGGTGGGGTGGGTGAGTGTGAAGGCCGAGGACATTACTGTACACCACTCTAGACTATCAACACTGTATACTTAGGCTACACTAAATTTATAAAAATGTTTTTTCTTCAATAATAAATTACCTTTAAATAGTAACTTTGGGCTGGGCACGGTGACTCACGCCTATAATCCCAGCAGTTTGGGAAGCTGAGACAGGTGATCACCTGAAGTCAGGAATTCAAGACCAGCCTGGCCAACATGGTTAAACCCCGTCTCTACTAAAAATACAAAAATTAGCCAGGTGTGGTAGTGTGCACATGTAATCCCAGGTACTCGGGAGGCTGAGGCAGGAGAATCGTTCAAACCTAGGAGGCAGAGGTTGCAGTGAGCTGAGATCGCACCACTGTTCTCCAGCCTAGGTGACAGAGCAAGACTCTGTCTCGAAAAAAAAAAATAGTAACTTGTGTACTTTATAAATGTTTTAACTACTTTTAACTTTTTCTTATAACACTTAGCTTAAAACAAACACATAGTACAGCAGTATAAAAATAGTCTCTTTATATCCTTATTCTATAAGCTTTTTCCTATTTACACTTTTCTTCCACTTTTAAAACTTTTTTGTTAAAAAAAAAAAAACTAAGACACAAACACACACCCTAGCCTAGGCCTACACAGGGCAGGCTCATCAATATCACTGTCTTCCACCTCCACATCTTGTCCCACAGGAAGGTCTTCAGGGGCAATAGCACATGTGGGGCCATCATCTCCTATGAGAAGAATGCCTTCTGCCGGCATATCTCCTGAAGGACCTGCCTGAGTCTGTGTGAGTGTTAGTTTTGCTTTTTAATAAGTAAAAAGAGTGCATTCTAAAATAATGATAAAAGTACAGCAAATACACATGTACCGTGCACAGCTAGACTAGACTTTCATACAAGTGGGAGTGCAGTTGGCTCGTCTACACCAGCATCACCACAAACATGTAATTCACTGCACTGTGACATCATGAGGGCCACAAGGTCAGTCGGTGACAGGGGTTTTCAGCTCCACTACAACCATATGGGACCACCATCATGTACGCGATCTGCTGCTGGTGGAAACATTGTTATGTTGTGCTTGCTGTTTACAGTTTCTCAACATCACTTGAACCTACAAGAATATCTAAGGACCTTCTGAGACACAAAAGCTTGATTCTCAAATACATAAAAATAAGAAGGATTTTTGTTTTCCCCCAAAGTGATGAAATTACATGAGAGTTTGTTGTTTTCATGTCTGGCTCCCATATTTTTTGTAAGTTTTTCATGTAAATTAAAGGTTTACTCTGGCGTCAACTATTCCCTCCTGGCCTGGAATCACAGACGTTCCATTTCTTCCATCTACTCATTTGGGAATAAGTCACGTAATTCCCGGCCCTCAGCTCCTCAACTGATATCCCTGAGCAACAGCATCAGACATGCGTGTGCCTCTGACACAGGAGGATGCGAGAGGCAGGGCTGAGCCAGGCCAGGCAGGAGCAAGCGGGGAGGGAGGAGTGTTCCCGGGGGAGAGTGAGAGGCAGGAAAGACATCCAGCCACAAGGAGACCTGGGAGCACGGGTCGCCCAGAATTCAGTGTGCTTCTATTTCCACGCTCATGGTTCACCCACCTTTCTGAGGGTCCAAGCCCACGGCACCCGCTGACCCTGCCTGTCTGCCCAGACACTGCACCACATCGTGGTTCACCTGCCTTTCTGAGGGTCTAAGCCCATGGGGCCCGCTGACCCTGCCTGTCTGCCCAGACACTGCGCCACTTTCCACGCGCGTGGTTCACCCACCTTTCTGAGGGTCCAAGCCCACGGCGCCCGCTGACCCTGCCTGTCTGCCCAGACACTGCACCACCTTCCACGCGCATGGTTCACCCACCTTTCTGAGGGTCCAAGCCCATGGCGCCCGCTGACCCTGCCTGTCTGCCCAGACATTGCACCACATCATGGTTCACCCGCCTTTCCGAGGGTCAGAGCCCATGGCACCCGCTGACCCTGCCTGTCTGCCCAGACACTGCACCACATCGTGGTTCACCTGCCTTTCTGAGGGTCTAAGCCCATGGGGCCCGCTGACCCTGCCTGTCTGCCCAGACACTGCGCCACTTTCCACGCGCATGGTTCACCCACCTTTCTGAGGGTCCAAGCCCACGGCACCCGCTGACCCTGCCTGTCTGCCCAGACACTGAACCACATTGTGGTTCACCCGCCTTTCTGAGGGTCTAGGCCCATGGGGCCCGCTGACCCTGCCTGCCTGCCCAGACACTGCACCACTCTCCATGCGCGTGGTTCACCCACCTTTCCGAGGGTCTAAGCCCATGGAGCCCGCTGACCCTGCCTGTCTGCCCAGACACTGCACCACTCTCCATGCGCGTGGTTCACCCACCTTTCCGAGGGTCTAAGCCCATGGAGCTCGCTGACCCTGCCTGTCTGCCCAGACACTGCACCACTCTCCATGTGCGTGGTTCACCCATCTTTATGAGGGTCTAAGCCCATGGGGCCCGCTGACCCTGCCTGTCTGCCCAGACACTGCACCACATCGTGGTTCACCTGCCTTTCTGAGGGTCTAAGCCCACGGTGCCTGCTGACCCTGCCTGTCTGCCCAAACACTGCACCACTCTCCATCCGCACGGTTCACCCGCCTTTCTGAGGGTCCAAGCCCACGGCGCCCGCTGACCCTGCCTGTCTGCCCAGATGCTGCCCCACATCTCCATAGCACCCAGTTGTGCACTAGCAGCTGAGGTGAGCTGT
This sequence comes from Homo sapiens, assembly GCF_000001405.40. Lineage (NCBI taxonomy): Eukaryota > Metazoa > Chordata > Mammalia > Primates > Hominidae > Homo > Homo sapiens. The sequence continues at coordinate 158,295,901 of NC_000007.14, forward strand.
CGAATCCTCATTTTCTCACTTTTCATTTTCACATCATCAGGCACCTTGTCTGAGATGGTTGCTTAGTTAAATAAACAGAAAGATGAGTTTGGATTGCTTCTGATATGGGAGATGGGCAGGGAAGTGCTGGGTGGAGAAGGGCGGGTCTCTGGCAAGGGCTCTACCCCTGGACCTTTCCCATGGGCCTAGGCGAGGACAGGCATTTTTGTTTTTGTGCCCAAATGTTGCATTTCCCAAGACCACCCTGGTCCACCATGCCTCTATCCTGTGCCTATAAAAACCCTGAGACCCTAGCAGGCAGAGACACAAGCAGCTCCCCAAGACCCTAGTGGGCAAAGACACAAGGGCTGGATGTCAAGAGGAGCACACCGGCAGAAGAACTCACTGACAGGCACCAGCAGACTAGGTAGTTGGAGGAGAGCCTGGCTGCTGAGCGGCCCGACTCCAGGGGAAAACTGCCTTCCCAGTCCATCTCCCTCTGGCTCCTGCTGAGAGTTACTTCCACTCTATAAAACCTTGCGCTCATTCTCCAAGCCCATGTGCGATCTGATTCTTCCAGTACACCAAGGCAAGAAACTCCAGGACACAGAAAGCCCCCTGTCCTTGCAATAAGGCAGAGGGTCTAATTGAGCTGGTTAACACAAGCCGCCCACAGACGGCGAAACTAAAAAAGCACCCTGTAACACACGCCCACTGGGGCTTTAGGAGCTGTAAGCATTCACCCCTAGACACGGCCGTGGGGTCTGAGCCCACAGCCTGCCCGTCTGTATGCTCCCCTGCAGGTGGGAGCAGTGGGGCACTGAAGAAGCAACCCACTCCTCCATCGCACGCCCTGTGAGGGGAATAAGGGAACTTTTCCTGTTTCACTTCATCTCAACCCTCCTGACCCACTCTCTTCTGGGTGGCAGTTGGCCTTTCTGAGGCAGCAGATGGAGCCAAGCATGTAGGCTGTGGTCACAGAGGCACATGGCCACCTGGCCCACAGGAAGACCATGGGAAGACCACAGGTGGACACGCCCGGCACTCAGGGAACTCTAAGGGAGGTGGAGCTTGGGTGGTGGAGCAGTTGGGGTGGTGGGGCAGGAGAGACCAGCAGATGTGGCCGGGGGCAACATTTGGAATGTCCATGGATAGCATTCCATCCAAACACAAACGTGCGCCTTACTAGTTCCTCTGCTTCTGAAGCGGTAACGGTGAAAATCCTGGGAGCTCTCAGGATCCAGTCCCGGAGGGACCAGCACAGCACATATACAGCTTCTGCCAATGGCTGGGCATAAGCTTTTAAAAACTGATCATGTTTCCTAGCTACAGAATGACTTTCTCTTCATTTCAGATTGATCATCATTCAGAGAGAGCTGCTAACTCTCTGGCTTTCAGCCGTTCTGTCCTGGTGTTAACAATCTGGGAACCTATTCTGAAATGTACCAGAGAAACTCTCTGTTCAAAGGGATCTGCCAGAAACCCTTTGGGAAGGGAAGACGCCCCTGGAGCCACAGTGATGACACTGCAAAGTCCGTTCATTTGTGATACGGTATCTCCTTGTGGTTCAGCAACCCTCAGCCCATGACCTGGTGAGCTTGACTTGAGGCTTCATTCTTCATCAGACACAGAAGCATCTTGTCTTGGGAAGGGTCTTCACGTACAGCCCTCATTTCTCCTTTGACTACAAAACCCAGCAGTAAGGAGGGGTCTTTCAGAGTCATTAAGGACAGGTCCCAAAGAAATATGGACTTAGTAAAAAATATAATCAGGTTTCTTGTAAAACAGAGAATGGCCAATGTTTAGAGGTTAAGAGTGCTACAGGTGCACACCACACGTGCCTATGTTTAAAATAACTAACCCCCATCCTACCTAACCACATACCCCAGTTATGCTGTTCCCTCACCTCTCCACATATATTTTGGAGAATATCACAATAGGATGGTTTGTGGACAGAATGAATTTCCTATTGTGAATGTGGACTACTCTTACTGAAGTTACAAAACAAGTTGACTGAAAATTTAAGGAATGCATGTTTTAATGAATATAGACTAACTCAAGTTTTCTTTACTTTTTGAGTCACTTTTATCAACTTACAGGTTTTTTTTCTAATTGCCTTTTCAAATTTCTTAGAACAAAGTCATTAGTAGTGTTTTCCTACGATTCTTGAATTCAATTTACCTATGGTGGAATTCCCTTTTTCCTCTCATTAATTGTGTACTTATGCCCTTTTTTGTCATTGTCGGTAAAAAGAGCTCTGTAAGTCTTTTCAAAGACCCAGAGATATTTCTGCTGTTTGTGTTCTTGATGCTTGCCCTCATTTCTTCGTACCTATTTCAGTATTTTCTGCTCTTGTCTTCATTATTTTCTTCTTTTTAATGTCTTTTGCTTGCTTTGTTCGTCCTTTTATTCTTATTATGAAACGTTTCAGGCACACAAAAAGGAATAAAATAATATGACACAGGTTGAATATCCCTCATCTGAAATGTTTGGGACTAGAAGTGCTTTGGATTTCAGATATGTTTGGATTTATTCTGGAATATTTGCATGTACATAATGAAATATCTTGGGGACAGGACCCAAGTCGAAACATGAAATTACTTGTGTTTCCTTATACCTTATATAGAAGGCCTGAAGGTAATGTTATGTAATTTTTAATAATTTTGTGCACATAACAAAGTTTATGTGCCGTGAATCTGGAAGAAAAGAATGAAGAGCTTGCGGGGGAGGCCACCTCTGAAGGAATGGCCGAGAAACTTCCCAAGTGAAAAAGCTGTGAGGCTTCAGATTGGAGGAGGGCGCAAGGGCCCAGCAGGATGTGCCAAAGTTGTGCTCGGGCACATCAGGAGGAAATCAGGCCCCACAATGTCACCTCCAAGCACCTCCTGGGGTTGCCTGTCCTCTCTCCTCTTCCTGCTGAGCCCCTGGGTCCAAGGACCTCCCACCTTCAAAAAAGTAAAAACAGCACAGCCCAGACCCAGGGGTAAAATTCATGTCATCACTTCTTCCTGGGCCAGCACCCAAATACCTCCTGAGCCACAGGAACACGATGCCTCTGTGGCCCTGACAGCCACTGCCGATTGTCCTGGGAGGGGCCTTCAGGGAACCGCACAGGAAGGAGGGTGCAGCTCAGCCCGTTTTCAAATCCAGCAGGATGTTCATGACCTCCCTGCAGACACTAATGGACAGAACGTCACAGCAGTCTGGTGAGCGATGATGTCAGTGCATTATTAAATTCAAACTGGAGGGGAAGTTTTGACACTAATCAATGCTTTTTATCCCACCCAAGACTGGCATATTCCCGAGACAAATCTCAGTGGTTACTGAATAGCTTGCAGACCTGGGCTGCCCTGGGGAAACTGCCATGCAAGTCTGTCCTTCCCACCTTTCTGCAGATGCACGCAGGGCTCTCAGGAAGCAATTTTTTTTTTTTTTTGAGATGGAGTCTCACTCTGTTGCCCAGGCTGGAGTGCAATGGCATGGTCTTGGCTCACTGCAACCTCTGCCTCCCAGGTTCAAGCAATTCTCCTGCCTCAGCCTCAGGAGTAGCTGGGACTACAGGTGCATGCCACCACATCCGGCTAATTTTTGTATTTTTAGTAGAGATGGGGTTTCACCATGTTGGCCAGGCTGGTCGTAAACTCCTGACCTCTTGATCCGCTGGCCTCAGCCTCCCAGAGTGCTGGGATTACATGTGTGAGCCACCACGCCTGACCAGGAAGCAATTTTTTTTAGCTCATTAACATGGCAAAGACAGATAGCCAGGGCCTTCTGAGAGCTGTAAATGAGCTTCTCACCTCTCTGACAGTTTTCAGCAGACATGGATTCCTCAGTCCTAGAGCTGCTGGCTGCATTCATCCTTCACTGCCACAGAGCTCCCTCACCTCCCTCAGGAAGTGGCAGAGCAGTTGGCGGTTCCCAGGCCCCCCAGGGAAGCCCTGGCAGGTGCTTGCTGGGGTTGGGTCTTTACCCCAGAACCCAGCAAAATGAGCACCTTGGTCTGGGAGGAGAACGTCCCTGAAAGGCCCTTGGACAGTATTAGCAGCTCAGGGGCAGGTTCTGGAAAGGCCTTTTCCGGTTAACACCACTGAATGGTTCATGGGGTCAGAGCAGGCAAAACGAGCACCATTTCCTCCCAAGAAACACATTTTTCCCACTGTCTGACAGTTGAAAATATTTGTTTACTTTGTAGAAACCTAGGATGTTTTGGCAGCAAGCAATTTATGTCACTTTGAACCACAGAGAATGCCTCTGAAATGATGATATGGGTCAATGAAGAAGCAAAGTTTCTTAACTGAAGTCCATTTCATAGAAACAAATGCGGAAATGATTGTAATTATGAGGGATGGGCCCACTGTGGCATTTCCCAATGGTGACAGTCAGGCTCTACCCCTAGCCCTTGGAGTCAAGGCCATAAAGCAAACGGCCAAAGGTCCCCTCGTATCGTCTGATCCGACGGCTAGGGTTGGAAGGTGGGCAGCCTCACGGGAGCATGGACCTAGGTAGTCGCCAGGGGCCTGTGTGCAGAAAAATTTCTCATTTGCTTTGACACGCTGCTGTTGCTGTCTTGAAATTCTCAAAGATTTTATCTCCCAACCTATATTTTGTGTGAGACATCCCATGAGGCGACGTGGTGCGCGCACCTGCAGAGAAGACACCCCAATCTGCACGCCCACAGCGCCTCGCCCGCCACCCAGTCCCGCAGCGCCTCGCCCCCCACGTGTCTGTCTGTGCTCATGTGGCCCTAAGAGGCCACTCCTCTGCTTACCCAGAGCTTGCTGCAAACCACAAAGTGCAACAGTGTTCTAAGAAACACAAACGACCAAGGGTCCCACCCTCTCTCCCACTCACATTGCTTTCCCACATAAGCCACCATTTATGCTGAACGTGGCCGTGTGGAGGGAGGGGAGGTGGGCAGCCCACAGTCCTTCTCATGTGTGAGCAAAGGTGGAGAATCTCGGTGGACAGGGGCTGTTTCATGAAGGGAAATAAACACAGCCGAGTGAGTTTCACACAGCATTTCCACCGCTGTAATGAGAATGAAATACATATGCATGTTTGAGCTGTGACAGATGAACTATGTAGTTGTTCAGATTCTGCATGTGAATTAAATGTTCTTTCATTTGCATTTGAAACCAGCAACGCACGATATACAGATGAATGGTAACCTTCATGTTAATAATTCAAAAATCTTAATGTTTTTAGAATGATGCTGAATAGCAAATAAAAATCCCATGACAAGTCAAGACGGAGATTGTGAAAGGAAACATCTTATACTATAACTAGTTCCTTTAGGGGCACTTTTCCTTGATTTCTGAACTAAGGACCTGTATTTGCACTTTGCACGGGCCGTGCAAATTAAACAGACAGCATTGCAGGGCATGAACACAGACGAACCACGACCAACTCAGCTGTCCCGAGGCTCTGTGTTAACGGCTCCTGACACACTCCCCTCCTCCCTGTTCTGATCTGTTTGCATTAATATGCGCTCAATTGTAAGAAGCTGAACAGATGTATTTATTCAGAATTCCCAAGCAGCTAACTAGAACTCCCAATTCTGAGTCATCGTCTTAGCTCCCGAGGTGCTTAGCAGAATGCTCTGTATTTATCAGCTTCCCGGTTAACCTACACACCACTCCCCAGCTCTTGCTGGTTTGAGTTATGTGAACCTTCAACATCATTAGGGAAGCTTCTACCACACTTAGTACTGATAAGCAAAGTGCATTCACACTTCCTGAGGATTTAATGAGTGGCACCATCTAAATTAATCTTAAGAACAATCCCATTTGCTGGGCGTGGTGGCCCATTCCTATAATCCCAGAACTTTGGGAGGCCAAGGCAGGTGCATTGCTTGAGCCCAGGAGTTTGAGACCAGCCTGGGCAACATGGCAAAACCCCATCTCTGCCAAAAAATACGAAAATTAGCTGGGCATGGTGGTTTGCACCTGTAGTTTCAACTACTTGGGAGGCTGAGGTGGGAGGATCACTTGAGTCCAGGAGGCAGAGGTTGCAGTAAGCCGAGATTGTGCCGCTGTATTCCAGCCTGGGCAATAGAGTAAGAGCCTGTCTCAAAAAAAGCAATCCCCTGTCCCATGAGATGGTATGACCTCCTCCAATCTAGGAAGCTATTGATTGCAAGACAGACCATTACTCTAGTACTGCTAAGGAAAAACAAACCCGCTGGCAGTTAAACTATGATGTGCTATTTATAAAAGATGCCTCCTAATTTCAGTGATGGGAAAACAATACACACCTGAGAAATGATGACATTCAGGGTGGTGGGTACTGTGACAGCCACACTGCTGCTTCCTGGGGACTCTGCATCCTCTCCCCAGACACCAGCTGTTGAGGGCTAGGGGTTAGCCGCTGAATCCCTCCCCATCACCACCTGAGCCCAAGGGAACAGCCACTCCCTAAGTTACAGTCTCTTGCTCCCTGGAGGTGAACCACCATCAGTGATCCCTCATGTGGGACACAAAGGCCTAGCCCCCAGCCTTGGTTGGGTCAACCCTGAAGGGGAACCCCAGCTCCGGCTGCAGAGCACCTCACAGGATCAGCTCGGTCCTCTTAAACTGCATTCCAGCTCACCTTCTCCCTCTGCCCAATTCAGCTTCCCTCACCTGTACGGGGGTTACCCCAGATCACCCCCAGTCACCGACTGCATGCAAATCTCTGTCTCAGAGTTTGGTCCCAGCACATTCAACCTAGGGCATGTAGGACCACCCTCGTTTCACGATAAACAACCAAAACAGGGCAGTTACGTGATGTGCGTAAGATGGCACGACTCACACGTGCCGCAGCTGGAACTTAAACTCCATCCGGACTCCAAGGCCACCCTGTTGTCTCTCCACAATCAATGCTCAGAGCACAGCCTGCAACTGTAAGAGGCCCCTAAGCTCTTTCAAGTGGTCCATGAGGCCAAAACTATTTTCATAAAATACTAAGACATACTTTGCCTTTCTCACGTGTACTCTTTTATGAGAGAACTTGGAACAGTCCAGAGGCTATGTGGCAGGAAATGACACAGAATGAGTGGGAGGCAGAGATGAGAATCCAAGTGTTTTCTGTTAAATGAAACAATGAGATATGCAAAAGCGTGAAACAAGAATGTAAAAATGTAAAACAAAAATGTCACACTTAGCACTTTTTTATGTTTTGGAAAATATAGCTACTGTGTTTATAATGAAATAATTTTATGATTTATTTTAAAGTGAATTAATAAACAGCTTTTCTAAAGTGTTGGCAATTTTAATTTCTAAGGTAACAAATGTGGATAGCACTAACCCACCAAAAAAAAAAAAAAAAATTCTTTGGAGTCTTCAGTAATTTTCAATAATAGGATGTGATCCTGAGAACAACATTTTAAAAATCACGGCTCTGCACTCTGCTGCTGGGAGTTTGGAATTCCGCTCTCCATTCCACACCAGCCGAAGGACCCCAGGAACACCCTGTAATCCCTCTGTGATTCCGTCTCTTTAATCTGCTAAATAAAGAGATGTAACTTCCCTACAGCAAAAGGAAAGCACCAGTAGAATTCTGTAAGTTAAAACTACTGTTAAAATTTTACTGCTCTATACTATATCCAGTATTCCCTTCTCCATTATTCTATGAAAATTTTAACAAAATGCATTATACTAATTTACCATACAGGATTAAAATGTCATTAAGCTTGCAATGTGTAAACCTTAAAACAGCTGGATAAAAATTTAAGACAGGAATAAGAAGAAAGCCATTCATATTGTTGGTATATAAAACAAGCTTCAGAGAGTGTTAGTCCCATTTTATTCATGGAAGAAAATAAATATGAAGACACTGAAATCACCTGGAGAATTTTTAGGAGATGCTGATGGCAGGCCTCATATGAGACAAATCAATTCAGAATCTTTGAAGGGTAAGCCCCAGACACCATGGTTTCCGAGGCTCCCAAGTTATTTTAATATAACGTCAGGGCTGACAACTACTGCTCCTGTTGATGAAGAGGGTCAAACTCTGAAAACTATTTGAAGAAATGTATTCTGAGCCACATGTGGGTGACCAATGGCCCAGGCCACAGCCCCAGGAGAGCCTAAGATCATGTGCCCAAGGTGGATGGGCTTCAGCTTGGATTTCTACACACTAGGGAGGCATAAGACATCCAACAATACACTAAGATGTGCACAGGCTTGGATTTCTACATGCTAGGGAGGCATAAGACACCCATCAATACACATAAGATGTACACAGGCTTGGATTTCTACATGCTAGGGAGGCATAAGACATCCATCAATACACATAAGATGTACACAGGCTTGGATTTCTACATGCTAGGGAGGCATAAGACATCCATCAATACACATAAGACGTACACAGGCTTGGATTTCTACATGCTAGGGAGGCATAAAACACCCGTCAATACACTAAGATGTACACAGGCTTGGATTTCTACATGCTAGGGAGGCATCAGACACCCGTCAATATGCTAAGATGTACACAGGCTTGGATTTCTACATTCTAGGGAGGCATAAGACATCCGTCAATATGCTAAGACGTACACAGGCTTGGATTTCTACATGCTAGGGAGGCATAAGACACCCGTCAATACACTAAGATGTACACAGGCTTGGATTTCTACATTCTAGGGAGGCATAAGACACCCGTCAATAGGCTAAGACGTACACAGGCTTGGATTTCTACATGCTAGAGAGGCATAAGACACCCATCAATACCCTAAGATGTACACAGGCTTGGTCCAGAAAGATGGGAAAACACTAAGCAGGGTCTTCCAGGGCATAGGTGAATTCAAAGATTTCTGAATGGCAATTGGTTGAGTTTATCTAAGGACTGGGAATCGGTAGAAAGAGTGTCTGGGTTAAGATAAGGGACTGTGGAGACCAAGGTTTTTATTATGCAGATGAAGCCTCCAGGTTGCAGGCTTCAGAGAGAATAGATGGTCAATGTTTATCAGACTTGAAAAGGTGCCAGACTCTTAATTAATTCCCTCTTGGATCAGGGAAAAGACCTGGAAAGGAAAAGGGATTCTCTACAGAATGTAGACATTTCCCAGGAGAGACAGCTTTGCAAGCCATTTAAATATATCGCAGAAATATATTTTGGGGTAAAATACTTCCATTTCTTTCAGGGCCTGCAATCTGCCATGTTGGTACCTTATAGCTGCAAAAGGTCTGCTTTGTCTGTCTTCACGCCTCTGTTCCAATGTTAACGCTGGTCAGCTGTGCCTGGACACCAAGGGAGGAGGGTAGGATAAGGTGTGTCCAAACACCCCTTCCCATCATGGCCTGAACTAGTGTTTCAGGTTTACTTTAGAGTGCCCTTGGCCAAGAGGAAGGGTCCATTCAGCTGGCTGGGGGACTTAGAATTTTATTTTTGGTTTATACTCTAAAGCCAAGAGTGGCTTCTTTCCTTCAGTGCAGAGGAATCCAACGGATATTTTTAACAAGGAAAGGACAACAGAAAAAATAGGGATTCATTTTTATATTAGACAAAACATAGAGCTAAAGATAGAGGGAGAGAGGGAGGGAGGGAGACAGTGGTGGAGGGAGGTGGAGAGAGAAAGAGAAAAAAAGATGGATGTGGCCATGGCAGCATTGTTTTTGGGTATTCCCCAATTCCCACATAAAACAGACGGAGCAACTAGACAAGGAAATCAACAAACCAAGATCACACTTAAATCAAACTGAAGTGAAGCTGTCCCCAGCTAGTGATCCCCAAGGCGATGTCCAGATGAACGTTGAGGAGAGGACCAGAGAAAAGCAGCCTTAGGAAGTAGCTGTAGACATCAGTGAAAATGGCAAAGAACCTTAAACATTCCCTCCTTCATAAAAGCAATGAGAAAACCACCCAAAAATATCAGAATCAACTTTTACAGAACTCTGGAAATTAACTAAAGGCTAGCAGAAATCAGAGCAATTTACTCAAAAAAAAAAAAAAAGAAAGAAAGAAAAAGAAAGAAATGGCTGAATCTCAGCAAGAACAGCGAACTTCCTGGCATCTTAACTCACCCTATTTCCAGCTCCCTCTCCTCAGCTCTGCCACAGGCTTGAAAATGAGCAGCCCACAATGGCAGTAAAAACCAACAGCCTGGAAGCCACCAGAAAGCACAGGGTGGGGTTAGAGTGCCTTCAAAGCCCCATTCCCAGAGAATTGTCACTACTTGACCTGTCTGGTTGTTCCCTGGAGGACCCACTGGAAAGGCTGTCTTTATTTCATCCAACTCAAAGCTCACATATGTGAAAAGTCTTTCCCTGGGGGCATTTGTTGAAAACATTTAGAGACAATGTTTTACTTACCAGCCACCTGAGGTAGAGGATAATGGTTGGGACAAACAATAGGCTAACCAGAAAGCTTGAAGGAAAAGCTGGAAAATGAGATGTGCACAGGTGCTTTGCAAAGCTCTGACACGATCCTTGGAATATGGATGGCCACAACACATGGAGGGCTGTGTGCCTGCCCAGGCTGTGCACACTCAGGGAAGACATGAGGCTCTAAGCTCTCACCACTGGCTGATGTAGAGGCTCTGGGCCAGCATGAAGTGAAGGCTACAACAGAGCTGTGAACTGCCTGTCTGATGGCTGAAGGTATGCCCCACACTCACACAGAACCCTCAGCAGAGACTGAGGCTTGTTTCTAGGCATTTAAGGCAATCTGTCTGGTCATCTGACCACTAACCAAACTGAGCAGAGACTTGGTGGCCACACATGATGAAAAAACACAAACTTTACAGAATTAGTTCAGAATAGTCACTAAGCAAGCAAACAACAATAAACAGCAACAACAACAACAACAACACCTAAGGAGAGGGAAATTCTGGTTTTCAAAGTTGCCACACTATGTTATTTAAAATATTGAGTTTTACTAAAAATTTTTGAGGCATTCAAAGAAACATGCAAATGTGCCTCTTCCACAGGAAAACAATAGAAGCTGTTCTTGGGGAAGCCAAATGGCTTACAAGACAAAGACTTTAAATGAGCTGTTTTTTGTTTTTTTTTTTTTTTTTTTTTTTTTTTTTTAGACAGAGTCTTGCTCTGTCATCCAGGCTGGAGTGCAGTGGTGTGATCCCAGCCTACTGCAACTTCTGCCTCCCAAGTTCAATTGATTCCCCTGCCTCAGCCTCCCAAGTAACTGGGATTACAGGCATGCACCACCATGCCCAGCTAATTTTTGTATTTTTAGTAGAGACGGGGTTTCACCATGTTGGGCAGACTAGTCTTGAACTCCTGACCTCAAGTGATCCACCCGCCTCGGCCTCCCAAAGTGCTGGGATTATAGGCATGAGCCACTGTGCCCAGACTAAATGAGCTATTTTTAATGTGCTCCAAAAACTGTAAGAACAATGTCTAAAGAGCTAAATAAAAGTAGGAAAATAGTGTCTCATCAAATAGAGAATATGAATAAAAAGATAGAAATTATATTTCAAAAATAATTGAAAAATTCAGTACAGCAGCTCAACAGCAGATCTTAGCAGCAGAAGAAAGAATCAGCAAACTTCAGGATAGGTCAACTGAAATTATCCAGTCTGAGGAACAGAAAAAAAAAGAATAATAAAAAATTAGAAACCTGTGAGAGACCATCCAATGTACTGAGATACACGTAAAGGAAGTCCCAGATGTAGGAGAGGAAGAATGAGGTAGAAAGAATATTTGAAGAAATAATGACCCAAAATTCCCAAAACTAGATGGAAAACATGAATCTACATATCTAAGACACTCAATGAACTCCAAGTAGAATAAACTCTAAGACAGCCACACCTAGATACATCAAAATCAGACCTTCAAAACCCAAAGACAAAGTAAATCTAATGAAAGCAGTAAGAGAGAAGCAACTTGTCACACATGTTATGGACTAGATATTTGTCCCCTCCAAAACTCATGTTGAAGTTTAATCCCTAATTTGGGAGTATCAGGAGGGAGGAGGAAACTGGGTCATGAGGGCTCTGCCCTCATGAATGGATTAATCCACTCATGAATTAATGAATTAATTCATGTGGGTTATCACAAGAGGGGACCTGGTGACTTTCTAAGAAGAGGAAGGGAGACCTGAGCTAGCACACTAGCATGCTCAGCCTCCTCATCATGTGATACCCTGTGCCACCTCAGGACTCTGCAGAGAGTCCCCAACAGCAAGAAGACCCTTACCTGATTCTGCCCCTCAACCTTGAACTTCTCAGCCCAGATACCTGTAATAAATAAATTCCTTTTCTTTATAAATTACCCAGTTTCAGATATTCTGTGATAAGCAACAGAAAATAGGCAATGATCCTCAATAATATTAACAACTAATTTCTCATCTGAGACTATGAAGGCCAAGAGGCAGTGGAATGATATATTCAAAGTCCTAAAAGAAAAAAGTCTATCAACCAAGAATTCTATATTCAGAAAATCGATCCTTCAAAACTAAAGGAGAAATCAATACATTCCCAAACAAAAAACAAAGAGAATTTTTTCCAACAACCCTTCCCTAGCAAGTTCTAAATGGAGTACTTTAGGCAAAAATGAAAGGACATTAGACAGTGAGTTGTATCCAGATGAAGAAATAAACAGCACCAGTAAAGGTCATTATTTAGTAAATATGAAAGACAGAACAAATATTTGAGTATGTAACATTTATTTTCTCCTAATTTTCTTTAAAAAACCTGCATAAAGCAATAATTATAAATCCATGTTGATAAACATACAATCTATAAAGATATAATTTTCATGACAATAACAGCACAAAGGAGGGAAAGAGAAAAAATGACAGAGAGTGTTTGAAAATTAAGTTGGTATTAATTCAACTAGATTATTATAAAGATCTTAATGTTAATTTGAATTAATAATTAAATTAATATTAACTTGGTGTTAATAAAATTAAATAATATTAATCTTCTAGCAAACACTAAGAAAGCAACTCAAAAAATAATCAGGAATGAAAAGACATTATTACTGATCTTACAGACATAAAAATTACAAGGACTATACAGAAATACTATAAGTAATCATATGCCAACAAACTAGATAATCTAGGTGAAATTGACAAATTCCTATGAAGACATGAACTACTGAAGCTGACTCAAGAAGAAATAGAAAATTTGAATATGCCTATAATAATTAAGGAAATTCAATGAGTAATTTAAAACCTCATAAAGAAAAGCCCATGGTCAGATGGCTTCCATTTGCAATAGCTTCACTTCAAATGTTTAAGGAAGAATTAACATCATTCTTTCACAGTCTTCCAAAAAAAATAAAGAAAGAATACTCTTCAATTAACTTGATGTGATGGTTAATATTGAGTGTCAACCTGATGGGATTGAAGGATGCAAAGTATTGATCCTGGGTGTGTCTGTGAGGGCATTTCCAAAGGAGATTCACATTTGAGTCAGTGGACTGGGAGAGGCAGACCCACCCTCAGTCTGGGTGGGCACCATCTAATCAGCTTCCAGCATGGCCAGAATAAAAGCAGGCAGAAGAACACAAAAGTAGTTTAGTCTTCCAGCCTACACGCTACTCCCCTGCGGGATGCTTCCTGCCTTCGAACCTCGGACCTCAAGTTATTCAGCTTTAGGACTCAGACTGGCTTCCTTGCTCCTCAGGGCCTATTATGGGACCTCACCCTGTGATCGTGAGTCAATACTCCTTAAAATACTCCCCTTTATATACACATCTATCCTATTAGTTCTGTCCTTCTAGAGAACCCTGACTAATGCATTTGACAAGTTATGTATTACTATAATACCAAAACCAAAGATATCAAAAGATTAAGAGATATCCTTTATAAATACGGACATAAAAATTCTCAACGAAACACTAAGATACTAAATCCAGAAACATATAAAAAGAATTATACAGCATGGTCAAGTAAGACTTATCCCAGGAATATAAGATTAGTTCAAATATAAAAACTAACCAATGAGATACACTATGGTCATAGAATACACATGCTATGATACAGACTGAATGTTGACATCCTCCCCAAACGTACGTGCTGGAATTCTGATCCCCAGTGTGACAGCATTAGGAGGTGAAGGCTTTGGGGGTAATTAGGTCATGAAGACGGCGCCCATGCAGGTGGGATTAGTGTCCATACGAAAGAGATCCCAGAGCGCTCCCTTGCCCCGTCTGCCACATGAGGACACGGGGGGAAGATGCCACCCATGAACCAGGAAGCCACCCACCACCAGACACCAAATATGGGGGAGCCTCCAGAGCTCTGAGAAATCAATGTTTGCTGTTTCAGCCACCCACGCCATGTGATTTTTGTGACAGCAACTCGAACAAGAGAAAAATTGGCACCGGGAAGTAGCAGCACGGCTGTGACAAATTCCTAAAAATGCAGAAGCAACTTTGGGTCTGGGAAACTTGTTGAGGCTGAGTCTTGAGGTGTGTGCTGGAACAAGCCTCCTTCGCCATGGATGAATTTTTAAAAGTGCTTGTGTTGAGAGATCAAAAGGAAGACAAAGCAGTATCTCTTAGAGAACAGCTCGGCCATCATGAATGGAATGCTGGGAGGATGCAGACAGAGCATTCTGTGAGGCCTGGGAAAGGAGGAACACACTATCGGACGGTGGAGAAGAGGCTGTGCTCCTCGCAGAGTGGTGAGGACCATGGCCGAATGCGTTCATGCTCTGGGCTCCTGTGGAAGGTAGAGCTTGTGAATGAGGAATTGGAAACAGTGCACCTCAGTGGCAGAGGGCCTCACAAATGGCCGGCCGGAGATGGGGGCTGGGTGGAAGGAGCCACTGGGCCTGCTCGGGAGGTTCCTCCATTGCCCTGCGCAGCCTGAGCCAGACAGAGCGCAAATCCCACGGAGGGCGAGCCCTGAGCCGGACAGAGCGCAAGTCCCACGGAGGGCGAGCCCTGAGCCGGACAGAGCGCAAGTCCCACGGAGGGCAAGCCCTGAGCCGGACAGAGCGCAAGTCCCACGGAGGGCGAGCCCTGAGCCGGACAGAGCGCAAGTCCCACGGAGGGCGAGCCCTGAGCCGGACAGAGCGCAAATCCCACGGAGGGCGAGCCCTGAGCCTGACAGAGCGCGAGTCACACGGAGGGTGAGCACCACGCGTGACTCCAACACACCCACCTGTGCTCACCAGACGTGAGCCAGACGTTCTCCCTCCCCAACCCCACACCACACATCTGCCTGGAGGTCGGGTAGGGGGTGGATCTCAGCTCCTCTCAGCAAGAAGGAAAGCCTCCAAGCTCCAAGGGCCCAGGATGGGAGGTAAAACAAGACAGGCGAGCACAGGGAGGGCGCAAATAGAGTGGGCAAGGAGGAGGCAGAACCCGGCTCCCCTGACCTGTGCCGGCAAGCACGTCCCCAGCAGCAGCTCCCCGGATGCCATCCCAGCCAGGACCCGTGCGGCCAGCCTTGGATTTCTGTGTTCCAGTCCACATTATTTAGGGATTTATTTTCCTTCTCTTTTAAGGAATGATAACACTGTTTTATGTACATATTTGGTTTTTTTGCTTTTTGCTTCTGACATGCAGCTCAATAAGTCAGAAGATTCTTACCAGGAAATGAATCCACAGTCGTTTTCATGACAGCAAATTGCATGCCAACGAGTGACATTTAAATGCTGAATTTTAATGGCTTGTCAGAAAAAGTGAAATGTATTTAAAAAAAAATCATACATGAGAGAGCAGTGTGTCTGCCCATGAAATAATGCTGCCTGTAGTAGACAAGAATGGTAAAAACACAGTGAACGTATTTTGTTCTGTGATGTACACATCTACCTGGAGGAAGAAGGTTGTGAAATTAACTCCCATTTACCCTCCTCTTCGTGCAGAAGACTCTGAAGGCCGCGCAAGCAGCTGTCTGTCAATGAATCTGACAACTGCACCTGCAAGAAGTGGCCTGGATGAAGACGACAGGCAGAAGCACAGGATCAACTCTGTTTCAAGCGCAGTTACCAAGACAGAATCATTTCTGGAATCCTGAAAAACCTGCATATGAACATGCTCACGTGTAGACACCCACACACATGCACACACACCTGCACACACACTCACATGCTCATGTGTAGACACCCACACACCTGCACGTGTAGACACCCACACACGCACACACCTGCACACACATGTGCTCACGTGTAGACACCCACATACCTGTACATGCACTCACGTGCTCACATGTAGACACCCACACACATGCACACACACCTGCACATTCACATGCTCACGTGTAGAGACACACACATGCACACACGTGCTCACATGTAGACACACACACGTGCACTCATTCACATGCTCACATGTAGACGCCCACACAAGGCAAACACACGTGCTCACGTGTAGACAGCCACACATGCACACACACCTGCACATGCACTCACATGCTCATGTGTAGACACTCACATGCACACACACGTGCTCACAGACACCCACACACATGCACACACACCTGCACACGCACTCACGTGCTCACATGTAGACACGCACACATGCACACACATGTGCTCACACAGACACCCACACACATCTGCACATGCACTCACGTGCTCAGGTGTAGACACACACACATGCACACATGCACACATACCTGTACATGCACTCACATGCTCACATGTAGACATACACACACATGCACACACCCCTGCGCACTCATTCACATGCTCACGTGGATACCCACACATGTACACACACGTGCTCACGTGTAGACACCCACACACACGCACAGACACCTGCACACACATGTGCTCCAGTGTAGACACCCACACGCAAAACCTCCCTACTCAAACACTCCCCCCATGTGAGGCTGACAAAACTCAGGAAGACACCAGGATTTGAGATTCTTTCCTTCAAGTGTGCATGCATGTGTGCCTGCCTGCACACATGCATGCACACCTGCACACTCATTCACGTGCTCACATATAGATACCCACACACACACACCTGCACACTCATTCACGTGCTCATGTGTAGATACCCACACACGCACACACACCTGCACACTCATTCACGTGCTCACGTGTAGATATCCCCTACACGTGAGCATGGGTGTGTGTGCATGTGTGTGGATGTCTACACATGAGCATGTGTGTGTGCAGGTGTGCATGCATGTGTGGGGATGTCTACATGTCAGCATGTCAATGAGTGTGCAGGGGTGTGTGCGTGTGTGCATGTCTACATGTGAGCATGTGTGTGTGCAGGTGAGTGTGCAGGTGTGTGCGTGTGTGGGTATCTACACATGAGCACGTGAATGTGTGTGCAGGTTTGTCTGCGTGTGGGTATCTACATGTGAGCATGTGTATGAGTGTGCAAGTGTGTGTGCAAATGTGTCTGTGTCTACACGTGAGCATGTGAATGCATGTGCAGGTACGTGTGCCTTCGCAGCATGCCCACCTTCCAGAAGCCTGCATCCTGGACTAGACACACCAATGGCCCTGGCAACCAAAGAGGCCTCCTGCCACAGGGTCGTCCTCCTGCCACGGGGTCATCCCCAGGGTTTGCTGGAAATGCCCACCCCAGGACACACCCCACAGCTGTGTCAGAACCAGCTGGGAAGGTGTCAGCAATTCTGTGTCCCCACAATGCAGAAGATGACTTTTCACTGTCTAGAGAGTCCAACAGCCCAGGACACACAGTCCCTGGGGATGGAGCTGGGCAGAGGGCTCCAGCTGCCCAGGCCATGGGCAGTTCTGATACACCTGGGCAGACGCTCAGCCAGGGCCTGAGCAAGACTGGAGATGCAGGGCTGCCTGGGACCTCTGTCTCTATGCAAGGATACCTACGACCCCCCATCTCCACATGGGGCTGCCTGGGACCCCCCTATCCCCATGTGGGGCTGCCTGGGACTCCGTCTCCATAAAGATGCTCTTATCCTCAAGAACAGGTGCCAGGAATGTGGACATAGCCTGACACTCGGCACAATATTAATTTTCTCTGAGATGGTTTTCCTTAGGAGTTACCTTTTGCCATTATTTGGTTAGATTATTGTCATGTAATTTAAATTCATGGATATATGAGACAAACTAGAAAAAGCTATTGCTTTAAAATCATAGGTGAGAAAACTCATCTCTGTTGGGGAATTCGGGGCCACTAGATATTTTTCTATCCCTCCTTTTGAAACTCACCTTAAATTTCTTGGTTTTTTTCTAGTTTGTCAGGCTGAGAGTCTTGTGCATTCTCTGGTTTCATTTCATCCCAGGACGCCCACCCAGGCAGGGCCCCGGAGCCCTTGTGGCACTAGCTCCCATGACAAGGGAGCTCAGGTGAACTCCGGCACCCTGCCCCCGCCACATCTCAGCACAGGATAGCACAGAAACGTGATGATGTTCAGTGCCAGTTGCCAGCACATGGTGATAGCTACATACATACCTAGAGCCGGGCTGAAATTACGCTCAGGGGAAGTTCTGAAAGAGTCACGCCCATTCTCATTGAAAGACCCCTGGCCTCCACTCGCACGTCCAGCCATCAGAGTGGCAAAAGCTCATCTGTTTGCTCCTTAAATGAGGCTTTTCCCTCTTCTCAAGATAATAAAGTGAAGGGTGAAACACAGAGTAAGGCTCACAAGACAAGCAAACTCAGAAAATGTGACACAGTTGAATATTTACACAACCTTCCTTCAATATGGCTCGCTCCATGTTTGTCCCTGCGTGGGCAGCATTCCGTCTGTGTCATCTACATTGATACCCATATCTACGTGCCCTGCCAAGCCTGGCACTGGCCTGCGCACAGCACCCCATCGCCAAACGACAGTGGCACATATGGAGCAGGAGCTGGGCCCAAGCCGCCCTGGAGGCTCCCGTGGGGAAAGGGCTCAGGAGTCCAGTGTGGCCTGGAGTGTGCATCAGGGAGCTGCCCGGCGCCCTGGCCCACACCGCCACACGCGTTTCTCTCAACCCGCAGTTTGGCTTTGTGGAGGGTTCCCCATGGACTTTGGGCTCAGGTGACTTGGGCTTTGTTTGTGGGTGGTTCTGTGTAATGCACAGGCACCACCCAAAAGCAGACACGTGTAGCACTACACACCACCCATGCTGGGACCCCCTGAAGGACAGAGGTGAACCCGGAACCCCTGTAGGACAGAGGTGAACCCGGGACCCCCTTAAGGACAGAGGTGAACCCGGGACGCCCTCAAGGACAGAGGTGAACCCGGGACCCCCTAAAGGACAGAGGTGAACCCGGGACCCCCTGAAGGACAGAGGTGAACCCGGGACCCCCTGAAGGACAGAGGTGAACCCGGGACGCCCTCAAGGACAGAGGTGAACCCGGGACGCCCTCAAGGACAGAGGTGAACCCGGGACCCCCTAAAGGACAGAGGTGAACCCGGGACCCCCTGAAGGACAGAGGTGAACCCGGGACCCCCTGAAGGACAGAGGTGAACCCGGGACCCCCTGAAGGACAGAGGTGAACCCGGGACGCCCTCAAGGACAGAGGTGAACCCGGGACCCCCTAAAGGACAGAGGTGAACCCGGGACCCCCTGAAGGACAGAGGTGAACCCGGGACCCCCTGAAGGACAGAGGTGAACCCGGGACCCCCTGAAGGACAGAGGTGAACCCGGGACGCCCTCAAGGACAGAGGTGAACCCGGGACCCCTTGAAGGACAGAGGTGAACCCAGGACGCCCTCAAGGACAGAGGTGAACCCAGGACCCCATGAAGGACAGAGGTGAACCCAGGACTCCCTGAAGGATAGAGGTGAACCCGGGACGCCCTCAAGGACAGAGGTGAACCCGGGACCCCTGAAGGACAGAGGTGAACCCGGGACCCCTGAAGAACAGAGGTGATTGGAAACCCTCCTGTGAGCAGAATCTCCAGCAGTGCACCTGGCTGGTGATTCCGCCTGGAAGGAGAAACGGCCAGATGTGTGATTACTTATGAATTAATGGGCTGTGGCCAGTGGTTTGGCTGGAGGGCCAGGGACTCGGAGAGAATATGGTTGGAAACATTGTTGACAAGGGCAACTGGGGAAGAGACATATTAGATAGACGTCTATGAAGTGGTATGAAGTACTAAGATATGAATGTCCCGTGTGAATGTTCTCCAAAGAGTGACCTCAGCAGAGGAGGATTTTAATAACCAAGTGGATAGGGTGACCTGTTCTGTGGACACCAGTCAGCCTCTTTCCCCAGCCACCCTGCCGTTGCCCCATGGGCCCATGAACAAGGTGGTCGCGGTGGCAGAGTTGGAGGTGATGCCTGGGCTCCCACTCAACAAGGCCAGCCCTGCTGTGGCCACCCTTGAGTCCCCAGTCAGCCACCACAAAGACCATCCCTGAGTCCCCAACATGACATCATTCCCCGAGGTGATCAGCCAGCCGCCGGGGGGCAGGTGGTTCCGCAGGCAGCTTCCCCTGTGGAAGGGGTGGGGAATGGTCCTTGCTGGACTAGACGCTTACTCCAGATGTGGATTTCCCTTCCCTACGCACAGTGCTCCTGCCAGAACTACCCTCCGTGGAGTCAGAACGCCTTATCCATCACCATGGTGTCCACACAGCACTGCTTCTGACCAAGAGCCCTCACTTCACAGTCAAAGAAGCGCAGCAGTGGGCCGGTGCTGTGGGAATTCCCTGGTCCTACCATGTTGCCATATATAATTTTTAAATTATCATAATTTTAAAAATTATCTTCTCATCACCCCTGCAGGGACCACCTGCAACAAAAATTTCACAACAGTGACAGGCAGAGGCTGATTCTCTCCAGGCCGAGCCACGCCTGCACTGGACCCAGCCAGGCCCAGATAAGCAGCCGACGCCTGCCTACTTTGTGCCAGGCCCAGCTGCGGGCCACTGCAGCCTCCTGGCATCTCCTCCCTCAGACACAGGAGGCAGCAGGCCTGGGCTCCTCCAAACCCAGGAACGGACGATCCCAGTAGGAAGCACCCATGAGCCCAGCGCCCGGCTCCCACCTGCCCCTTCCACCACCACACTCGTGGATTCAGTCCGTCCCAGCTCCTCACCGCCCAGGAGGAGAAGCCAAGCCCGTGCGGTCGCTCAGTGCGGCAGCCGCCGAGCCTCGGCCCACGCCCGCCCTACCTGTGCCGGAAAGCTTCTGCAACGCCACGCGCAGGCGCTGCAGGGCCACGGGCGACACCTCGTAGCGGTAAAAGTCCATTGCCGGAACCTTCTGGCACCTTCCAAACACTCCATCTGTGAGAAGGGAAGGAGATAAGACAGAACGAGACGTTTCATTTTCAGAGAGCAGGAAGGTGTCACACACGTCCTTGCAATGCGTTCTGATCATGTGCCGCCGTGAGGTTTTGGAGCACGGCGTCACCAGAGGGCTGTTAGGACCCGGGAGCACCCGGAGGATGCTGGTTTGTGAGATAAAAACCGAGCATCACGGAAAACACAAATGCCAAGGTGGAGAGAAAGTCCAGTGTGGCTGCAATGTTGTCACTCCACTTTCCTCCATACCCCCCGAGCCCTCCTTTTATGTAATTTCACATTTTTTATGTAAAACTTGCCTCTGACAACTCAGTGACAACAAAAAAACAAAGTCAATAACATTCCAGGCCAGTTTTCCAGATGAAAAACAGAACACCCAGGAAATATAAATATTACTTTGCAGGAGCTACAAGGATCGGCGGAGACGCCTCTCCCTGGGCTGCGTGGGAGGCAAGCACGGCTTCCCGGGCTCCTTTCCGGCGGCGCAGGAGAGGCGCGGGGCTGGCGAACGGTGTGGGACTAATGGGGACTAATTTATTTAGCTCGATTCCATTTGTCTGAAATGGCAGACTCTGCTCATCAACATCCTTTCCAACCACACCTTCTAATTAATTTAGTCCCCAATTAGTCTTTATTCGGCGAATTGTTCACTTTGAGACAAGCTTCCTGTGGGGTTTCAAACATTCAAATTACCTTCTTTGGTGCACACAAAAGGTTAATTCAGGCGCTACTGCTTCCACACAGGGCGGCCATCTGCAGCTTCGGGCGGGGCGGAAGGGGAAATGGTCTCTTTTATTGTTCACTAGGTTTCGCCGTGCAGCTTGGCTGAAGAAAGCCATTCAAATGCAACAAGTGTAATTAGCAGAAACACATTTGCCCAGGGCCAGGCTGACGGTAATTGCTGGTCTGATATTGCATATATGCTCACGACGACGGGGCCGGGTGATTAGCAGAAAATAACCTCGAGTATTGCAAGCGTCCTGCGGGTTTCTATGGGACTTTGCAAAGCCCAGGGAATCCGGGAGGCAGCCTGGCAGCTGCGCGGGCGGGCGGACAATGGCAAGGAGGAGACGCCAGGCCCGCGCCGTTTCCCTCCGTGCAGCCCGGCCGCGCCGCCTCCTGTCCGAGAGCCGGCCCGAGATGCCTGCGAGGCCACACAAAGGCGGAGGGCTCTCGGGGACGCGTCTGCAGAGCCCGGCGCCCCCCACCGTCCGTGATGGACAGGCCGCACCACAGGCGGGAACACAGGCAGATGTGCCCGCTCCTTTGCCTTCCTCAGACACGCACCATTCAGTGCAAGCAGGAGTGGGAAAGGGGGGAGGAGGGAGAAAGGGGCAAAGAGGGAAAATAAGGAGCGACTTCAAACATACCCAGTGTTCCTACTCTGCTTTTCGAATGAAAATATCTTGAAAATAGAAAGGCAACAAGCAGGAACTGGGCAGCACGTCGAGACGGCCCAGCTCCCGTGCTCACAATGCAGAACAATCCTAGGCCTCAGGACCAAGGCCTGGGGCCCCAGAGGAGGGAGTGAGCCACGGGCCAGGAAGAACCAAAAGCCAGGTTCCTGGACCCCCAAGCGGGGCCCAAGTCAGTGACCACCTAATCCTAGGCCAGGGCCGGCGGCCTCTTCCGATCCCTGAGGCCAGGGAGGCTCAGAAGCCCAGGGCTCCACTCAGCCGCAGAGCCCGCGAGCTGCACTCCCCACCCTCAGAAGGAAGGCGCTCTCGGCCGGCCCCAGAGCAGTGACGGTGCCGGCTGCCTGCAGCTCCCCGGCCTCTTGCGCACATTGGAAAATGCACCCCCGGGGTGGACGTGCGTGGCCAGCTCAGGGCATGGCAGAGCCTGGCTGGTCCGGGCCCCACTCGGCCACTCCGGGTGTCTGCACACAGGGCTTGGTGATTTGGTGCCAAATATAAGAGAAGCACATCTGTGAGTAGCCAACGCTTCGCAACATGCAGCTGAGGATCCCCTTCCCAGGCAACCTCATCAAATCATTCAGCTTTTCATAAAGAAAAATGGCCCAGGACAATTCCTATCAATTTTGGAACGTTCCAAGCAAAGCATTTCTCAAGCATAACAGCCTCATTCTTTAAATTTTGTTTCTTGCATACAATGTCATAAATATATTTTAAAATTATATTAGACTTTCTTGAAAACTTTCTTTTAAACATTTATTTAGAATATATACAATATAATGCATAATATAGTTTGTGCTTTTAAAATCAGTTTTAGCTAATAATTTTAGCTACTTGACAGTTGAAATAAACTAACCATTGATTCTCTTTGCCTTAGACTATCCCTGTGCTGAATGCAGTGGACACAGACACCATCCCCAGTGCATTGTTAATAGACTTTATTTTTAGAGCAGTTTAGATTACTGCAAACTTGAGTGGAAAGTAGGGATATTTTCCATGCATCCTCACACATGCACACACACACACAGCCTCCCACACACACACACAGCCTCCCACACACACACACACACAGCCTCCCTCACACACGCACACAGCCTCCCTCACACACAAGCACAGCCTCCCTCACACTCACACAGCCTCCCCCCACACACACAGCCTCCCTCACACACACAGCCTCCCTCACACACACACGGTCTCCCTCACACACGCACACAGCCTCCCTCACACACGCACACAGCCTCCCTTGTACACACACAGCCTCCCTCACACACACACAGCCTCCCTCACACACACACACAGCCTCCCTCACACACACAGCCTCTCTCACACAGCCTCCCTCATACACACAGCCTCCCTCACACACACTCACAGTCTCCCTCACACACACAGCCTCCCTCACACACACAGCCTCCCTTGTACACAGCCTCCCTCGTACACACACAGCCTCCCTCACACACACTCAGTCTCCCTCACACACACACACAGCCTCCCTCACACACACAGCCTCCCTCGTACACAGCCTCCCTCGTACACACACAGCCTCCCTCACACACACACAGCCTCCCTCACACACACACACAGCCTCCCTCACACACACACAGCCTCCCTCACACACACACAGCCTCCCTCACACACACTCACACAGCCTCCCTCATACACACACACAGCCTCCCTCACACACACTCACAGTCTCCCTCACACACACACACAGCCTCCCTCACACACACTCACATAGTCTCCCTCACACACACACACAGCCTCCCTCACACACACAGCCTCCCTTGTACACACACAGCCTCCCTCGTACACACACAGCCTCCCTCGTACACACACAGCCTCCCTCACACACACACACAGCCTCCCTCACAGGGTATTTGCAGATATTAATTTTCCACTTTTTTGGGTAAAGACCAACACGAGTGACTGCTGGCTCATATGGTAAGAGTATGCTTAGTTTTGTAGGAAACCGCCAAACTGTCCTCCATGGTGACAATCAGACTAACAGTGGCCGTGCCATTTTTCACTCCCAGCAGCTGCGATGGCACCCCCATCGCCCATGTCCTCACCACAGTGACAATCAGCCTAACGGTGGCCGTGCCATTTTTCACTCCGAGCAGCTGTGATGGCGCCCCCATCGCCCGCATCCTCAGCAGCGCCAGGTGGCGTCCGTGTTCCCGCGTCCTCGGCAGCGCCGGGTGGCGTCCGTGTTCCCACGTCCTCGGCAGCGCTGGGTGACACTTGGAGGCGTCCATGTTCCAGCGTTTGGCTGCTGTCATAGGTGTGTATCGGTATCTCATGATTTTTTATCCAATGCATTTTTCAACAATGATATTCATCCTTATCTCCGTATTTAAAGGACTTCATGATGTGGGTGTCCTTTATTCTAGTAAATACTCAGCAATAAGGCTTGTTGAAGATGATTGTGACCAGAAGGAAGGAGCCCAGAAGCTCCCACAGATCATGCCCAGGTTCGCTGCTACCTGCTTGATTTTAAGGGGATACTGGATTCCCCCAAATATGGATACGTGCCTAGCAGTGAAATAGAAAATTAAGGAAATTTCTAAATACATCTGGTAGAATTGATTTTTATGTGGCCAGAATTTTGAAACTATTGCTTTGTTCTTCCGGGTCACTTGGCTAATAGGCAGGACCCCAAAAGGTCTCTATGAACATACTAGAGAAAAGGACTGGAAAGTCAAATCTCAATCAGGAAAGCATCAGGTGCGATGAGACTCCGGAGTCGGGACGCCAGGGGTGATCTACACAGCAGGGGTGCCGGAGCCAGAGAACCAAAGCTCCCACCAGTCCAGGCTGAGCTCCACCGTCTCAGACGTGCAGTGCGGCCTCTGAAACAATCCCGGGAAGTGGCACACTGAAGTCGCCTCACCGCCGACCATTTAATCACCCTAGAAACCACCCAGAGCCCGTAACCCTCAGGCCCCTCCTCTGCGGGACTCCTGCCTTCGTGTTCTTGGGACACAGCCAGGACCCCACCTGGGATCTGAGCTTGCTTGGGGTTTCCTCATGAACTCTCTTCTACTTCGGACTCTGTTTCCTGTGCCATGGCCCTGCAGCCTGTCGACATGACCCTATCGTCGAAGCCCGGACTGACCCGTCCAGCTCTGCAGCCCTGCGGGCCATGCTGAGCTCCCAGCTGGAAGTGCATCACCGCACCGCAGTGGAGGCAGGAGGCCTTGGGTGATGGAGCCCATCCACGAGACTTTCAGAACCAGGGTCCTGCTCTTCGTCCAGAACGGGCATTCCATGCGCAACCTTAATTCCAAGTCTCACTGCTGGCAACTGAGTTCAAATTGGGGGCTGTCTGAAAATCATGGGAGATGAGAACAGGTTTGCCTATGAAAACTGTGGGCTCCCTGTCCACCCGTCCTTGGCTACTGTCACCATCAAAACACTCATGTGTGCAAATATATGTGTACGTGTCAATCCTTATACAGAAACACGTGCACAGCTGCTAACTCATACACGCACATAAGCACAGCCGCTAACGTGTTTAACTGCCAAACTTACTGTGCGTGCCCAAGGATGCCGCCAATCCAACATCATAAACCCTTCCGGCAAACAGACACTGCCCGTGCCTCTGCGCGGAAGCCTAACCCCCAGGTGCTCCTCGATGACGGCTTCGTGCCTTCTCCCTCTGTCTTCCCTGCAGCGTTGGGTGCTCTCATCAACGAGGCTCATCATCTCTGTCCCCAGCATTGCCTGAGCCTTGCAAAGCCCCTTCCTGTTCTGGGAGCAGGTCAGTGCTATGCCTGCTGCTTGGCTGCCTCCGCCCCACACCCTCGTCCCAGGGAAGCCACAGCTCTGCCCTGCATCCTGCTTGCATGGCCAGGCCAGGACAGCCGGGAGACACGCACACAGAAAAAGCAGACACTGCAGGCTCCATGCTCCAGAGCTTCCAGGATCCTGGGGCAACAGATGTTCACCACTGATGGTTCGGTTATAATTGTGGACAGGCTGCAAAAAAGGGCACGAGAGCACCTGACAGAGGGCACTGACCTCACCCAGCGGTCAGAGAACGAACAGCGGCCGACCTGAGGACATCGAGGACACTCCAGGCTAAGGGAGCAGCTCCGTGCATGGCAGCATCCAGCCCCGGTGGGCGACGGGGAGGGAGCAGTTCCGTGCATGGCAACACCTGGCCCCAGTGGGCGGCCAGGAGGGAGCAGCTCCGTGCATGGCAGCACCTGGCCCCAGTGGGCAACGGGGAGGGAGCAGCTCCGTGCATGGCAGCACCTGGCCCTGGTCAGCCCCAGTGGGCAGTGGGGACAAGGCCTTGCAGTTCTGGATCAGGCAGGAGAGGACACCAAGCTGGTCAAGCCACTCAAGCAGATTGTGCAGAGCCTGCGGGAATCAGAGGCAGTGGCCTTCATCCCAGGAGCTAGAGGAGGCCACCTCCACTTGGGTGGTGTTCCAGGCAGGGCAGGCTCTTGAATGGGTCTGCGTTTTAAAACAGATCTCCCTGGCAAGGGCTGGAGATTGCCAGGAGCCCATGGCGGGTAAACAGAGCAGCCCCAACCAGGGGATGGTGGCTAAGTGAGGATGGTGGTCATGGAGACCAGAGACCTGGATAGACTGGAGCCATCTGCAAGGTGAACCTTAGGACAACACACATCCCTCTGCCGGCAGCAGCAACCAGGCCTTTCCACATGCTACCCAGCCCATGCACAGACAGGCTTGTGGGGGAGGGGAATATTCTGGGAGACGTTCTGTAGAATGAGTCTTTTTCCAAAACAGGAAGGAAGGCAGGCTTCTTGCTGCCCTGGCTGGGAGAGGCGAGACATGGAAGGCGTCCCCCGACAAGAATTCTGCCTGGCCTGGAACTCCGATATCAGGGACTCAACGAACTGGGGGGCCTCACACCCCCAGAGTTCTGGGATGCAACCCCCTTCACTGTGCAGACAGAAGGCTGGACCCCACAGAACTCCAATCTCAGGGACTCAGTGAACCAGGGGGCCCCACATTTCAGAGTTCTAGGACGCAACCCCTTCACTGTGCAGACAGAAGGCTGGACCCCACTGCCTCTGGGACCGGAATGGACAGTGCTAAAGACAGTGAGAGAAGGAATGCCCAGGATGCAGAGCAGCGGATGAACAGGGCCCAGGACAATGGACACAAAAGCTTTGAGGAGCAAAAGGTTTGCTTAGAGACACTTTTATTAACAGTAATCTAGAATTGGGTGGTCAGTTTCTTTCATTTGAAAGAAAATATTGAGCATTTTCTGTGGTTGGATTTTTGGAGAAATAAGAAAAAGAGCTCATTTATCTTGGTAATTTGTTTTAAACAGTGGTCCTTAGAGCACTGTTCCCACAGGCCAAAGTAATTTCATTCGCAAGCGTCACTGTCCCCAAAACACAAACACAGGCCTCCTCCAGGACCAAGCTTCCAGCCCACTTCTATTCTCATATAGTCTGTGGGGCTGCATACCTCCCTCCAACCTTACACCACACGTGTGTACACGGTGCATGTATGCACATTCATACCTGCATGAACCAACACACACATTTTCACACACTTCTCCCATGCACGGGACACTCACACATACACACACTCACACGCACCCACGTGAACATTCCAACACATGTACACACACACAAGTGTGCACACACTCATTTGCATGCACTTGATTATGCAGACACACACACAGGAGCACGTACACACACATTTGCAAACGTGCACACACACACACACACACCCAGACACACTAACTCATATACAGGTGCACACAAGCGCACATGCACAAACTCACACGCCCACACGCGTACGCTCACACACAGTCTCCGCATAGACAAGACGGCACCTCGCCTCTACCGCCCTGCAGGACCACCCTCTCCCCGGTGACACCGTGAGTTCCTGGAAGGCAGGGATCACAGCTACAGCCTCTTCACGCCCCCACAGCATCTGGTACAGTGCCTTGCCCCCGGTGTGGACTAAAAGGATGTTAGTGAATGACTATAACTGGTATTTTCCCATTTGTCTAAAAGAAAATGGAGATGTCCGTGGAAGTGTTTAAGACCATCAGCTAGAAGCCTCATTTGTTGAAATCTCACATAGATTTACAAGTCCTCACCCCTGGCAGTGACCCACTTGGATGAAAGACTCACTGGGGACCAAAAAGGCTGGTGGTGGGGGCACCCTAGGAGGGGCTGGCATGAGTCTCGCAAGTTCTCAGGTGGCCATGCGCCTCCACCCCATCCCGTACTGTCTCTCTGCTTGGGCTCAGAGGGCCGATTGACCCCCAGCATTTCTATCCCCAGCTCCATAAGTGAAGCAGGTGATCCTAGTGGACCTCTGTTCTTCAGAGTAAGGGTGGGGCTCTGCTGCCCAGGGTGCCCCCAGAGGGTCCTGTTGCTTGGAGATACTGAGCCTCCACTCTCTGTGACACCCATAGCACTGACCCAGAACCATCCAATTGGAGCACCGGAAAGCTGTGGACCGAACAAGGTGGCTTTGATACCCTGTGAGGAAAGTACTCTTGCCACACTTTGCTTAGGTGATACGCCCAGGCCTGCACTAAACGACATCCCGAGTGACACGTCCAGGCCTGCCCTAGAGGATATCCTAGGAGAAATGGCCCAGAGACGCTAACTGTGCATCTGCTGAGAAACGTCACTCACTGCGTTACCCCACAATTCTCCACAGAGATCCACAGGGGGTCCCCCAGTCCCCACAATTATCCACAGAGATCCACAGGGGGTCCCCCAGGCCCCACAATTCTCCCCAGAGATCCACAGGGGGTCCTCCAGTCCCCACAATTCTCCACAGAGATCCAAGGGGGTCCCCCAGGCCCCACAATCTCCACAGAGATCCACAGGGGGTCCCCCAGCCAGGAGCATCTTCCTTCCACCAAACGCCGTGAACACGACCAGCTCCTGGGCAGGGACACCTCCTGCTTACAGGCGCCTGTGGCACAGATTCCAGTGAACTAACCATCTGCTTTTCCCCTTTTTCTAATATCTTTACCTACTTTTACTTATATGTCTTTTTTTTTTTAACATTTCTTATTTATTTATGGAAATATAACAGGACTTGGGAATTAATGAATACAATATGATCACTTAATTTAGTATTTCAAAGTGAGGCAATTAGCTTAGGGCATTGTTTGAAATAACCACAATGCGCATACCTATTCAATCATTTGTGTAAACAGCATATTAAGGTAAATGGTATGCACGTGAAAACTGATTTATCTCAGCTGCCTGGAAACTATCAGAACAAAGTTCTTGAATTGTGAGCAAGAAGGGATGGGCAGAAAAGGCACCCCAATTACGAAGCCTTTGCAGATGAGAGGCGTGGGAGGCTGTATTCCGACAAGAAGGGCAGGCGAGAGACACCCGGCAAACCACCGGGCAGGCAGAACCCCGGCGGAGCAAGCACTAGCACGTTCCAGGGCTGGGCAGGGACTGCGACCATTTCTAGAATCGTCACAAAGCCATCGCTGAGACAGACACTCAGGTTTGCAGAATACTGTCTACAGTAAACACCAAATGCATCCGCTCTTGCGGCTGCCAGCTGACCCTGCCCAGACAAAAGGAACGGGCAGTCAGTCTCACAGCAGCTCCCTGGGAACACACCTGGGAAGCCCAGGAGGGGAACGCGGCCTCCTGGGGGTGTCCCAGGCACTGAACCCAGAGCCTAGAAACAGCAACGTTGCAGGGCTCAGGGCGCACTTTCCAGAGAGAATGGGACCACATCCAGGGCCCCACAGGCCATACCCGCCGCAGGTCTTGAGTCTGGCAGCCAGGGAGGGAGCACAGCCGCCTCTCATGAAACAATGGCACCCTGCTGTGCTTCTTCAAGCTGGTCTGTCACTCACTCCCTCCCTGCATCCAAACAAGGCAAGGCCCAGAGGCTGCGGTCACCCAGGTGGCCAGTGAGCACCAAGCAGCACCAGTGACCCCTCGTGGCTGCCTCCCTGCAGTGCCAGTTCTTCATCCGAGACATCGCTCAGGAGCCCTGCTCTGGCTCAGGCCTGAAGATGCCAGTGGCAGACTCAGTCGGCCAGTGTGAGGGGCCAGGAGACGAGACACTGCTGCCCAGTACAGCAGGAGAATTAATGCACACTTGTACACGTGTGCACAATACACAAGCAACCACATACACAGACATTCACAGCATGCACACACAATGTATGCAGACACATGCACATATGCAGACACACAACCACATAATGCATGCACATTCTCACATACACGTCCTCACACATGCTCTCACAGGCACACGTTCTCACACACATGCACATTCTCACATGCACACGTTTTCACACATGCTCACACTCTCACATGCACACACATGCACAGTCTCACACATGCACACATCCTCACACATGCTCTCACATGCATACATTCTCACACACATGCACATTCTCACATGCACGTTTCACACATGCTCACACACTCACATGCACACACATGCACATTCTCACACATGCACACATCCTCACACATGCTCTCACATGCATTCTCACACACATGCTCATTCTCGCATGCACACGTTCTCACACATGCACACATTCTCACACATGCACATGCTCACACGTTCTCACATGCACACATACACATTTTCACACATGCACACACGCACACATTCACATGCACATACACATTCTCAGATGCACACACATGCATTCTCACATATATACACATTCTCACACATGCACATGTACACATTCTCATCTGCACATACATGCACACATTCTCACATGCACTCATTCTCACCCATGCACATTCTCACACAAGCACACACATACACACTCATATCCACACACGTGCACACATTCTCACATGCACACACACATGCTCACATTCTCACACATGCACACATTCTCAAACACACACGTAAACATTCTCATATCCACATACATGCACACATTCTCACATGCACACACGTGCTCACACATGCTCACACATGTACACATTCTCACACATACACATTCTCACATGCACACACGTGCTCACACATGCTCACACATGTACACATTGTCACACACACATTATCACATGCACACACATGCTCACACATGCTCACACATGTACACGTTCTCACACACATTCTCACATGCACACACCTGCTCACACATGTACACGTTCTCACACATACATTCTCACATGCACAAGTTCTCACACACATGAACATTCTCACACACATGCACATGTACACACTATCTGTTCTCACATGCTCACACATGTACATGTTCTCATGTACACACTCACTACTCACACTCAGAATAGCAGAAGGAGCCCTCACCAGCCTGGGACCGCCATGCTCCAGGTGTCCTGCTGTACCAGGCTAGGTCACCCTTTCATTCTTTCCTGCCTCCCCTGCTGGGGTCCCTCAGGACCCTGCCTCTCTCCCACTGCCCCCTCCTGGTGGAGGCTGCCTTGCCAAAGTACCTTCAATCTGTAAATCCCGGTGCCCTGGGACACTGGAGCTGCCTCTGAAGTCCCCTCCCTGCAGGGAGCTGGCAGCGTTGCCAGGGTTCCCTCGGTCCCATGGGGCTTCTCAAAGCAGCACCACAGACGGAGGAGCCCACTGCTCCATCAGGGTCCCCAGGGGTGCAGCAACAAGAAAAAAATCTCCCCAGCTATTTTTGGAGGAGGGAAAAGTAATTACAGCTCAGAATCACTGCCCTGTTGAAAGGAATTCTCCAGAGGGAGAAAAAGCCCTTTATCTGAACTGATCAAGCACCTGCCATGCACATTTCTGCAAGGAAGCTGTAAAAGTGCTCCCATTCTGCAAGGAAGCTGTAAAAGTGCTCCCATTCTCAGGGAGTAGAAACTGCTGTCATGGCATCCAGTCATAACTGCTGCAAAAATTCCAGGAGGCCAAAGGTGAATCCTGAGAGACAGCAATGGCTTCTGAGGCCCAAGGAAGCAGGCACTGGCTCACCACACACCCAGGTCAGATTTAAGGAGCCGTTGGATCCGTGGGCTGCGTCCAAGGCAGGACTGCTGTGAAGTCTGAGCAGCTTAGTTCGTAATGAAACCTGAAGATAAGCCGAGACCCTATATCGCTGGAAATTCCTTTATTTTCAAGGATTTCGTTACAGTTCAGAGCAGCCACTGACAGGCAGCA
Organism: Homo sapiens; assembly: GCF_000001405.40. NCBI lineage: Eukaryota > Metazoa > Chordata > Mammalia > Primates > Hominidae > Homo > Homo sapiens. The sequence goes on from NC_000007.14 coordinate 158,328,458, forward strand.
GAAGGCAGGGGACAGAGTGACAGTGCCTGGGAGCGGCCAGCACAGCCTATGCATCTGCAGAGCAGCGTGAGGCTCTGACTGGGGAGGAGCCCCACGTCCGGGCAGCACCTGCACCCACAGCGGGAGCCTCACTGTCCGGAGAGGCCAGCTTCCCTTGTGTGAGGAGCAGGGCCCCCATTCCTCCCACCACCCAGATCCCAGTGAGGCCTGGGATGGTATATCCAGGAGAGGCCAGCTTCCCTTGTGAGTGTGAGTGACGTCTGCAGGTGTCAGGTCTTATGGTGAGAGTGTGGGTGTCAGTGACATCTGCAAGTCACTAGGAGCGGGGCCTCCATTCCCCCCCCCCCGCCACCCAGGGATCCCAGGGAGGCCTGGGACAGTAAATCCAGGAGATCCCAGCTTCCCTGAGCGACAAGCGGGACCTCTGTTCCTCTCGCCACCCAGGGATCCCAGTGAGGCCTGGGACGGTAAATCCAGGAGAGGCCAGCTTCCCTTGTGAGTGTGAGTGATGTCTGCAAGCATCAGGTCTTATGATGAGATTGTGGGTGTGAGTGACATCTGCAAGTCACTATGAGTGGGGCCTCCATTCCTCCCGCCACCCAGGGATCCCAGTGAGGCCTGGGATGGCAAATCCAGCGGCGCACAGCCCACTGCACCGAGGGAGGCGCACGACAGAAGCCACAGCTTGAGGGTGTGAGCCGGCAGTACTGAGGAGCCCAGCAGACACCGGCCAGGCGGGGCAGGGGGAAGCGTGGCGGGTGGGAGGCCCTTCTGGGAGGTGAGGAGCAGGCTAGGAGGGGAGGACAGTGAAGACAGTGCCGAGAACACAGCCAGTCATGCCTCCCTCACGGAGCACCAGCGCGCCCAGCACTTCCCAGCCTTTTACCTTTAAGGATGCCTTAAACCCCCACCCCAAGCCCATGAGGCTCCTCCTCCATGCAACAGGCTGTGTGCCGAAACCAGCCCCGGGTGCTGCTGTTAGCAGGCGGACGGCTGAGAGGCGAGGAGGTGGGGCCTTCCTTACACAGGCCCCAAGGACGGCTCACGCTCCAGCCACATGAGGACACGTGAGGAGGCACCGTCGATGAGCCAGGAGGGGACTCGCCAGACACCAGACGTCAACCCTGCCAGGGCGGTGACCTTGGCTTCCAGCCTTCAGAACTGAGAAATCAATGTCTGCTGTTTCTAAGCCCCGCAATAGGTGGTACTTTGAGCAGCCTTCATGGACTAAGACACTGCGTATTATTATCCCATTGACGCCATGTGGAAATTAAGGCACAGGGAGGTTAAGGAACTTGCTCAGAGTTGGCCTGGGAGTCGCAACCCAAGATCTGTCCACATGGTCCCACTTCACCGCTCGAGGCTGTGTCCTCTACGGAGACTCACTTTCACTTTAGACTGTAGATGCCAGCGTCTGACTGAGAAAATGCGGTCACCATAGCTACATGGAGTGACTGGCAGAGTGTCCTATTCTGCAACCAACTCACAAAATCCTCAGGTCTTGTATGGCGACTCTCACCATAAGAGCTCACGCCCGCAGACGACACTCACACCCACACTCTCACCATAAGAGGTGACATCTGCAGACGTCACTCACACCCACACTCTCACCATAAGAGCTGACACCTGCAGACGTCACTCACACCCACACTCTCACCATAAGAGCTGACACCCGCAGACGTCACTCACACCCACACTCTCACCCTAAGAGGTGACACCCGCAGACGTCACTCACACCCACACTCTCACCATAAGAGCTGACACCTGCAGACGTCACTCACACCCACACTCTCACCATAAGAGCTGACACCCGCAGACGTCACTCACACCCACACTCTCACCATAAGAGCTGACACCCGCAGACGTCACTCACACCCACACTCTCACCCTGAGGTGACATCTGCAGACGTCACTCACACCCACACTCTCACCATAAGAGCTGACACCTGCAGACGTCACTCACACCAACACTCTCACCATAAGAGCTGACACCCGCAGACGTCACTCACACCCACACTCTCACCCTAAGAGGTGACATCTGCAGACGTCACTCACACCCACACTCTCACCATAAGAGCTGACACCCGCAGACGTCACTCACACCCACACTCTCACCCTAAGAGGTGACATCTGCAGACGTCACTCACACCCACACTCTCACCATAAGAGGTGACATCTGCAGACGTCACTCACACCCACACTCTCACAATAAGAGCTGAGGCACAAAGAGGTCACTCACATCCATACTCTCACCATAAGAGCCGACACGTGCAGACGTCACTCACACCCACACTCTCACCATAAGAGCTGACACCCGCAGACGTCACTCACACCCACACTCTCACCATAAGAGCTGACACCCGCAGACGTCACTCACATCCACATTCTCACCATAAGAGCTGATGCCCGCAGACGTCATTCACACCCAAACTCTCACCATAAGAGCTGACACCTGCAGACGTCACTCACACCCACACTCTCACGATAAGAGCTGTCACACGCAGACGACACTCACACCCACACTCTCACCATAAGAGCTGACACCCGCAGACGTCACTCACATCCACACTCTCACCATAAGAGGTGACACCTGCAGACGTCACTCACACCCACACTCTCACCATAAGAGCTGATGCCCGCAGACGTCACTCACACCCACACTCTCACCATAAGAGCTGACGCCCGCAGACGTCACTCACACCCACACTCTCACCAGAAGAGCTGTCACACGCAGACGTCACTCACACCCACACTCTCACCATAAGAGCTGACGCCCGCAGACGTCACTCACACCCACACTCTCACCATAAGAGCTGACACCCGCAGACGTCACTCACACCCACACTCTCACCATAAGAGCTGAGGCCCACAGAGGTCACTCACACCCATACTCTCACCATAAGAGCTGACACCCGCAGAAGTCACTCACACCCACACTCTCACCATAAGAGCTGAGGCCCACAGAGGTCACTCACACCCATACTCTCACCATAAGAGCTGACACCCGCAGACGTCACTCACACCCACACTCTCACCATACGAGCTGTCACCCACAGACATCACTCACACCCACACTGTCACCATAAGAGCTGACACCCGCAGACGTCACTCACACCCACACTCTCACCATAAGAGCTGAGGACCACAGAGGTCACTTACAGCCATACTCTCACCATAAGAGGTGACACCTGCAGACGTCACTCACGCCGACACTCTCACCATAAGAGGTGACACTTGCAGACGTCACTAACACCCACATTCTCACCATAAGAGCTGACACCTGCAGACGTCACTCAAACTCACACTCTCACCATAAGAGCTGTCACGCACAGACATCACTCACACCCACACTGTCACCCTAAGAGGTGACACCCGCAGACGACACTAACAACCAGATTCTCACCATAAGAGCTGACACCCGCAGACGTCACTCACACCCACACTCTCACCATAAGAGCTGACGCCCGCAGATGTCACTCACACTCACACTCCCACGATAAGAGCTGACAACTGAAGACGTCACTCACATCCACACTCTCTCCATAAGAGCTGACAACCGCAAACGTCACTGACACCCACACTCTAACGATAAGAGGTGACATCTGCAGACGACACTCACACCCACACTCTCACCATAAGAGCTGAGGCCCACAGAGGTCACTCACACCCATACTCCCACCATAAGAGCCGACACCTGCAGATGTCACTCACATCCACACTCTCACCATAAGATGTGACACCTGCAGACATCACTCACATCCACACTCTGTCCATAAGAGCTGACACCCGCAGACGTCACTGACACCCACACTCTCACGATAAGAGGTGACATCTGCAGACGTCACTCACACCCACACTCTCACCATAAGAGCTGAGGCCCACAGAGGACACTCACACCCACACTCTCACCATAAGAGGTGACACCTGCAGATGTCACTCACACCCATACTCTCAACATAAGAGCTGACACCTGCAGACGTCACTCACACCCACACTCTCACCATAAGAGGTGACATCTACAGACGGCACTCACACCCACACTCTCACCATAAGAGCTGAGGCACAAAGAGGTCACTCACATCCATACTCTCACCATAAGAGGTGACACCTGCAGACGTCACTCACACCCACACTCTCACCATAAGAAGTGACACCTGCAGATGTCACTCACACCCACACTGTCACCATAAGAGCTGATGCCTGCAGACATCACTCACACCCACACTCTAACCATAAGAGTTGACACCTGCAGATGTCACTTACACCCACACTCTCACCATAAGAGCTGAGGCCCACAGAGGACACTCACACCCATACTCTCACCATAAGAGCTGATGCCTGCAGACGTCACTCACGTACACACTTCTCACCATAAGAGGTGACACATGCAAACGTCACTCACACCCACACTCTCACCATAAGAAGTGACACCTGCAAACGTCACTCACACCCACACTCTCACCATAAGAAGTGACACCTGCAGACATCACTCACACCCACAGTCTCACCATAAGAGGTGACACCTGCAGACGTCACTCACACCCACACTCTCACCATAAGAGCTGAAACCTGCAGACGTCACTCACACCCACACTCTCACCATAAGAAGTGACACCTGCAAATGTCACTCACACCCACGCTCTCACCATAAGAAGTGACACCTGCAGACATCACTCACACCCACAGTCTCACCATAAGAGGTGACACCTGCAGACGTCACTCAAACCCACACTCTCACCATAAGAGCTGTCGCCCGCAGACGTGACTCACACCCACACTCTCCCCAAAAGAGCTGTCGCCCGCAGGAGTCACTCACACCCACACTCTCACCATAAGAGGTGACATCTGCAGACGTCACTCACACCCACACTGTCACCATAAGAGGTGACACCTGCAGACGTCACTCACACCCACACTCGCACCATAAGAGGTGACACCTGCAGACGTCACTCACACCCACACTGTCACCATAAGAGGTGACACCTGCAGACGTCTCTCACACCCACACTCTCTCCATAAGAGGTGACACCTGGAGACGTCACTCACACCCACACTCTCACCATAAGACCTGACACTCGCAGACGTCACTCACACCCACACTCTCACCATAAGAGCTGATGCCGGCACACGTCACACACACCCACACTCTCACTATAAGAGGTGACACCTACAGACATCACTCACACCCACATTCTCACCATAAGAGCTGACACCCACAGACATCACTCACACCCACACTGTCACCATAAGAGCTGAGGCCCACAGAGGTCACTCACACACATACTCTCACCATAAGAGCTGACACCCGCAGACATCACTCACACACACACTCTCACCATAAGAGCTGAGGCCCACAGAGGTCACTCACACCCACACTCTCACCATAGAGCTGACACCCGCAGACGTCACTCACACCCACACTCTCACCATAAGAGCTGACACCCGCAGACGTCACTCACACCCACACTCTCACCATAAGAGCTGTCGCCCGCAGAGGTCACTCACACCCACAATCTCACCATAAGAGCCGACACCCGCAGACATCACTCACACACACACGCGTCACTCACACTCACACTCTAGCCATAAGAGCTGACGCCCGCAGACGTCACTCACACCCACACTCTCACCATAAGAGGTGACACCTGCAGACGTCACTCACACCCACACTCTCACCATAAGAGGTGACACATGCAGACGTCACACACACCCACACTCTCACCATAATTGGTGACACCTGCAGACGGAACTCACACCCACACATGTCACTCACACCCACACTCTCACCATAAGAGCTGACACATGCAGACGTCACTCACACCCACACTCTCACCATAAGAGCTGACACCTGCAGACGTCACTCACACCCACACGTCACTCACACCCACACTCTCACCATAAGAGCTGACGCCCGCAGATGTCACTCACACCCACACTCTCACCATAAGAGGTGAAACCTGCAGACGTCACTCACACCCACACTCTCACCATAAGAGGTGACGCCCATAGACGTCACTCACACCCACACACGTCACTCACACCCACACTCTCACCATAAGAGGTGACACCTGCAGACGTCACTCACACCCACACTCTCACCATAAGAGCTCTCGCCCACAGAGGTCACTCACACCCACACTCTCACCATAAGAGCCGACGCCCGCAGACGTCACTCACACCCACACTCTCACCATAATTGGTGACACCTGCAGACGTCACTCACACCCACACTCTCACCATAAGAGGTGACACCTGCAGACGTCACACCCACACTCTCACCATAAGAGGTGACGCCCGCAGACATCACTCACACCCACACTCTCACCATAGAGCTGACGCCCGCAGACGTTACTCACACCCACACTCTCACCATAAGAGGTGACACCTGCAGACGTCACTCACACCCACACTCTCACCATAATAGCTGTCGTCCGGAGGCGTCACTCACACCCACACTCTCACCATAAGCGCTGTCGTCCGGAGGCGTCACTCACACCCACACTCTCACCATAAGCGCTGACACCTGCTGACGTCACTCACACCCACACTGTCACCATAAGAGCTGACACCCGCAGACGTCACTCACATCCACACTCTCACCATAAGAGGTGACACCTGCAGACGTCACTCACACCCACACTCTCACCATAAGAGCTGAGGCCCACAGAGGACACTCACACCCACACTCTGACCATAAGAGGTGACACATGCAGATGTCACTCACACCCACACTGTCACCATAAGAGCTGATGCCTGCAGACGTCACTCACACCCACACTCTCACCATAAGAGGTGACACCTGCAGACGTCACTCACACCCACACTGTCACCATAAGAGCTGAGGCCCACAGAGGACACTCACACCCATACTCTCACCATAAGAGGTGACACCTGCAGATATCACTCACACCCATACTCTCACCATAAGAGCTGACACCTGCAGACGTCACTCACACCCACACTCTCAACCATAAGAGGTGACACATGCAGATGTCACTCACACCCACGCTGTCACCATAAGAGCTGATGCCTGCAGACGTCACTCACACCCACACTCTCACCATAAGAGTTGACACCTGCAGATGTCACTCACACCCACACTCTCACCATAAGAGCTGAGGCCCACAGAGGACACTCACACCCATACTCTCACCATAAAAGCTGATGCCTGCAGACGTCACTCACGTACACACTTCTCACCATAAGAGGTGACACATGCAAACGTCACTCACACCCACACTCTCACCATAAGAAGTGACACCTGCAAACGTCACTCACACCCACACTCTCACCATAAGAAGTGAAACCTGCAGACATCACTCACACCCACAGTCTCACCATAAGAGGTGACACCTGCAGACGTCACTCACACCCACACTCTCACCATAAGAGCTGACACCTGCAGACGTCACTCACACCCACACTCTCACCATAAGTGACACCTGCAAATGTCACTCACACCCACACTATCACCATAAGAAGTGACACCTGCAGACATCACTCACACCCACAGTCTCACCATAAGAGGTGACACCTGCAGACGTCACTCACACCCACACTCTCACCATAAGAAGTGACACCTGCAAATGTCACTCACACCCACACTCTCACCATAAGAAGTGACAACTGCAGACATCACTCACACCCACAGTCTCACCATAAGAGGTGACACGTGCAGACGTCACTCACACCCACATTCTCACCATAAGAGCTGTCGCCCGCAGAGGTCACTCACACCCACAATCTCACCATAAGAGCCGACGCCCGCAGACATCACTCACACCCACACACGTCACTCGCACTCACACTCTAGCCATAAGAGCTGACGCCCGCAGACGTCACTCACACCCACACTCTCACCATAAGAGGTGACACCTGCAGACGTCACTCACACCCACACTCTCACCATAAGAGCTGACACATGCAGACGTCACTCACACCCACACTCTCACAATAATTGGTGACACCTGCAGACGTCACTCACACCCACACATGTCACTCACACCCACACTCTCACCATAAGAGCTGACGCCCGCAGATGTCACTCACACCCACACTCTCACCATAAGAGGTGAAACCTGCCGACGTCACTCACACCCACACTCACCATAAGAGTTGACACCTGCAGACGTCATTCACACCCACACTCTCACCATAATTGGTGACACATGCAGACGTCACTCACACCCACACGTCACTCACACCCACACTCTCACCATAAGAGCTGACGCCCGCAGACGTCACTCACACCCACACTCTCACCAAAAGAGCTGACGCCCGCAGACGTCACTCACACCCACAGTCTCACCATAAGAGGTGACACCTGCAGACGTCACTCACATCCACACTCTCACCATAAGAAGTGACACCTGCAGACGTCACTCACCCACACTCTCACCATAAGAGCTGTCGCCCGCACAGGTCACTCACACCCACACTCTCACCATAAGATCCGACGCCCGCAGACGTCACTCACACCCACACTCGTCACTCACACTCACACTCTCACCATAAGAGCTGATGCCCGCAGACGTCACTCACACCCACACTCTCACCATAAGAGCTGTCACCCACAGACATCACTCACACCCACACTGTCACCATAAGAGCTGACACCCGCAGACGTCACTCACACCCACACTCTCACCATAAGAGCTGAGGCCCACAGAGGTCACTTACAGCCATACTCTCACCATAAGAGGTGACACCTGCAGACGTCACTCACACCGACACTCTCACCATAAGAGGTGACACTTGCAGACGTCACTAACACCCACATTCTCACCATAAGAGCTGACACCTGCAGACGTCACTCAAACTCACACTCTCACCATAAGAGCTGTCACGCACAGACATCATTCACACCCACACTGTCACCCTAAGAGGTGACACCTGCAGACGTCCCTCACACCCACACTCTCACCATAAGAGGTAACACCTGCAGACGTCCCTCACACCCACACTCTCACCATAAGAGGTGACACCCACAGACGTCACTCAAACCCACACTCTCACCATAAGAGGTGACACCTGCAGACGTCACTCGCACCCACACTCTCACCATAAGAGGTGACACCTGCAGACGTCATTCACACCCACACTCTCACCATAATTGGTGACACCTGCAGACGTCACTCACACCCACACTCTCACCATAAGAGGAGACACCTGCAGACGTCATTCACACCCACACTCTCACCATAATTGGTGACACCTGCAGACGTCACTCACACCCACACTCTCACCATAAGAGCTGACGCCCGCAGACGTCACTCACAACCACACTCTCACCATAAGAGGTGACACCTGCAAACGTCACTCACACCCACACTCTCACCATAAGAGGTGACGCCCATAGACGTCACTCACACCCACACACGTCACTCACACTCACACTCTCACCATAAGAGTGTGACACCTGCAGACGTCACTCACACCCACACTCTCACCATAATGAGTCTCGCCCGCAGAGGTCACTCACACCCACACTCTCACCATAAGAGCTGACGCCCGCAGACGTCACTCACACCCACACTCTCACCATAATTGGTGACACCTGCAGACGTCACTCACACCCACACTCTCACCATAAGAGGTGACACCTGCAGACGTCACACCCACACTCTCACCATAAGAGGTGATGCCCGCAGACATCACTCACACCCACACTCTCACCATAGAGCTGACGCCCGCAGACGTTACTCACACCCACACTCTCACCATAAGAGGTGACACCTGCAGACGTCACTCACACCCACACTCTCACCATAATAGCTGTCGTCCGGAGGCGTCACTCACACCCACACTCTCACCATAAGCGCTGACACCTGCTGACGTCACTCACACCCACACTGTCACCATAAGAGCTGACACCCGCAGACGTCACTCACATCCACACTCTCACCATAAGAGGTGACACCTGCAGACGTCACTCACACCCACACTCTCACCATAAGAGCTGAGGCCCACAGAGGACACTCACACCCACACTCTGACCATAAGAGGTGACACATGCAGATGTCACTCACACCCACACTGTCACCATAAGAGCTGATGCCTGCAGACGTCACTCACACCCACACTCTCACCATAAGAGGTGACACCTGCAGACGTCACTCACACCCACACTCTCACCATAAGAGCTGAGGCCCACAGAGGACACTCACACCCATACTCTCACCATAAAAGCTGATGCCTGCAGACGTCACTCACGTACACAGTTCTCACCATAAGAGGTGACACATGCAAACGTCACTCACACCCACATTCTCACCATAAGAAGTGACACCTGCAAACGTCACTCACACCCACACTCTCACCATAAGAAGTGACACCTGCAGACATCACTCACACCCACAGTCTCACCATAAGAGGTGACACCTGCAGACGTCACTCACACCCACACTCTCACCATAAGAGCTGACACCTGCAGACGTCACTCACACCCACACTCTCACCATAAGAAGTGACACCTGCAAATGTCACTCACACCCACACTCTCACCATAAGAACTGACACCTGCAGACATCACTCACACCCACAGTCTCACCATAAGAGGTGACACCTGCAGACGTCACTCACACCCACACTCTCACCATAAGAGCTGTCGCCCGCAGACGTGACTCACACCCACACTCTCCCCATAAGAGCTGTCGCCCGCAGAAGTCACTCACACCCACACTCTCACTATAAGAGGTGACATATGCAGACGTCACTCACACCCACACTGTCACCATAAGAGGTGACACCTGCAGACGTCACTCACACCCACACTCGCACCATAAGAGGTGACACCTGCAGATGTCACTCACACCCATACTCTCACCATAAGAGCTGACACCTGCATACGTCACTCACACCCACACTCTCAACCATAAGAGGTGACACATGCAGATGTCACTCACACCCACGCTGTCACCATAAGAGCTGATGCCTGCAGACGTCACTCACACCCACACTCTCACCATAAGAGTTGACACCTGCAGATGTCACTTACACCCACACTCTCACGATAAGAGCTGAGGCCCACAGAGGACACTCACACCCATACTCTCACCATAAAAGCTGATGCCTGCAGACGTCACTCACGTACACACTTCTCACCATAAGAGGTGACACATGCAAACGTCACTCACGCCCACACTCTCACCATAAGAAGTGACACCTGCAAACGTCACTCACACCCACACTCTCACCATAAGAAGTGACACCTGCAGACATCACTCACACCCACAGTCTCACCATAAGAGGTGACACCTGCAGACGTCACTCACACCCACACTCTCACCATAAGAGCTGACACCTGCAGACGTCACTCACACCCACACTCTCACCATAAGAAGTGACACCTGCAAATGTCACTCACACCCACACTCTCACCATAAGAAGTGACACCTGCAGACATCACTCACACCCACAGTCTCACCATAAGAGGTGACACCTGCAGACGTCACTCACACCCACACTCTCACCATAAGAGCTGTCGCCCGCAGACGTGACTCACACCCACACTCTCCCCATAAGAGCTGTCGCCCGCAGAAGTCACTCACACCCACACTCTCACTATAAGAGGTGACATATGCAGACGTCACTCACACCCACACTGTCACCATAAGAGGTGACACCTGCAGACGTCACTCACACCCACACTCGCACCATAAGAGGTGACACCTGGAGACGTCACTCACACCCACACTCTCACCATAAGACCTGACACTCGCAGACGTCACTCACACCCACACTCTCACCATAAGAGCTGATGCCGGCACACGTCACTCACACCCACACTCTCACTATAAGAGGTGACACCTACAGACATCACTCACACCCACATTCTCACCATAGGAGCTGACACCCACAGACATCACTCACACCCACACTGTCACCATAAGAGCTGAGGCCCACAGAGGTCACTCACACCCATACTCTCACCATAAGAGCTGACACCCGCAGACGTCACTCACACACACACTCTCACCGTAAGAGCTGACACCCGCAGACGTCACTCACATCCACACTCTCACCATAATAGGTGACACCTGCAGACGTCACTCACACCCACATTCTCACCATAAGAGCTGTCGCCCGCAGAGGTCACTCACACCCACAATCTCACCATAAGAGCCGACGCCCGCAGACATCACTCACACCCACACACGTCACTCACACTCACACTCTAGCCATAAGAGCTGACGCCCGCAGACGTCACTCACACCCACACTCTCACCATAAGAGGTGAAACCTGCAGACGTCACTCACACCCACACTCACCATAAGAGGTGACACATGCAGACGTCACACACACCCACACTCTCACCATAATTGGTGACACCTGCAGACGTCACTCACACCCACACATGTCACTCACACCCACACTCTCACCATAAGAGCTGACACATGCAGACGTCACTCACACCCACACTCTCACCATAAGAGCTGACACCCGAAGTCAGTCACACCCACACACGTCAATCACACTCACACTCTCACCATAAGAGCTGACGCCCGCAGATGTCACTCACACCCACACTCTCACCATAAGAGGTGAAACCTGCAGACGTCACTCACACCCACACTCACCATGAGGTGACACCTGCAGACGTCATTCACACCCACACTCTCACCATAATTGGTGACACCTGCAGACGTCACTCACACCCACACGTCACTCACACCCACAGTCTCACCATAAGAGCTGACGCCCGCAGACGTCACTCACACCCACACTCTCACCATAAGAGGTAACACCTGCAGACGTCATTCACACCCACACTCTCACCATAATTGGTGACACCTGCAGACGTCATTCACACCCACACTCTCACCATAAGAGCCGACGCCCATAGACGTCACTCACACCCACACACGTCACTCACACCCACACTCTCACCATAAGAGGTAACACATGCAGACGTCACTCACACCCACACTCTCACCATAAGAGCTGTCGCCCGCAGAGGTCACTCACACCCACACTCTCACCATAAGAGGTAACACCTTCAGACGTCATTCACACCCACACTCTCACCATAATTGGTGACACGTGCAGACGTCACTCACACCCACACTCTCACCATAAGAGGTGACATCTGCAGACGTCACTCACACCCACACTCTCACCATAAGAGGTGACACCCGCAGACATCACTCACACCCACACTCTCACCATAAGAGGTAACACATGCAGACGTCACTCACACCCACACTCTCACCATAAGAGCTGTCGCCCGCAGAGGTCACTCACACCCACACTCTCACCATAGAGCTGACGCCCGCAGACGTCACTCACACCGACACTCTCACCATAAGAGCTGACACCTGCAGACGTCACTCACACCCACACTCTCACCGTAAGAGGTGACACCAGCAGACGTCACTCACACCCACACTCTCACCATAAGAGTGTGCCCCGCAGGCGTCACTCACACCCACACTCACCATATGAGCTGACACCTGCAGACGTCACTCACACCCACATTCTCACCATAAGAGCTGTCGCCCGCAGACGTCACTCACACCCACACTCTCACCATAAGAGGTGACACCTGCAGACGTCACTCACACCCACACTCTCACCATAAGAGCTGACACCCGCAGACGTTACTCACATCCACACTCTCACCAGAAGGGGTGTCACCTGCAGACGTCACTCACACCCACACTCTCACCATAAGAGCTGTCGCCCGCAGAGGTCACTCACACCCACACTCTCACCATAAGAGCCGACGCCCACAGACGTCACTCACACCCACACACGTCACTCACACTCACACTCTCACCATAAGAGCTGACGCCCGCAGACGTCACTCACACCCACACTCTCACCATAGAGCTGACACCCGCAGACGTCACTCACACCCACACTCTCACCATAAGAGCTGACACCTGCAGACGTCACTCACACCCACACTCTCACCATAAGAGCTGACATCTGCAGACGTCACTCACACCCACACTCTCACCATAAGAGCTGACACCTGCAGACGTCACTCACACCCACACTCTCACCATAAGAGCTGACACCTGCAGACGTCACTCAAACCCACACTCTCACCATAAGAGCTGACACCTGCAGACGTCACTCACACCCACACTCTCACCATAAGAGCTGACACCTGCAGACGTCGCTCACACCCACACTCTCACCATAAGAGCTGACATCTACAGACATCACTCACACAGTCAACTCAGTCAGTCCTTATGATAACCCTTAGTGGCATAAACTGTCATGGTCCCCATTCCATATTCAGAAACTAGAGCCCAGAGAGGTTGGGTGCCTTGCTGGAGCCCATAGAGGAATGGGCAGCGGCAGGAAAGTCTGACTGACACTTAGCACCCATGAGGGAGGTACGGAAACAGGATCAACCATTCCAGACCACCGGGAGCTCAGGAAACCTCATCATCGTGCTCACTTGAGCCAAGATCCAGGAAATATTAAGTCCTTAGGGGCTTCAAAAGCGAAGGAGAACGGCAGGGTGGACAAGTGCTGGGTTCTTTTCAGCCAGCACATGCCGATGACCAGCTCTGCGTTGCAGTGAGCTGAGATTGCGCCATTGCACTCCAGCCTGGGCAACAAGAGTGAAACTTCATCTCAAAAAGAAAGAATGTAACCATCAAAATTAAAACTTCTGTGCATCAAAGGACACTATTAGCAGCAGGAAAAGGCAGCCAGGGAGTGGGGAAATATTTGCCCTCATCTATCTGATAAGGGATTTGTATCCAAAATACATAAAGAACCACAACTCGACAACAACAACAAAAAACCTGATTAAAAACGGGTAAAGGACCTGAGTAGACTTTTCTCCAGAGAAGATGTACAAACAGCTGAAAGCACAGGGAAGGCGCCCAGCATCACCAGCGTCAAGGCAACGCAAATCAAAACCACAGTGAGACCTACTGCCCGCTCAGCAGGACATCTGCTATCAAAAAACGAAACGAAGCAAAACCGAAAATAACGCGTGTGGGTGAGAACATGGAGAAAATAGGGCCCTGTGCTCCGCGGGCAGGAACGTAACCTGATGCAGTCGCCGTGGAAAGCACACGGGAAAAGTTCAATGTGGAAGTAGCAGATGATCCGACAGCCCCATTTGATTTTACACCCAATACCTGCAAGCAGGGCTCGCGCAGAGGCTCAGGCAGCCATGCTGGTGGCACATGGGCTGTCGCGACTGCTCCCGGTGGAATCAGCCCCATTTCTGATTTTACACCCAACACCTGCAAGCAGAGCTCGCGCAGAGGCTCAGGCAGCCATGCTCGTGGCACGTGGGCTGTCGCGGCTGCTCCCGGTGGAATCAGCCCCCTTTCTGATTTTACACCCAACACCTGCAAGCAGGGCTCGCGCAGAGGCTCAGGCAGCCATGCTCGTGGCACGTGGGCTGTCGCGGCTGCTCCCAGTGGAATCACAGCTACAATCGAGCTCAGGTAAAGGCTTCCATGGAGGGTCTAGACTGCATTTCCAGGCACCAGGATGAGTTTAAATTCAGCTCCCAAAGAAGACCAGTGAACACACCAATGAACATACACTTCACACTGCCACACCCCAAGATAAGACCCAGAAACTCACATTCAGGGAAAGACAGCCCCTCTTACATGCCACCCAGACCCCCATACGAGAGTGTCAGACCCCAGCACCTTCCAAAAACACAAAATGTCCCCCTGCCGAGGAGCCAGCACCTGGGCCCTTAGAAGCCGTGACAACGAGCAGCAAAGCGCAGGGCCTCACCCAAGAGATACCCAGGACAGCACAGACGGGGGAAGCTCCAGCAACCCCACACAGGCCCCAAGAAGCCACCAGCCAGACCAGGCTCGGGAAGAGCTGTCTTCAGCAGGAACAAGGCAGTTTAGTAACTAGAAGCAATATGGGATGGGGCTGAGCCATCATCAGGAGCTCCGTCCAGTGGGGAGCATTGGCCCCAGTCGCAGGCAAGGGAGGCTGTTTCAAGTTTAGGCCTCCAGAAGAGGCAGCTCCTCGACCAAACTGAAGACACATAATTTCCTGTTAAATTAACACTTGCAACGCCTTGCACCCAGGTCTTGAATGCTAATTATACTCGCCGGCATTTAATACAAGACACCCTGGAGTCTGGGCTGAAATGCCACACAGGAATCTGGAATCGCATAAAACGTGGAAAACCAGACTTTTCTAGCCCAAGAATGAGTGAGATGTAAAAATCAAAGAGGTCCCACACGTAACCCACCAAGAAAGAACAAGTGAGGCTGTGTTGCTGGAGGTGGTCGCTCTCCCCAAGCTCAGTCCTGACAGAAATGACGCTCTGACGGTGCACGATTTGCAATGTGCAGGAACAGACCCCAGCACCTTTCATCGGTGGGTTTAGGAGAGGGGCCCAGGGGACCCTGGCACTCCTCTGATGAGAAATCAGGCACCAGCTTGTGCATCTGTTTCCCTGGAAATCACTGCTTCCCTGTTGGTTTGCACATGTCCTGTCAGCCCTGTGAGGTGAGAACCCAGAAGCTGATGGACGATACCCAAAACAGAGCTTTAGGCAGAAGACAGCTTGGACCCAAGGCCTCAGTTAGGCCATGGAGGGAAAGTATGGTGCGGACACCTGGGACCGCAGTGGGCGGGAGAAATTCTGGAGGATAAAATGTTGGGCCCCAGTGCTCCATCTCTGAGGGTGGACCCTGCTGCCTGGGAGCAGTCCTGGCAGGACCCCCACAGTCCACGTGACTGATGGTCTAGGCCTATGTCTGCTCAACTATGATGGCATAAACACCCCTCCCAGCAGAGCCTTGAAACTAAAGAAGTCATCTGAGTGACTAGACGTTAACAAGGAGAGAAAACCTAACTGCCTGTCTCCTGGCCAACGGGAAGACAGGTTTTTTGTCTTACTTTGGGTTTTGTCTTAATTTGGGTTTTTTGTGGGCTACTCTGGTAACCAGAGCTTTGTCTGGAGACAGCGTGTTCTTATAGGAGGCCACAGAGGGTTTTATGAAGAGTAAGCTTCGGAGGCTCAGGAGGACTTGTATTTTTGAGCAGGGTGGAGCAAGAGAAAGAACAAAGACAAAGGCCACCGGTTTTGGAAGCCCCAGGTAGAAGGAGACAGGGTCTTCCACCCCCGTGGAAAAACCTCCTGAAGCTACAAGCTGGGGCCAAAGCTGGTGTGGCAGCAGTGGTCACCCAGAGCTTTCCAATGCCGTCCACTCATCCCAGGTGGGGAAACTGAGGCTGAGGAAGCAAAATGACTTGGTCACACACATTTTATAATTTACAATTGTATATATATATGGGTGTCCATTTTCACACAGCTATAAAGAACTACCCAAGACTAAGTAATTTTTGAAGAAAAGAGATTTAATTGACTCACAGTTCCACAGGGCTGGGGAGGCCTCAAGAAACTAGTCATGGCAAAAGGCGAAGGAGAAGCAAGCACCTTCTTCCTGAGGCGGCAGAAGGAGTGGGGGTGGGGGGAGTGCTACACTTTTAAACCATCAGCTCTCATGAGAACTCCCTCACTATCACGAGAACAGCGTGGTGGAAACCACCCGCATGATCCAGTCACCTCCCACCAGGTCCCTCCCCAACGCTGGGGATTACAACTCAAGGTGAGATGTGGGTGGGGACACAGAGCCAAACCATATCAATGGGTACAAGGCAATGCTATGATTTATGAATACAATGTGGAATAATTAAATCAAGCTAGTTAACATATCCATCACTTCAAATACTTAACATTTTTGTGGCAAAAACATTTGGAATTTGTTCTCTCAGCAGTTTTGAGATGTATAACCGTCTACTGTTATCTTCATCACACTGTACAATCGAACTCAAAAAATTGCCCCTGAGATTTGTGCCCTCCACCTGTTATCTCCCCATTCCCTCCACCCCTGGCCTCTGGCGACCTCAGTTCTACTCTCTGCTACTGTGAGTTCAATTGTTTTCAGTTCCACATATGAGTAAGATCATGCGGTATTTGTCTTTCTGTGCCTGGCTTATTTCACTCAGCGTAATGCTTTCCAATTCCATCCATGATGCTGGAAATCACAGAATTCCTTCCTTTTTAAGACTGAATAGTATCCCACTGTGTCTTTATCCATCCATCTGTCGATGGACATTTAGGTTGATTCTATGTCATGGCCATTGTGGACAGTGCTGCAGTAAACATGAGGGTGCAGATCTCTCTTCAACATGCTGATTTTACTTCCTTTGGATAAATACCTCATAGTGGGATTGCTAGATGATATGGTAGTTTGTTGTTTGAGAGGCCTCCATACAGTTCTCCATAATGACTGTACCGATTTAGATTCCCAATAGTGCACAAGATTTCCCTTTTCACCACTTCCTCACCAACACTTGCTGTCTTTTTAATAATAGCCATTCTAACAGGTGTGATATGATATCCCATTGTGGTTTTGATTTGCATTTCCCTAATGATTAGCACAGTTGAGCATCTTTTCACATACATGTTGGCCATTTTTATGTCTTCTTTTGAGAAATATCTACTCAGATTCTTTACCTGTCTTTTAATTGGGTTTTTCATTTTCATGCTATTGAGTTGTTTGAGCTTATTATATATTTTGGATATTAAGCCCTTATTGGATGTACAGCTTGCAAATATTTTCTCCCCATCCTTAGGTTGTCTGTGCACTCTGCTAACTGTTTTGTTTGCTGTGTAGAGCTTTGTATTTGATATAATCCCATTTGTTTATTTTTGATTTTGTTGCCTGTGCTTTGGGGATCAAATAAAAAAAATTGTTGCCCAGGATAATGTTATGTCATTTTGCCCTGTGATTTCTTCTAGTAGTTTTACAGTTTCAGGTCTTAAATTTAAGTCTTTAATCCCTTTTGAGTTTTTGTATGTGGTGAGAGATAAGTTCTAATTTCATTCTTCTGCATGTGGATATCCAGTTTTTCTGGCACCATTTATTGAAGACACTGTCCTTTTCCCATTATGTGTTCTTGCCACTTTTGCTGAAAATGAATTGAGCATAAATGCATGGATTCATTTCCTGGCTCTCTATTCTGTTCCATTAGTTGATGTGTCTATTTTGTTTTGTTGTTGCCAGTACCACGTTGTTTTGGTTATTATAGTTTCATAGTATATTTTGAAATCAGGTGGTGTGATGCATCCAGCTTTGTTCCTTTGGCTCCTGATTGCCTTGGCTATTCAGGGTTTTATGTGGTTCCATATGAATTTTAGGATTGCTTTTCTATTTCTGTAAAAAAAATGCCATTGGAATTTTGATAGGGGTTGCACTGAAACTATAGATTGCTCTAGGTAGTACGGACATTTTAACAATATTAATTCTTTCAATCAATGAACATGGGATACCTTCTATTTATTTGCCTTGTCTTCCATTTCTTTCACCATCTCATAGTTTTCAGTGTACAGGTCTCACCGTCTGGGTTAAATTAATTCCTATCTATTGCAGTCACACATTTTTTTAGTGGCAGCACTCACCTTCTTGAGTGAACCATGGAGGTTGTGGCATTTGCTTGTCAAGGGCCTTGCATTCCTGGGGGTGCCCCCTCTGCTGTTGTGGTATCCTAGGATGGCTGTCAATCCCTAAACTTGCTCCCTTGCGGCCCAGGAGCCACAAGAACATCTCATTCCCTGCCCAGTCACTGGTCAGGTGCAGGCCCTGACCCATTCCAAACCACGGCCCCCTCCTACATGCTTTTCTCTGGTGGAAGATTCTCTCTTTTCATGCAGATTGGTTGCTAAGCCCTGTGAACAGGAGTGAACAGGTGGACAAGCAGCCATCCCAACACCACACAAAGAGAGAGAAACTGGAGACAAAAGCAGCGGGGAGATGCTGCAGATCCCGGCCACTGTGCCAGAGCCACCCTGGGTTCGCCATTCACAGCCCCAGAGCCACCCTGGGTTCCCCATTCACAGCCCCAGAGCCACCCTGGGGTCCCCATTCACAGCCCCAGAGCCACCCTGGGGTCCCCATTCACAGCCCCAGAGCCACCCTGGGGTCCCCATTCACAGCCCCAGAGCCACCCTGGGGTCCCCATTCACAGCCCCAGAGCCACCCTGGGGTCCCCATTCACAGCCCCAGAGCCACCCTGGGGTCCCCATTCACAGCCCCAGAGCCACCCTGGGGTCCCCATTCACAGTCCAGTATGCCCCACGTGAGTCTGTGTTGGCTTCTGTCACTTGCAGTCCTGAGTGCTGAGCTGGGCCAGGCCCCCAACACCTGAGGTCCTTCCCTCCCTCACAGAGTTTTCATGCTCAGTTGTGAGGTATGGTGATGGCCACAGGCCCGAATCCTAACCACCACAGCACAGGACTTCTCAAAGAGACCGTCACTGTGTCTCCTGCCCCAACAAGGTGAACAGTTCTGGGATGCTAATCCCCACTCACTCATTCCATCCCCATCCTGGAGCCTCCTGGACAGATTCCATCATTACCCTCCCTCAGGAGGAGGCAGTGCTGAGGGTGGCCCACGTCACTGCACCCCTGGGTGGTCCCTGAGGGCACTGCTGAGGGTGGCCCACGTCACTGCACCCCTGGGTGGTCCCTGAGGGCAGTGCTGAGGGTGGCCCACGTCACTGCACCCCTGGGTGGTCCCTGAGGGCAGTGCTGAGGGTGGCCCACGTCACTGCACCCCTGGGTGGTCCCTGAGGGCAGTGCTGAGGGTGGCCCACGTCACTGCACCCCTGGGTGGTCCCTGAGGGCAGTGCTGAGGGTGGCCCACGTCACTGCACCCCTGGGTGGTCCCTGAGGGCAGTGCTGAGGGTGGCCCACGTCACTGCACCCCTGGGTGGCCCCTGAGGGCAGTGCTGAGGATGGCCCACGTCACTGTGCTCCCTGGGTGGTCCCTGAGGGCAGTGCTGAGGGTGGCCCACGTCACTGCACCCCTGGGTGGTCCCTGAGGGCAGTGCTGAGGGTGGCCCACATCACTGCACCCCTGGGTGGTCCCTGAGGGCACTGCTGAGGGTGGCCCACGTCACTGCACCCCTGGGTGGTCCCTGAGGGCAGTGCTGAGGGTGGCCCACGTCACTGCACCCCTGGGTGGTCCCTGAGGGCAGTGCTGAGGGTGGCCCACGTCACTGCACCCCTGGGTGGTCCCTGAGGGCAGTGCTGAGGGTGGCCCACGTCACTGCACCCCTGGGTGGTCCCTGAGGGCAGTGCTGAGGGTGGCCCACGTCACTGCACCCCTGGGTGGTCCCTGAGGGCAGTGCTGAGGGTGGCCCACGTCACTGCACCCCTGGGTGGTCCCTGAGGGCAGTGCTGAGGGTGGCCCACGTCACTGCACCCCTGGGTGGCCCCTGAGGGCAGTGCTGAGGATGGCCCACGTCACTGTGCTCCCTGGGTGGTCCCTGAGGGCAGTGCTGAGGGTGGCCCACGTCACTGCACCCCTGGGTGGTCCCTGAGGGCAGTGCTGAGGGTGGCCCACATCACTGCACCCCTGGGTGGCCCCTGAGGGCAGTGCTGAGGATGGCCCACGTCACTGTGCTCCCTGGGTGGTCCCTGAGGGCCCCCCGGGCCACATGAGGCCCACCCCCTTCCTGATGTCCAAGAACAAGGGCGTTACTAGCGCTCACGTGTTCCCCTTTGCAGACTAGGTCACAGGATACAGCACGGATTCCTTCCGGCAAAAGGTGCTCAGTAAAGTGGATTGCAGCATCCTGTGTCTCCCCTAAAACATCCTCAAACAGAATGGCTGCACCAAGATGTATGGGATCTGTACCAAGACATGGGTAAAAAGAAGGCCCTGGCATGTTCACCTGATTGTTACTCAAAAGCCCCACAGATGGAGGCTCCATTGAGCATTGACCCTGAGGCCCTAAGAGTTGCTGCCCGAGGAGAGATGCTCAACATCAGCCGGCACTTCCATCTCCGCTCCCTCTGGCAGGAACAAACTCCACTGAAACAGGCGGCTCTTTCCCAAGCAGGGGCAGGACTGGCTGGTTGCCGTGTTCCCAGGAAACATGTACAGGGTACCTGCTTCACCCAGGAAGTGCAGGGAGGTTGGAATGAAACCTCAGAAGGATGGAGAGGCTGCTCAGAAGATGCTGACTGCGGGCCTGCTTCTGGTGTCTGACTGCCGTCTGCACCCAGAATCTGCCTGTCAATTTTGTCTTCAATGATTTTGAAACTCCTGGGGGTGAGGGAGCTGGAGACAAATAGTGACTTAGAGTCCCATAACACATTTGTCCCCATCACCCCATTGGATCTCAGGGCTGCCTGTGAGCCAGGCTGTGCAGGAAGGAAGGTGCCAGAGCTGCTGCCTAAGGTGCCCTAGGGACAGGAGAGCCCCTGCCTCCTGCCGGCCACTGGATCCACGCCCAGTGGATCAGTCGCTCATCACCGGCCAGGCCAGTGCCTCGCCTCACCTCACCCAGCCTCACAGTTCAGATGAGGAAACAGACCCAGAAGGAGCAAGTAGCTGGATTCTAGGCTATCAACAAAATGCCAAAGGCAGAAAAAACCCTGATTTTCCAAAAGGGAAAAAAATGTTGGAATACAAATCAATTTGTCTGCTGTTTACCAAAGCTCATTCTCTCCCCCAGCGTTTCCAAATCCCACCCGGCACACCTGTGGCCCATTCAGGTGCCAGTTCCGTCAACTGCCTGGAAATCCCTGCAGAGAACAACGGCACACCTGAGCCTCTTCCAGAGCCCACAGTTATCCCATTACGAAATGAAAAGCTGCTTTGGGGAATGCTGTGTTGATGTGTCAGCATCAAACTGTTATGCGGGAGGCAGAAGGACCTCACCGACGGCATCTCTCGCCACCTCGAGGGCACGGGTGAGGTGCAGGAGGAACTCGTGCTACCACCTCCACCCACCCCCAGGGGTTCTGCCCCTTCAGAAGGAGGGTCCAGGAGGGGGACTCACCCGCTGGCACCATTGGCCACTGCACACTATTCCCCAGCTCCCTCCTACTGCACCCCATGAGCCACCCTCAGTTGGGCCCCATCCCTGAGTCCCTTTTGGGTTCCTAATTGTTGGGCACAGTCTAAGCCCAGGGCTCCCTGCAGGCCTGCAGCTGTCTGGGGCGACTCGTACACTGTACCTGCTTTCCTTCGTTGCTCACACAGCAGCCGACACAGTCACTCAAAACTCCCATTTGTGAAAGTAAGTGGCCTTTTAAAGAATGCTAAAACATTACGGGCACTTTAGCCCCGCGTTTCTTACTACACGAAACATGGTTACCTACGAGTGAAATGGCAGAAGGAATGACCTTATTAACGCCTCATCCTTCTCAAGGGCAAGAGAGTGCAACTCAACAACTCCATGTGAACACCTGCCCTGGCATGCAGGCAGCCGGGCCAGTCCACAGCCAGTCACGGCCCCACGGGAGGAGCCTTCTGAGTGACAGATATCATTTTCATTCAGGGGGGCTTGAACTCTGGCCATCAGAAGAGCTGGTTACTACAAAGGTAGCAGAACAGGAAGTACTGAGAAGAAAGTGCACCTTTCTGACCACCCACTCCCAGCCCAGCTCCCCTCCTGTCTGCTCGCCTCCTGTCCGCTCCCCTCCTGTCCGCTCCCCTCCTGTCCGCTCCCCTCCTGACCGCTCCCCTCCTGTCCGCTCCCCTCCTGACCGCTCCCCTCCTGTCCGCTCCCCTCCTGTCCGCTCCCCTCCTGACCGCTCCCCTCCTGTCCGCTCCCCTCCTGACCGCTCCCCTCCTGTCCGCTCCCCTCCTGTCCGCTCCCCTCCTGTCCGCTCCCCTCCTGACCGCTCCCCTCCTGTCCGCTCCCCTCCTGTCCGCTCCCCTCCTGACTGCTCCCCTCCTGACCGCTCCCCTCCTGTCCGCTCCCCTCCTGACTGCTCCCCTCCTGACTGCTCCCCTCCTGTCCGCTCCCCTCCTGTCCGCTCCCCTCCTGACTGCTCCCCTCCTGTCCACTCCCCTCCTGTCTGCTCCCCTCTTGACTGCTCCCCTCCCTGCCAGCTACCCTCCTGACCGCTCCCCTCCTGTCCGCTCCCCTCCTGACCACTCCCCTCCCTGGCCAGCTACTCTGGAGCAAACTTACACAAGCACACAGCAGGACCCAAGGATCAGCTTCGATAGGCATTTTCCAGAAGTGCATTAGAATGGCTGCTTCACCCTCCTGTGATGATGCCTGGACCCTGAGGTGGGTCAGGCCCCTCCCGTGCTGCAGCCGATTCGTGGCTGGATTAAACTTCTTATTGCCCCCTGAAGGTGAGGTCAGGCAGCAGAAGCATCGTGCAGCTAGGAATAGAAGGCTCTGGGCCCCACACATTTCAGAGAGGCGTAATTGGGGTAGGCTGGTATTGGTAATCCTGAGTACAATATTGATTGACAAAAACGAATCACACCTGAGCCTCAAAGCTCTTAGCCCTTCCCTGCAAAGAAAACTCTCTCTTAGAATTACCAAATATAGCTTTCAATCCCTTCAATCTAAATGTTTCAGGTGAGAGCAGAGATAGATTTTTCGAATGGAGACATTAACCTTTCTGAGCTGCAGCTGCCTGGCTCTCTCTGCCTGTTACTCTGTTTCTGGAACATGGCAGCTGCTTTCGCCGCACCAGGGCCTGCACCAGGCCACCCAGTTACATTCAGGCCACCCTGGGCCAATAGGCCAGACACTCGCTCCTATTCCGGGTCTCCTAACAGCAGGCCAACAGATCACACCCTGTTAGTATTTAGAATAATCAAGATTTTTATCAGAAGTTGAAGAGAACAGCAGCATGTATTTCACTCAGGACCCTTCATTTTACAAATAAGAAAACTGAGGTCCTCCACAGCCGTGCTGCCCACTGGGAGCACCCCCTGCCTCACACCACATCATCCAATACCACGATGCAGATGTGGTCCTCACTCTTGGCCCTGATGGGGCACTCTAGCATCCCACTGTTTTCCTTAATAGAAAACAACACAATAGAAGTTAAGGTCAGAGTCAAAAGATGACACATCACTCGGGGCTTTATAAAATCCAGGACTCATGTAAACAAGTCCTAAAACTATGAGTGGACATTCACTTGCTAAGCACAATGTTGAAGTTATGGCTGAAAGCTTACTTTACATTTGCCTAAGACCACACTTGTCATACACACCTAAAACCATCTGCTGTCTTCTGAGTTCTATTAAAGGACAATGAGAAAACAGCAATTGAAATGGGGTTTCTGGTTCCAAACGGCAGGACAGGAGCAAGCTGTCTCACCACCCCAGCAGAAACCTGAAAGCAAACATGCAGTGCTGAGATGCTGAGATGGTCACCAGCAACATCTGAGAACCCAGAGGTGAGGATGAGTCAGGTCCTGGGGCCACCAGGAACAGAAAAACCCCGAACAGACAGACAGCAGGAGAACCAGACCCCCACATCTGCAAGGCCCCTCCCCATAACCTGCCTGGCATCCAGTACACAAAAGATTTTCCCTTGACACAGTTTCTACACTTAGAAAGGTGAGATAACAACAGCTTGCCCTGCTCTTGGGTGCCCTGGCAGGAGACCTCTCCCTGCCTCAACCCATGGGGAGCATCCTGAGTGCCTGAAGGGAGAAACAGCCCTGAGGATGGCCAGAGACAAAGGTGGGGGTGGGGCTACTGTCCCCAGCCCTGGAAACTCTGCTCTGCAACTCGGCCAAAGGAGGCACTCAATCAGAGTGGCCACTCGCAGCCCCACGCTGCAGGACCTGTGCTCCCAGGTCCCCTCCCAGCCTTCCCACGTTATCAGGACATCCCCTTTGGGACATCTGCTTTGGGACAGGCAGCACTTTCATCAGTGACCAGAGCTGAGTTGAACCTGGGCTTAAGGCGCCATCTAGTGCCAAAAAGGAGGCTGCAACCTAGCAAGAAAACACTCCACAGGTAAATCACAAAGAATCTTTAAGCAAACATACCCCAGAAAAACCAAAACACCCAGACAGAGAAGAGATAAATAAATAACCGTTCAGTGCCAAGACACAGACACACATCAACAAACCAGAAAGCAGCAGACGGGACCATGGCCTCCCCAAACGGACAAAGCCAAGAACCAGTGACTGGCCCAACAAAGTGGCGATTTGTGAGCTCTCATCAAGAAATCAAAATGGCAGCCCTAAGGAAACTCGGTGATCCCCAAGATAACACCAGGAAATCAATTCAGAAAGTTAACAACAGATTGAAATAATTTTTAAAAATCAGACAGAAGTCTTGAAACAAAAATACATTTAGCGAAATGAGGAAATTCATGACAAGCTCCCAACAGCAGAGTGGCTTAAGCAGAGGAAAGAATCAGTGAGCTCAAATACACAATCAGAGGAGGAAAAAGAACAAAGAATGAAAGACAACCTACAAGATAGAGAAAATTACCTCAAAACACCAAATCCAAGAATTACTGGTGTTCAAGAGGGAGCTGAGTGAGAACAAGAGGTACCAAGCTTACTCAAAGAAACAGTAACAGAAAACTTTCTGAAACTTGAGAAAGGTATAGATAACCAGATTCGGGAAAGTCAGAGAACACCAGATTCAACCCAAATATGACCACCTCAGGCTTTTAATAATTAAACTGTCAAAGCTCAAGGGCAAAGAGAAGACCCCAAAGGAAGCAAATAACATCTAAAGGAGCTCCAATTTGTTTGTCAACAGACATCTCAATGGAAAACATACAGACCAGGAGAAAATGGGATGATACTTTCGGAGTCTTGAAAGGAAAAAAAAAAAAAATCTGTCACCCAAGAATACTGTATCCAGCAAAGCTACCCTTCAAATACAAAGAAGAGATAAATTCTTTCCCAGACGAACAAAAGCTGAGAGAATTCATCACCACCAAACCCACCTTACAATAAATGCTGAAGAGATCTCTTCATTCAGAAAGAACAAAAATACATCGAATGGGGCACTAAGAGGGCAGATTCTCATTCCACCTTGCCACCAGCCTGCTGTGCAAACTTGGGCAAATCACTTCACTTCTCTGTGCTTCCATTTCCTAAATTGAGACCAATGAATTCGGTATTTTCTAGGATCCTTTCCAATCAAATGTTCTGTGTTTGCATGATGATAGCTAGGGTGCTGCAGCATAAGTGTCTGTAATTTAGCTTTTGTGAGCTGTGAACATTGCCTGCCTCTCTCTCACTCTCCTGCCAGCTGCTCACACTGTGTCATCTGTCCGTTTGTGTCAACAGAGAACTGAGGAAATGCAACTGCAGTGCAGCCCTGCAATGGGCTGGCCACCAGCAACAACGGCAGGAGAGGCAGGAGCAGTCAGGCAGGCTGGGCCCCAGAAGCACGCAGTGGAGAAGCCCGCAGCAGTGCAGAGGGATGTCCTTATGAGCCAGGACAGAGTCCCCTCATTTGCTGGACTCTGCAGAACTACACTGGCTGCATCCAAAACCCAGTACTCACCACCAGATGGCAACAGGGAGAATCTGCGTGCACAGGAGCCAGCCTGAAGGAAGCATCCAGGGAACGCAGGGGAAGAGCGTGAGCGTGAACCCCAAGATGATGGGGTGAGACCTCGCTCACAGGCAGATGCGAATCCTCCACGTGGGGATGCGGGAAGGCTGTTCTTGCCAAAGGCTGATGATGACCCTGCTGCCTCTCTGCTTATCTGCCCTCGAAACAGAATGTGGTTCCAGGCGCCACCACCCAGCCTAGCAGCCGTCATGGGCCCACAGTGATTGAGCCCTCAATCAAAGCTTTTTTATTATTATGGAAAATTACAAGTTTTTTCACAATGAGTTTTCACACACATATAAATCAATGGAAAATGTCTTCTTGGCTGTCTTTATGGTATTTAAGTAAATGATTAAAGTTTTCACAGTTGGGATAAAGGACATCCAATGTAAAAGACTGCCATTTCTGAAAATAAAGACAATACAAGCTGGTCATCACTGTTGACAAAAATTTCCTCGGGAATCTAAAATAACCAACAAGTCACTCATTTCCCTTTGTCTAACCTACTACATGCATTTTTTATTTATAAAGCCCCACTCAACTTATCTTTTTCCCCTTTCATCCTGAATTCTGGGAGCTCAAAGGCAACCTTAAGGCTTAGTTGCAGGAACTCTGTTGACCTTGTGGGAACATTTGCTTCTTTTTCCTTCCCTATCACATTCCCACTTCAAATTCATCAACTCATAGAGTATCTTTTTGTTGCTTCCTTGGGTTTTTTTGGACAAGGAAAGTTGAACATAATCAAAAACAACAGTGGTGAAGTCCTCACCCAACACTGCCAGCAATCTGTGGAGCACAGGGCTTCCCACCCGGCAGATAAGAACCCCATGCACACCTCTTAAATAAACAGGCTGATGCTGAGCAGGCACCACCATCCAGGCACCATGCTGAGCGCTGTGCGTAAAGAAAATACAAAGATCAGCCAGACAGAGCCTGTGCTGCAAGGAGCCCACATTTTATTTGAGGGGCCAGATAGGTCACAATTCATAACATAACAAAGCAAAAGGTGAAAAGAGCTAAAAAAAAAAAAGTAGAAATAATTTCTGATAAATTTTCTCTTAGCTTTTCTATGGGGAAATCAGGAGAAATGGACTGACTGGGAGAAAGCTTCTGGGGACCAAGTAAAACCCATCACGATCATCATCGAAACTGTGGCTGGGAAGATCCTGGGCCCCAGCACAGGGTCAGGTGGGCTCTGTGCTGGCCGGGAGAGCGGCCTCCGTCTGGCTACCAGGCCTCTCTGGACTGCAGAGTTAGTTTTTCTGCAAGTAACAGAGTGGAACCCAATGGCAGGAACATCTCCAATTCCGAAATTCCATGGTCCTGTGCAAACAACCAGAAAATAGAAACCAAGATTTGAGGACGGAAGAGGAACCGGACGAATGATGTGAACACGGGGCTTGTTTGCAGGTAGAGTTTACTGGGGGAAAGCATCCACATTACATAAAAGAGAAAGGAGACAAAACGACGCCCGGCAGTGGGTGCCCGGCTTGCAGGCCTCTGCGGCAGGTCTGTGGGTTCCCTGGCCCAGCGGCACCACCCAAAGGCGAGGGCCAGGCTGTCGTTGACGCCCTGTGGCAGCACCTCAGTGATTTCAGGGGTGGTTTTGACTCTTTCTGTGGAGGTGACAGGAGGTGCCTCCATCACAGACACAAATGGTGGCTTCCTGGCTTGCTCGGTAGACGCCAGGCTATGCTCACCCCAAGGCCAGACCCCGGACAAGGCCAGGGGCTGGCCCAACACTGGCCTTCAGGGTGCTGGGCAACCTGCATTTGCTGCGCAGCCCAGGCCCACCCAAATCACTGAGGGCGTCACACAGGCACCGTCAGCTGCGGGTGCTAAGAAAAGCGGCAGGAGAGGAGGAAGGCAGCTTATCTGTGCAGCCGTCAGCCATCAGCAAGCCTGTAGCAGCCACTGCCAAGCAACCGGGACCCAGCTCTTATGTCCCGTAAGGTTCCAGGGACCATTCCGGGGAGAAAGAAGGGCCTGGTCCCAGGGCAGGAAGCTCACAAGGCAGGAGGCGCATTGCGTCCAGCAGGGGTGTCCCATTGGGACAGTGGCGGCTCTCAGAACCCAGCCGCCAGCCCTCAACTCTGGCTCACCGTCCCACCACCAACTAGAGGGCCCCGGCCAAGCCAAGGGCAAAGTAGGGGACACACTTACAATCAGGGGTGCATGGGGCTCCTCCCCTCCCCTTGTGTGTGCATGTCTCTGTTTCTCTCTTTCTGTCTCTGTCTCTCTCTTTTTCTCTCTCTGGCCCTCCCACAAGGCTTAAGGTGGCTCCTTAGAATGGAAGGCCCAACTTTGTGAGTTACTCGAATACATGAACTCAGCCCAGGACAGTGGGAACAGCAGCCCGGCTCACCCCTGCAGGCGGGGACTGGGTGCCCAGCAAGCCTCGGGAGGCTGCCCCAAACCAACCACAGGGAGACCTGAGACGCCCTACGCCCACCTTTCTTCCGGCCTGGTCTTAAACTGGTGGGAGGGGCGTGGGCTGAGGTAGCCATGGGGGGCCCTCTTTCCTGCCCTCAGCTTCACCTTTTTCAGGAGCATGGCCTGGAAGCTCAGCCATTCTCAGAAGGATGGGCTGGAGGAGGGCTGCAGGCGGCTCTGCCCTTCCTGGCCTCCAGAGACACACTGAAAGCCCAGTTATCACAATATTCGGCCGACGGAAATGGTTTCATGAAAATTTACCAGACTTGAAAGCAATGACTCAAAGAAATACGTGTATGTACCCCCACGCACACAGCATGTTATTCACAGAAGCCAGACACAGAAACAACCCAGGCGCCCAGCAGCTGAGGGGTGGAGAAACAGAACGTGGTCTATTTACACGACAGAATGGGACTCAGCCTCAGAAAGGAAGGAGACGCTGACACAGTCCACACCTGCACCAGCCCTGAGCACGCGGTGCTGCCTTTAGCGTTCGGCTGCAGCCGGGCACATGCTCCGATTGCACTGATACGTGGCCCCCAGATGGTCAGGTTCACAGAAGGTACACTGAGTGCAGCCAGGGCCTTGGGGAGGGGGAGTCAGCATTAATGCGCACAGAGGTTCTGTTTGGAATAGAAAGTTGGCAGGTGGATGGTGGTGATGGCTACACAGCAGTGTGAATATCCTTTATACCACTGAACTATATCCCTAAATGGTTAAAATGGTCATTCTTATGTATAAGTTACTGAAAGTCTTTAAGAAGTGATAAAAGGTTTACTGAATAAATGAGAAACTGGATGGGAGGGACGCCATCCCCACTCTAAGGAGTCTGGACTATGAGGTTGATGATGAGCATGACCTCAAGGCCCCAGCATAGCTAATCCAACCACAGGAAGGCAGGCAGCATCTGGGAGGCCCCATCAGCAAGGCCATGGCCGGCGAGTCCCTGCTCAGACCCCAGAAATCCAAAGTGATTCACGCACAGGTGGGAAGACGCTATCAATACTCACAACTTTAACCAGACACAAGTCTACAGAGGCGACCATCACTAACGTTGAAAATGTCTTGGCTTCTGATTTGAACAGGATCAGACCTCAAGCACGAAATGAATGCTTTAAATAATGGATGTTTTTTCAAGAAACTTAATTTGGTATCACATTGGCCAAGAGGTCATTTGGCGAGGCCAACACACAGTCACAAAGGAAAGGTGGTCCTCAGTGCCACCCAGGCACTCCGCTCGGCCAGCCGGGGGGACCCAGCTGGAGCCATAAAAGGACTGCTCCCAGGTCAACACGAAGGCCTGCCCAAGGACTCCTGCGGCCTTCAAAGATTTGCAGCCTGAGGACAACTTTCAGCAACACCGCGACACTCTAGGTTGTTTTTTCAAAGATTAAACATAATAATAATTCTGTAAAACCAACATGGGTCATCATTAATTACTGCACCGTGACCATGGCTATTTAAAAACCCAGCCTCAGCACAGTAGCTGACAAACATTAATGAGCAGTAATGTACACGTGGTGTTGTCGATGAACGGATAATGAAAGCAATTTATTTGAAAATTAAAACATGATTAAGAATGGCAGCCCAAGCGAGAGCCCAGATGCCTGAAGAAGGCATTCCTGATGGAATGGCCTTCTTCCTCTGACAGTTTTTAATATACAGCACCTTAGCTTGGCCCCTCCTTGGTGCCCAAGACCTAACACTGGAGATGTCAGCTGTGGAGAGTGAGAAGACAAGCCCCTCAGTGGGACATCTCACAGCGCTCCTTAAGAGCAGCGTGTGAAGGGGACACGGACGCTGCATCCTTCCTCACCCAGACAACCCACAGATCCCAAGTCCACCCACACCCAGGACGACGCACAGACCCCACATCCACCCTCACCCAGGATGACGCACAGACCCCACATCCACCCTCACCCAGGACGACGCACAGACCCCACATCCACCCTCACCCAGGACGACGCACAGACCCCACATCCACCCTCACCCAGGACGACGCACAGACCCCACATCCACCCTCACCCAGGACGACGCACAGACCCCACATCCACCCTCACCCAGGACGACGCACAGACCCCACATCCACCCTCACCCAGGATGACGCACAGACCCCACATCCACCCTCACCCAGGATGACGCACAGACCCCACATCCACCCTCACCCAGGACGACGCACAGACCCCACATCCACCCACACCCAGGATGACGCACAGACCCCACATCCACCCTCACCCAGGATGACGCACAGACCCCACATCCACCCTCACCCAGGACGATGCACAGACCCCACATCCACCCTCACCCAGGATGACGCACAGACCCCACATCCACCCACACCCAGGATGACGCACAGACCCCACATCCACCCTCACCCAGGACGACGCACAGACCCCACATCCACCCACACCCAGGATGACGCACAGACCCCACATCCACCCTCACCCAGGATGACGCACAGACCCCACATCCACCCACACCCAGGATGACCCACAGACCCCACATCCACCCTCACCCAGGACGACGCACAGACCCCACATCCACCCTCACCCAGGATGACGCACAGACCCCACATCCACCCTCACCCAGGACGACGCACAGACCCCACATCCACCCTCACCCAGGATGACGCACAGACCCCACATCCACCCTCACCCAGGACGACGCACAGACCCCGCGTCCACCCTCACCCGGGGTGACCCACAGACCCTGCATCCACCCTCACCCAGGACGACGCACAGACCCCACATCCACCCTCACCCAGGACGACGCACAGACCCCACATCCACCCTCACCCAGGACGATGCACAGACCCCACATCCACCCTCACCCAGGACGACGCACAGACCCCACATCCACCCACACCCAGGACGACGCACAGACCCCACATCCACCCTCACCCAGGATGACGCACAGACCCCGCGTCCACCCTCACCCGGGGTGACCCACAGACCCTGCATCCACCCTCACCCAGGATGATGCGCAGACCCCACACCCTGGCAACCCACAGACCCCGCGTCCACCCTCACCTGGGGTGACCCACAGACCCTGCATCCACCCTCACCAAGGATGATGCGCAGACCCCACACCCTGGCAACCCACAGACCCCGTGTCCACCCTCACCTGGGACGACTCACAAACCCTACGTCCACCCTCCCCCAGGATGACCCACAGACGCCATGTCCACCCCTCCCCAGGACAACCCACAGACTCTTCATCCATCCTTGCCCAGACCCCATCACAGCTGGCTGGAGAAGGACGCTGTGAAAACCTCTTTTGCTCTTTCTTGCTGCTCAGGCCATCCACACCTGGCAGAAATCCCCACTGCCCAGTTCCACTGAAGCCCTGGGCTCCAATATTCAGACCTGAGACCCAAACAGCCCTCCAGAGAGAGCTGAGCCACAGACGATCTGGAGCCCCGGAGCCAGCCCTGCCCTCAGGACAGGCTGTTAGCAGATGCCCACCATGGACCTTGGGGGCACTCCCGGACCCTCCTGGGGGATCCTAGGCAGGCATGGATCTGTGTTCCCCCAACACAGATACCAACAAGGGCCCCAGGAAGGTCAGTGCCTGGAGCCAGGTGTGGGCTCACCTTCACCACAGATGGTCTGGCTGGGGCAGGCCCTCCTGAGAACCTGAGCTGGCACTGCCCAGTCCTCACTGTGTCTCTGCCTGAGCCCTGCCTCTCCCTCATCCCCCTCTTCCCAGCTCTTCCCGCTGAGCCTGGACCCTGCCTATGGAGCTCATCCCCGCTTCTCTCCTCCCTTCGTTTCTTGGCCCTGAATCCCAGCCCCTTCCCCATCGTGGGTTCCATCTTTCCTCCGTCTGTCTGTCACTCATCCCGTCCCTGCACCTGTGCTACCATCAACCTCCCAGCCTGGGCCTCTTTTCCATTAACAAACAGCCCAGCCCAGACTAGAAATGCAGAGAAGCCACAGCTGCACCAGCAGGCACCACCTTTCCTGGACCTCCATCGCCCCAGCTCTCCTAACTCAGCTCTGGGCTGTCCAGAGGAGGAGGCAGAAGAGGCCGCCCCTGCCCGCCCGGCCTCAGCCTGGTGTCTCCCAAGGCCAGCACTGTCCTGTGTGGCAAGAGGATGAAGGGACAGAGCCCCTGTGCCCGGCACTTTCCTCAGGCCACCCTGGCCCCAAAGCACAGGAAGAAAAAAATGTCCACAACTCATTTACTCACAGAGAAGAAAAATTTGACTTTATTTGTAATTAAAGATGGCCTAATTAAGGCAATGTGACAATTCTGCCCATCAGACCTCAGAAAGGCAAAGGACTTTGTGGGATAACTCAGGTTGCTGGTGAATGACATGGACTCATCTACATTTTGTTGGGCACAAATTAGGTGTCCCCTCTGCAAGGGACAAATTTGCAACTTGACTGAAGTTTTAAAATGGCC
Source organism: Homo sapiens (assembly GCF_000001405.40). Classification (NCBI taxonomy): domain Eukaryota; kingdom Metazoa; phylum Chordata; class Mammalia; order Primates; family Hominidae; genus Homo; species Homo sapiens. The sequence continues at coordinate 158,362,610 of NC_000007.14, forward strand.
AAGCCCCAGGAGCCCCAGTTTCTCTGCTAAAGATATATTCTAAGGAGATAACTGGATGTGCGTATAAAACCGTAAGTCAGGTTTGTCCATCACAACCACGCTCATCCTGGTGAAAATGCAGAGAATCAGGGAACTCGAGTCCAGATGAGAGGTAGTGGAGAAGGAAGGCAGGGGTCTGAAAGCCCTGCAGATTTCCAAGGGTTAGTGTTCACTTCTGGGGCCCAAACATCCCAGGGGCAGTAGCCCCAAAGCCCCAGATGGGACTGGCTCAGTCACCGTCCCTCTGGGGACCTTGAGTCAGAATTAAGAGTCAGAATTAAAGAGAAGTCTCAAAACGACGCCACTGGAGACACAATCGCAATTCAGGCCACCATGTTGTAGGTGGCCCTGGTCCCCATGATCCATGGAACAGAGGCGGCCCCAGCTGTCTCCGCAGGATTATGCACCGCGCGTCATGAGCCGAGGGGGACAGGACCCGTGGAGCACCACTCTCGAAAGCCCTTTCCCTGGGGCCAGATGGCCAGCACCATGGACAGCAGCTCGCCAGCCTTCGCTGAGCCTCCACCAGAGAGGCAAGGGGAGGACACTAGGGAGGCCAGGAGAGGCTACGGGAGGACGCTCGGGAGGCCACGAGAGGCTACAGGAGGATGCTTGGGAGGCCATGAGAGGCTATGGGAGGACGCTCAGGTGCTCGCAGAGGCCCTGAGAAGCTATGGGAGGATGCTCGGTTGCTTGGGGAGGCCGCCTCCTCCAGAGCCTCTGGAACTAAGTCACACCCACGCTGGAACCACTGCGAGCCCAATTTCGGAAAAAACAAAACATACAAGTGAAACTCAGCCCACAGCTCTGAATTCATTCTCTGACCAGAGAGGTCCTGCAGCCCCGTCGAAGCCTGCACACAATTCCTGGTGAGCGCTTTCCTGACCACCTGACCTGGAAGGGCCTCACCCAGTCTTGATCGTCACATTTCCCAGACAAACATAAAATCGTGCCTGCCTAGGAGAGAACCGCGCATGCTGATACAGTGAGACAGGCAGGGTGCCAGAACTCCGAGGTGAGACACTTAGGGTGTCCCAGGGCGCTCGGCCCCCAGAGCTCTGAGGTGAGAGAGCCAGGAGAGGTCGGGAGGGGGCGGGGCACGGGCCTGGGAAGCGGCTGGCCTGCAGCTCAGGAACCCCAGTGTCTGGGTCTCCACGGATGCCTCTGGCAGGTCAGGGAGAGGAGGTGGCCGATGGAGAGAGTGGATGGAGGAGTCTCTGGTGTTGATCACAGTGGACTAGAATATGACAGAAAAGGGGACTTCAGGCTGGCAGACAACCACACACACACATGCACAGACACACATGCACATGGGGAGACACACACACGCTTCCCCAGACATCGCCTCCTGCCGGACGCTGTTTCATTCTTCTCTTTGAAAGGCGAACGATGAGGCAGTCAGTGACCTTCTAGCCAATGGGGCTTTGGGAACCAAATCAATTCCTTAAGACCAAAAACCCTGCCTCTCACCATGCTTCCCCCAGCAGGGTCTGCAGAGCCCCCATCCTCACTTCATCTGCCTCTCGCCATGCTTCCCACAGCAGGGTCTGCAGAACCCCCATCCTCACTTCACCTGCCTCTCGCCATGCTTCCCCCAGCAAGGTCTGCAGAGCCCCCATCCTCACTTCACCTGCCTCTCGCCATGCTTCCCACAGCAGGGTCTGCAGAGCCCCCATCCTCACTTCACCTGCCTCTCGCCATGCTTCCCCCAGCAGGGTATGCAGAGCCCCCATCCTCACTTCACCTGCCTCTCGCCATGCTTCCCACAGCAGGGTATGCAGAGCCCCCATCCTCACTTCGTATTCAGGTAAGTGTGACCAAGAATGTCTCTTTTTCTGGTTTATAAATCAATTTTTTAAAGATCTCCTAAGATCTGAGAATACAAGCAAAGAGACAGTCACATGTAAGCTTAATAATGAGGTTCATATTAAAGGCAGACAGATGTTCAATTAAACATCAGACTTCACGCTGACACGCTGAGAGTGAGGATCTCCATGCATAATTCTCCGTCCCAGCCCCAGATCCCGGGAGTTTTGATCACACAGCTGGGAAGTCGTCATCCAAGCCTCGGATGTGTTTGTGGGGCATCGTCTATAGCCGGGGCTCCTCCCCTCTCTCTGTCCACACACACAGGTCTCCAGGCATGTTTACCTCTAAATACACACCCTGCCAAGGACTGTGGCCTGGAAAGTCATAGGCACTTGACTTCTACCAAAAAAGAAATAACGGAACGGCATGAGAATGGTCACACCTGAGCAGGCAGCTAACAGCAACAGGTTCACTACACACAACCACCCTTGCACATATGCGTGTGCACCCACAACACACACATTCACACACACACACGCATGTGCACACACAACACATACATACATTCATACAGACACACACGTTCTCACCCTAAAGTCATGGTCAAATTGGGTGGTTTACTCCACACTATTTTAATAAATAGCCTTCACTCTTCAGACACAATCTGAAAAAACCCCAGACTCGAAAGCGTTTCCCATAACTCAGGACAAGGAATCACGCAAGTGGGAAACCGTCCTTGCGAGCGCCTCACGTGAGCCACAGTCACCGCACAAAGTCTCCATCGCGTTGGACGGTCCGTGGGAATTTCTCAGGGCTCCGGAGGCCAGCGGGGCTGGAGGCAGACCTCATCGGCACTTCTGACAACGGCAATTTTTGTGCTCCTCACAACCAACGAGGGTGTGATTTTTCCCATCTGTCTTCCCTTCCTCACCCCTCCCTTCCCCTTCTCTTCCCTTTGTCTCTCCTCCCTCTCTTCCTACAAAAGAAATCACATGACATCGATTCCCTGATATTCAGATCAATCAGCTGGAGTGACAGGAAACACGTTCGCTCCCATTGGAAACAGCACGTGCTCCAGCAGAGCTCAGGTGTTGTTGAAGCCCGTTAGAACTGGCATGCGTGGAGTCTGCTCCCATGCATGCATGCACACGCACACACACCCACAGCATCCCTGGGAGAAGCCGCAGCCCAATGCACACGCACACACACAGCATCCCTGGGAGAAGCCGCAGCCCAATGCACACATGCACACGCACACACACCCACACACACACAGCATCCCTGGGAGAAGCCGAAGCCCAGTGCACACGTGCATACACACACACACACCCACACACACACAGCATCCCTGGGAGAAGCCGCAGACCAGTGCATGCGTGCACACACACACACCCACACACACACAGCATCCCTGGGAGAAGCCGCAGCCCAATGCACGCGTGCACACACACACACACACTGCATCCCTGGGAGAAGCCACAGCCCAATGCACACATGCACATGCACACATGCACACACACCCACAGCATCCCTGGGAGAAGCTGCAGCCCAATGCACGTGTGCAAATACACACACACACAGCATCCCTAGAAGCTGCAGCCCAATGCACGCGTGCACACACACACGCACACACACACAGCATCCCTAGAAGCTGCAGCCCAATGCACGCGTGCACATGCACACACACCCACACACCCACAGCATCCCTGGGAGAAGCTGCAGCCCAATGCACGTGTGCAAATGCACACACACACACAGCATCCCTAGAAGCTGCAGCCCAATGCACGCGTGCACATGCACACACACCCACACACCCACAGCATCCCTGGGAGAAGCTGCAGCCCAATGCACGTGTGCAAATGCACACACACACCCACAGCATCCCCGGGAGAAGCCACAGCCCAATGCACGCGTGCAAACGCACACACACCCACACACCCACAGCATCCCTGGGAGAAGCCACAGCCCAATGCACGCGTGCACACGCACACACACCCACACACCCACAGCATCCCTGGGAGAAGCTGCAGCACATGTGTAAGCTGCCAATACCCTGCACACGGCTCTGTGACTGGAGATAATGAGGAATCGCCATGGCAACCCGGGAACAAGCCCACAGCGCCTTGTTTCCCCGAACGCAGAGCCCCGGCAGCCCCTCCATCCACCGAGACATACACGGCTGGAAGGACGTGGTGCTGCGGACCATGGGTGGTTCTTCTGCCACATTTGCTGGGACTTGTCCTAAGGACATTTTCAATTTCTGAAATCAGTCGCCATTGACGGCCAGGGTTCTCATTCCTGAATTTTTGTCTTTGCTTCTGGTTACCAGAGATCCAAAGCTGCAGTCGTTTAGCTGGTTTCTGTTTCCAGGGGTATTGTGAATGGAAATAAACCATGAAAATGACCGAAGACGTCACAAGGAAAGCAAATAGGATTTAAAACAGCAAAGCGGTGCCTTTGCCAATTCCAGGGAGTGTTTCTGCTACATAACCCTGTCTGTGCTGGGCAGTGCCGCTCCCGTGCACCCAGGACTGGAAAAGCATAGCTTAGGGGTTCAGGGGAGAAACAGTGACCTCTGCATCAGAAAAGTCCTAGATAAGTTGCCAGGAAAGGCAACAGCACCTGGAATGAGAGACAAGCTCAGGACTCGTGCCCCAGGCTGCAGGGACACCCACAGAGCTGACTTCTCCTCGGTCAACCAGCCCCCAGTGCTCGGAAGCATCTGGCCCAGGCACAAGCATGCTCCTGCTGCTACGGCAGCTGAATTGGGAAGTATGGCGGGGGCACAGATGCCCCAGGTGGACGGCCAGGCCTCTGGTCCACACACAGGCATTCACTCCCCATGTGGCCATGAGCCCCCGATTCTCCAAGTCCTGTGTTCTCACCTGTAAAATACGGAAGCTATGCTAGACAACTGCTGACTTCCCTCACCTGAGCTCTGTGGTACTCAGATATCCTCACTGGTGGGAAAGGGAAAGGCCACGGCCATCATGGGCAGGAGGACGCAGTGGTTCACAGGATGGAGGCACCAACTGGGAGGCTGGGCGGTGGCACTCACACTGTGCTGGAGTCAGGCTGGCTCCTGGGGAGCACGTCAGTCACCTGCTTAATTCACCATGGGTTAGCTCTCCGCGGGCGAAGGATGACGAAATTACGTTGTAAGTGAGCCTCAGCATTCTGTCCTTTGGAAATAGCCCCAAGAAGTCTGGGATAAGCTCTATTAATGTTAGTTTTTTTCCAGAGAGTAAAAAATAAGCTCTTGAACCCATCCATGGCTATCAGAATGAAGGAAAAGTCGTTTGACCTCCTTGGCCCAGAGCCCATCAGATGCTCAGTCATTCCCCTCTAAAATGCAACTCTCTCCATAATGAGTTCATTTTCAAAAGATTCAATTATATGGACCGTTTCTCCAGACGGTTTACAAATTTCAACCATGGCAGCAGCATTTGGGAATGGCTCATCTGCTCCCACCATAACTTAGGGCCATGTTCCTGTTTCAAGACACCAAATTCCTGAGTTTGACTTTCCCTTCTGCAAGTTTCCCAGAGGAGGAAAACCTTTAAATTGAGCTGAGGAAAGAACAATATTTGACCAGCACCAGAAGTCACCGAGCATTTTAATACAAACCTTATTGATGAGGCTTTACTGTCCACACCACTGCATATCTAAGTCAGAGAATTTGTCCTGTAATTCCATAACTTCAACAGGGCAAACGTTTACAGTACAGGTTGATTCTAGAGCCTCCTGCACCGGCCTCCCAGGATATTCGGCAGCAGGCTGAACCCAACTGGAACATCCCTACCAGGAGAGAAGCGGGACCCTGTAACAGCTGCCACAGCTTCCCTGGGAGGCCCCCGCTTGTGTTGACTTCAGAGAAGCAAATCTTGACTTTTCTTAGCGACTACCTAAAGCTTTCATTACAAACTTTCTTGAAAAAGAAAAAATGGTATTCCTACCAGCATCACTGGCTGGGCTAGCACTGATCACAGTGATGACCAGGTAGATGAAGTAGGGTTTCCATACATGATGGAAGCCGACAGCCACACTTTGAAAAGCTCAGTGTGGACTTTTAGGTGAAGTTCATATGAAACTGTTAGTTCCTGGCCCGGCCCGCCCGCACAGTAAATGAGAAATGACAGGTGTGGAAGCCAGGAGGCCACTGCTTTGCTGCACAGGGACGTCCAAGGACCAAGGCACAGAGCAGCTGGGGGGCTCCCCAGGGAGGAAGGACAGCACTCAGCCCCCTCCCCTGCAGGTCCCTCAGAGACCCAAGGCCCAGCTGGGCCCCACCATCCTCGACCCCCCAAGTCTTCCTCCTTGCTGTGGCCACACAGAAACTGTAATTTTAGGACGAGAGCTCTGCCAGACAGAGGTGAAGAGGCAGGAATTGTGTGGGGTCCAGAGGAACCAGAGTGTGATGGTTAACACTGAGTGTCAACTTGATTGGATTGAAGGATGGAAAGTATTGATCCTGGGTGTGTCTGTGAGGGCGTTGCCGAAGGAGATTCACATTTGGGTCAGTGGACTGGGAGGGGCAGACCCACCCTCAGTCTGGGTGGGCACCATCTAATCAGTCGCTGGCATGGCCAGAATATAAAGCAGGCAGAATATCGTGACAAGACTAGACTGGCCTAGCCTCCCAGCCTACATCTTTCTCCCATGCTGGATGCTTCTTGCCCTTGAACATTGGACTCCAAGTTCTTCAGCCTTGGGACCTGGACTGGCTCTCCTTGCAGACAGCCTATTGTGGGACCTTGTGATCATGTGAGTTAATACTTAGTAAACTCCCCTTTATATATATATACACACATACACACACACACACACACACACATATATATACCTATAAAGTTATATACATACACGTATATGTAACTAATATGATATATATATATCTGCCCCTCTAGAGAACCCTGACTAATACACAGAGTGTCCAAAAGTGAATCACTCAACACATGGTGAGGGTGCCGGGGGTCAGAACAGGACCCCCCCAACCTGGGGCCACTGGGCAGATGCTATCAGCACCAGGCTGACTTGAGGCCACACATGGCATCTGCCTGAACCGAGAGGAAACGCCTCCCACTGTCCAGTAGAGAAAGTAAAAGGGCCAAGGGGAATCTGCTCATTCACCAATCTGTTTATTGGTAAATATCAGCCCTGATTACACATTTCCCGTTATAAGGATAAAAACGTGAAAACATAGTTACAAACATACACAGAGAAACTGGAACACTGAAACAGAAAAACCATGTGAGAGCCACAAAATGATTCTGTAGCACGGAAAAGGCAAACCTACATTGAAGGTACAGGAAAATAAATAGGTTTTAAAAATTACAGTTGGAAACCCATGTAAATTCTAAAAAGCATCTGATTTGTGTTCTCAAATTTAAGAAAATGACAACCATAAAAAGCAAGATAACAGCACTCCAGAAGTCCCCGACCTGACTGGGCGGCAGACAGACTGAGAAGGAAGTCTGTGAAGAGGACAGTGTGGTCTCAGCGGGCAGGAGGCCCAGTCAGAAACACCGAGGGCAGAACTGTCCCGGGAAGTCACCTCAGTCACACGAAAGCCACCGTGAACAGGAGCTTAGCTACAGACGATGGGAACGAGGTGATCAACACTGCAGGAGAAACTGGTGCACGGCGGTGACTGACTGGGGATTTGGCATAAGGACAACTGCCTTTTAAAGGCTGGGAGAGGCCAGCGCAGTGGCTCATGCCTGTAATCTCAACACTTAGGGAGGCCGAGGCACACCGATCACCTGAGGTCAGGAGTTTGAGAGCAGCCTGGCCGACACGGCAAAACCCCATCTCTATTAAAAATACAAAAATTAGCTAGGTATGGTGACACACCTGTAGTCCCAGTTACTCGAGAGGCTGAGGCAGGAGAATTGCTTGAACCTGGGAGGCAGAGGTTGCAGTGAGCCGAGATTGTACCACTGCACTCCAGCCTGGGTGACAGAGCGAGACTCCATCTCAAAAATAAAAAGAAAAAATAAATAAAGGCTGGGAGGGCTGGGCGCAGTGGCTCACGCCTGTAATCCCAGCACTTTGGGAGGCCGAGGCGGGTGGATCACGAGGTCAGGAGACTGAGACCATCCTGGCCAACACGGTGAAACCCCGTCTCTACTAAAAATACAATAAATTAGCTGGGCGTGGTGGTGGGCACCTGTAGTCCCAGCTACTCAGGAGGCTGAAGCAGGAGAATGCCATAAACCCAGGAGGCGGAGCTTGCAGTGAACCAAGATTGCACCACTGCACTCCAGCCTGGGTGACAGAGCGAGACTCCTGTCTCAAAAAAATTTTTAAAAATCAATCAATCAATAAAGGCTGGGAGAACCAGAATAAATGAAAGAAAGCAACATGCAAAAGTGGAATACAAAAAAACTTCCACTTCCAAAGATGCTCATCTGAAGATTCAGAGTTTACTAAATACCACACAAAATTAACAATTTTTAAAACACCCTTACACACAACTGTTTTTGAATTCTAAAGAATCAAACGAACTATCACAATGAAAGAGTTTTGGTAGAGCAGCCCATTATAAGAAAAAAAGTAAAAAATGTAGCAGCAATTGTCATTTGGGAAATATGAGAAAAAATAATCTCACTCGGTCATAACGAAAAATTTTCAGATACCTAGGAACAAACTTGACCAGGTATGTGACTGCGCAGGGAAGAAACACGGGCCCACAGTGTGGACAAGGATAACACGGCCAAGTGACCCTGACAGCAACATGGATCTCCAATGGCTTAGATGGATTCAAGTAAAACCTTTTTTTGGTAGGAAAAATTTAGGTGAAAAAAAGGAAGGAAAAAATTAGGTGAATAGTTATCAGATCCTATAATAAGAGAGACTTCCTAAACAAGCAAAGGAAAGCAAAAAAAAAAAAGATTAATTTCACTTCATGAAGATTTAACCTTCTATTTTTAAATACATGAGAATAAAATATATCCTTATGTTTTATTTGATTAACATTTGTAACAATTTTACCAATAAAATTCATAAAAGAAAACATAAACTTAGCATAAGAAATGAAAACCAAAACGAGGAGGCATATTTTCCTACACAATTAAAATTCTTCACTAATAAACATCCACATTGATGACCTTGTGACGCAACAAGCACCTCACGCTTGAGAGAGGAACTTTATGCAAGTTCTCGGAAGGAAAATTCAGCAACTCTCAAAAATGCACACACCAAGTGACCTAGGAATTTCACTTCTAGGGGAATGTTCTAAGGAAATGATTCATATGCGGAAAACCGTTCGTTTTCAAAGATGTGCTTACTAAGAATCAGACATTGAGAAACAAAGGAATTTCCAACCGTAGGTGAATAATTAAATTACACCACATTAAAGATCATATTTATAAAACAGATAACGTGACATGCTCAAGATATAGTACTTATTGAGAAAAGGAATATAAACCCATGGATGTAATTTTCTAAAAGGGAGAGATGAACCTCACACAGCTGGACGTAGCGCACTCAGCGTCCGTCGTGGCCCCGGGGATGAGGTTCTGTGAGTCACGCCACAGACACCCTCTGCCATCAGCCCTCCTGGGCGCTGGCTGTGTGCGGAAGACCCCCTCGCAGGGCCACACCTTCCGGGGATGAGCACCTCTGGCTGAGCACTGCAGGCACAGAGGGAGGCTTGCCCCGAGCCCCAGCAGCTCTAAGAGGTCCCCGTGGAGTCTCACCTGCCCACCCCGTGCTGGTCCCCAGAGCTGGACCCCCAACGCTGGTCCCCGGAGCTGGACACCCCCAGGCTGGACCCCGGAGCTGGCCTCCCCAGTGCTGGTCCCCAGAGCTGATCCCCCCAACGCTGGTCCCCGGAGCTGGTCCCCCCAACGCTGGTCCCCGGAGCTGGTCCCCCCAACGCTGGTCCCTGGAGCTGGACACCCCCAGGCTGGACCCCAGAGCTGGCCTCCCCAATGCTGGTCCCCAGAGCTGGTCCCCCCAACACTGGTCCCCGAAGCTGGTCCCCCCAATGCTGGTCCCTGGAGCTGATCCCCCCAATGCTGGTCCCCAGAGCTGGTCTCCCATGAGCTGGTACCCGGAGCTGGTCCCCCCATGCTGGTCCCCAGAGCTGGTCTCCCCTGTGCTGGTCCCTGGAGCTGGTCCCCCCAACACTGGTCCCTAGAGCTGGTCCCCACCACGCTGGTCCCCGGAGCTGGTCCCCACCACGCTGGTTCCCGGAGCTGATCTCCACCACGCTGATCCCCAGAGTGCCCCAAGACAGCCCCAGCATCTAGTCACCCTCTGATTCAGCTTCATGGGCATCTCCCTTTTGGTTTTTATTTCTGTTTTTTATACAGCTTGCATTATCTTTAAGTGCAGGAAAAAATATATATATTAAGCAAACAAATCAAAAGGCATGCATAGTCCTGACAGGCAGAGTTCTCCAGGCTGTGATTCAGCACCCAGGGTCCAAGCAGCCACATAGGGCTGCTAAGACTCCCCGACCTGACAGCTTCCGGGCATCCCTCCTGCAATCTGGGGCCACCTGGCCACTCTAGAACACCGAAGGTAACACTGAGCAGGGCCACTACAGGGAGGCTGCCAGAGGATGCGCTGCACAGGGCAGCACGGCCGAAGGTTCCACCCAGCGGCCTCTTAAATCAAGGACTTCCAGGCAGAGGAAACTCCTGTGGCCACACCCCCAAGATGGCTTTGTCTGTAAAGGAGCGTTAACATCGGCATTTATAAGACTAATATGACAGCAGATGTGCTTTCCTCTGACGCCCGTACGCTGCGGAATCGCATTATGGAAATAGAGTGCCAAATGGATGCCTTGACCTCGGGGCCCGGCCTATTCTGCACAAAGATGACTTCTGAAATGAGTTTTTTGCTATAATTTGCTCTTGCCTTTGCTAAAAGGTTGAAGGCACTTCTATTCCAACTGAGTGTGAGTAACGCTAATTTCATAGCGTTAGCTGCATGTTCTTAAGCACGTTTATCTTCAGCAAGTACAGTTCTGTTGATTGAAAGAAAGAAATATTTCTTTTTAGTAAACTAGTATTCCCAAAGGCTGACAGACCATCTTTGTATCACACACAGTTACTAAGGGTTCCTTTGCTTAATCTCTTCAGAGGAAAAACAGACCAGCTGCCACTGAAGCAAACGAAGTCTCTCCTGGCACCCACATTTGGTTGTTTTAGGTTTGGAGATGGTTTTCTGTGCAATTAATGTGATTCATCCATCTTTGAAATGAAGAATTACACTGCAGTGCGGCCAGTTCCCACCGGATGAAAGTTGAAGAAGGAGCAGGATTGGAAATATTCAAATAAATAGCAACTGTTTCAGCCCATGCACCTGCAGAGTAGCAGCCAGCCTGCAGGCCAGGAAAGGGAGACGCTCTCATCCGGCAGCATCTGGGCGCCCTCTCTGGATGGGAGTGTGGGGAGGGCCCTCCCGTCTCTCTGCGTCTCAGCCTTTGCCAAGCCCAGCATTCTGTCTCTGCCTACCTGGTGCATGGATAACTCTCAAATGCACAGATGAGAAGATGAGACGCTGTGGGTGCTGGGCTGGGCCCTGAGGGAAACGGGCAGAGTGTGATGACTGTTCCCACGGTGGCAACACGACGCCCACGCGCCCGGCACTGGAGTCAGGGCTCAGGCAGCGGGCCCTTCTGACCCTCGCAGTGGCCCTTCTGACCCTTGGGGCAAGTGCACTTACCATCCCCACCGCAAACAGAGGAAACAGAATCTAGAGCTGAGGGGTTTGCTCTGGGTCCAAGCAGCAGTGAAGGGGAAGAGCTGGGTCTCAAACACCAAAAATCCAATCACAAAGCTCCCTTGTCAGGAGGAGGGAGCCACCTCCAGGACAGACCACTGGAAATGGAACTCTCCACAAACACCAACTCAAAAGGCCAATGCTGCAGGCCAAGAACACACTGGCAAAAGGCTGCAGAGCCACCCACACACTCACTCGCTCCTGTGAAACCAGACCCTGCAGCTCCTCATAGACACACACCTCAATATCAACAGCGCAGAAACTCCACTCCTGGACACTAGCCCGAGAGAAACAAAACACGATCTGTAAAAAGGATTGTACAAGAATGTTTAGAGAGACTTTATTCATAGGCGCCAAAAACTGAAGAAAGAAAAAAAGAAAGAACAAAGCCCGTCAACAGGAAAGTGGGTTTGAAACATGGCGCATCCACTCAATGGAACTCCCCTCAAAACAGAGACAAACCGTCCACACACAGCAAGTGGACAGATGGAGGCTGGAGGCAGAAATTAAAGAATGCCCTGCGGAAATCCAGAACAGCAAGCTTTAGACCTGGAGAAACCAAGCATATCGTGCAAAGGAATGGGAGAAGTCATTTCCGGGGCGGGGATGTGGTTTCATGGGAACTTTCTGGGTGATGTAAATGTTCTAAGTCACAGCACAGGCAGGGGCTGCATGCTGGGTGCATTTGCCAAAACTCACAGAATTGAATACTTCAAGTCTACAGATTTCTACTATATGTAACATTTAACTGGGAAAATGTAACAGAAAATAATAAAGGGTGGGGCTAAAATCCCTTCCTGCTTAAAAACACAGAGCATGGTGGCCTGAGGCGCAGAGGAAAAGATAGATGAGAAACTCCACATCCCCGAGGCTCAGCAGCAGACGTATTTCATGGGGGAAACCAGCTCTCAGCTGCTTCACGTGGCAGTGAGACCCTAAATATGAGAGGCAGTGGCCGGCCAGAGCATGAAGTCAGAAAGGTGCCTAAACCTGGCAGCACTGGGCCTCCCCACAGCTCCCAACTCACCAGAATTATACCAGGCAAGTGCCCACAGGGCATCAGCAGAGGGCTTGTCATGTGATTCACTGCTCATTTAGTCCCTCATTCAGCAAATGTTTACAGAGTACCCAGGACACAGGCATAGTCCAGGCACAATGAGGGCAGCAGACAAGGCAGCTGTGTCTTGGGGCAGACATTTTAGGAGAGCATGCAAGGCAGCCAGGCTCAAGCTCCTGGTGTGGCCAAACCCAGCCATCTCGGGGATGTGGTGGGACAGCACAGCTGAACATTAAATCCATTGCAACTACAGTTTTCCCTGAGAAAAGCATCACTGATATGGGCAGGTGGCAGAAAAATTCTGGGTAGAAGAGGGTAGTTCCCCGGCAAAGGCCCCGCCCTCAAGCCTGGAAACCTGTGGCCCTCAATGGGAACAGGCATTCCTGTTTTTGTGCCCAAATGTTGCCTTTTGGCCTCCCATGCCTGCCTATCCTGTACCCATGTAAATGCCAAGCCCCAGGCTCCACTAGTGGAAGAGCGGAGGAACAGAAGAGTGGCGTGTCAGGGAAGGAGAGAAGAGAAGGAGCGTGTGAATGTCAAGAGGAGTTCGGCTGGGGACAGTCAGAAAGGAGATTGGCTGCGGGACGGCCAAACTCCAGGGGAAGATCCCTTCCCACTCCATCCCCTCTCCAGCTCCCCATCCATCCCACTGAGAGCCACCTCCATCCAGCAGTAAAATCCCCCACATTTGCCATCCTTCAATTTGTCCCTGTGACCTGATTCTTCCTGGACGCCAGATAAGAACCTGGGTATCAACAGGGCACTGAGCTGGTTAATACTTAAGCCATCTGTGGGTGGCAACTGCTAAAAGAGCACTGTAGCACACCCACCGCGGCTTTGGGAGTCACAGACACCCCACCCCTGGATGCTACTGCAGGGCCAGAGCCCAAAAGCACTCACCCCGGCTCCTGCACCTGCCTATCTGTGTGCTCTCCCTTCCCTAAGGCTCTTTGAGCACGCAGCAGCCAAACAGATGAGCCACACCCGTCACACGTCCTGCATGCAGGGTCAGGGGACTCCCCCACAGCCCTGTCACACGTCCTGAGAGGGGGGTCAGGGGACTCCCCCACGGCCCTGTCACACGTCCTGCACGTGGGGTTAGGGGACTCTCCCACAGTCCTGTCACACGTCCTGCGAGGGGGGGTCAGGGGACTCCCCCATGGCCCTGTCATACGTCCTGAGGGAGGGGTTCAGGGGACTCTCCCACATCCCTGTCACACGTCCTGAGAGGGGGGTCAGTGGACTCCCCTACAGCCCTGTCACACGTCCTGAGAGGGGGGTCAGGGGACTCTCCCACATCCCTGTCACACATCCTGCACGCGGGGTCAGGGGACTCTCCCACAGCCCTGTCACACGTCCTGAGAGGGGGGTCAGGGGACTCCCCCACAGCCCTGTCACACGTCCTGCATGCGGGGTCAGGGGACTCCCCCACAGCCCTGTCACACGTCCTGCACGCGGGGTCAGGGGACTCTCCCACAGCCCTGTCACACGTCCTGAGAGGGGGGTCAGGGGACTCCCCTACAGCCCTGTCACACGTCCTGAGAGGGGGGTCAGGGGACTCTCCCACATCCCTGTCACACATCCTGCACGCGGGGTCAGGGGACTCTCCCACAGCCCTGTCACACGTCCTGAGAGGGGGGTCAGGGGACTCCCCCACAGCCCTGTCACACGTCCTGCACGCGGGGTCAGGGGACTCCCCCACAGCCCTGTCACACGTCCTGCACGCGGGGTCAGGGGACTCTCCCACAGCCCTGTCACATGTCCTGAGACGGGGGTCAGGGGACTCCCCCACAGCCCTGTCACACGTCCTGAGAGGGGGGTCAGGGGACTCCCCCACAGCCCTGTCACACGTCCTGAGAGGGGGGTCAGGGGACTCCCCCACAGCCCTGTCACACGTCCTGAGAGGGGGGTCAGGGGACTCCCCCACAGCCCTGTCACACGTCCTGAGAGGGGGGTCAGGGGACTCCCCCACAGCCCTGTCACACGTCCTGAGAGGGGGGTCAGGGGACTCCCCCACAGCCCTGTCACACATCAAGCACGCGGGGTCAGGGGATGCTCCTGTTTCATCATGAATCTGGTAGCAATTAGGTGCGTGTGTGTTAATAAAATCTCCATGTGTTATGGAAAAATAGTTAAATGTAAAATGTATCGGTCTTCACCAAAGAAGAGCAAGGGATGGCCAGTAAGTGCAGGAAGAGACAGCCAGCATCATCACGCATAAGAAAAGGGGACCCCACTTGGACACCACCACGAACCCACAGGCTGGGGAGGAAACCCCAGCAATGCAGAGTGCTAGGGAGGAGGCAGGCAACTGGCTGGCTCGGCTTGGGGGTGGAAATGCACACACAATTTTCCCGGGACTCAGCAATCACAGGCTTTGTCATGGACCCAAGAGGAATGAAAATGGAGTTCACAGGAAACCGGCATCGGTGGTTTATCACAGCTTTACGCACGACAGCTGAAAAGTGGAACAATCCAAATGTCCGCAGCTGGAGAGCTGACTTTCTTACACCCATTCCAGGGACACTACCTGGTAATACCAAGGGACGGGCTGCTGGTACGGCCCTGCACGGAGGGTGCTCAAGGGCAGGGTGCAGGCAGAAGCCTCCCCCACAGTCCACACAGCACAGGGCCCGTGGCTACAACACAGACACAGCAAGCACAGCACAGAACCAGATCCATGAGGGCAAGGAAGAGCTCTGTGTGGTCCAGATGTGACACAGCCAGTCCTGGCGCTAGCTCCGGGTTTTCTGGGTGTAACACAGCCAGTCCTGATGCCAGCTGTGGGTTTTCCAGGTGTGACACGGCAGGTCCTGGACCTGGCTCCGGGACTATACACCTCCTCCTGACTCCTCCAGCTGTGCACTTAGAAACCGCATTTTACTGCATACAAATCATATGATTATACAAACCTGAACAAACCTGACACAAAAGCAAATAAAAGCTATTGGCCTCAGGACAACCCTTGACCTTGACAATGGCTTTTTTACATAATGGTTGGAGGCTGTCCCCTCAGCTCTTGACATTCGCTCCCCAGGGCATGAGTTTTCCTAAAGGGGCCTGCAAGCCCCGCCTGCTGCCCAGAGGCTTCCCCAGGCACCTCCTTCTTGGTGCAGGAGGGCCCTGGACCCACTAGGGACTTAAGCTCCTTTTCCACAGAAACACAGCAATGGTTCTGAAGGGGGAACCGCAGGTCCCAGTGACTCATGGTGACCACACGCCTGCATCCGAGGATGACTTCAGCCCCCTGTCCTCTCCCCACAGTGAGCTGCTCCCCACAGGCCCCCTCTATTGCGAATGCCCTGAGTCAAGCTGCCCAGTCTTCATCCAGTTATGCTGAAAACCCCACTCTTGGTTCTCTGCCTTGATATCACCACGTTTCCAAAGAAAGTGTGCAAAACTCCTGGGCTTTGGAGTCCAGCACACTCCAGGGTCCAGGGTCCAGGGTCCAGGGTCAACATCCAACTCAGTTGCTTTCTGGTTATAGGCTCAGGCAGGCACATTTGTCAAAGAGGTGTTTTAATCAATACATTGAAGATAATGATAATTCCTTCCATGCAGCACTGGTATTAGTAATAGCTGAGATATTATATATAAAATACTTGACAAAATTCTTACCAGAAAAGGCTGGTTGGCTGTTACGATCAAGGGGACTTTAATGGGATGGGGAGAAGACCCCGCTCCCAGTCCTGTCATCTGTGAATTTGTTATTAATAAGTATTTATTGACAGTGCATCTGCACGCACTCCTGTCTCTCAGAGCTGTGGAGGGGAAGAGCTCCCTGCAGGGTGAGGCAGGGTGCGGGGTGAGAAGTGCTGGGTTAGGACAGGGGCTGCACCTGCCAGGCCTGGCCCTGTGTGCATGGAAGGGGTGGGAGAGCCCCCAGAGTGGGGAAGGCTCATAGGCTGCCCCCTAGAGCAGAGAACAGCAAGGTCAGGTGTCCACACGTAGGATGCTCCCTCCAGCAGCCTGCAGAAGGGGCTGCGGACCCCAGGGTGGGGGTGACTGGGGTTGGCAGGAGGACCGGGGTAGGGAATACGGTTCTGCTGTGCAACACGCCTCTGCAGCAGTGGCAGCCAAGACCCACCTTCATAGATGGTGTCTGTTCAGTAAATGTTTGATGAAAGCAAAGACAGGAACAGAGGAGGGGAGGGAAGGAAGGGTGGGACAAAGAGCCACACTAATTACACAGGAAGGAAAAGCTGCATCCTCAGAAACTGCAGCCAAACTCACACTCACAGCCCACAGGTGGGGGGCTCCCAAGAAATGGTACAGACGAAAGACAAAAACAACTCCGAACTCAAACTCACACCTCACGGGTGGAGCAGGGTTCCTAAGAAATAGCACAGACAAAGATGGAGAAGACTCCACATTCAAACTCACAGCACAGCCCACAGGTGGGGCGGGGTTCCTAAGAAACAGCACAGATGAAACAGAAAGACTCCAAGAAGGCCAAAGTCAGTAGACCCACAAGAGGTTCATGGGGGTTCAGGTGGATGGGGACCCCCTAGCTGTATTAGTCCTTTTTCATGCTGCTAATAAAGACATACCTGAGACTGGGTAATTTATGCAGGAAAGAGGTTTAATGGACTCACAATTCCACATGGCTGGGGGGGCCTCACAATCATGGTGGAAGGCAAAGAGGAGCAAAGTCACATCTCACATGGATGACAGCAGGCAAAGAGAGCTTGTATGGGGAAACTCCCCCTTATAAAACCATCAGATCTTGTGAGGTTTAGTCACTATCAGGAGAACAGCAAGGGAAAGACCCACCCCTATGATTCGATTACCTTCCAACGGGTCCCTCCCACAACATATGGGAATTATGGGAGCTGCAATTCAAGATCAGATTTCAGTGGGGACACAGCCAAACCATATCATTATGCCCCTGGCCTCTCCCAAATCTCACGTCCTCACATTTTAAAACCAATCATATCTTCCCAACAGCCCCCCAAAGTCTTAACTCATTTCAGCATTAACTCAAAAGCCCACAGTCCAATGTCTCATCTGAGACAAGGCAAGTCCCTTCCACCTATGAGCCTGTAAAATCAAAAACAAGTTACTTGTTTCCTAGACATAATGGAGGCATAGGTATTTGTTAAATACAGCCATTCCAAATGGGAGAACTTGGCCAAAACAAAGAGGCTACAGGCCCCACGCAAGTCTGAAATCTAGCAGGGCAGTCAAATCTTAAAGCTCCAAAATGATCTCCTTTGACTCCATGTCAAACATCTGGGTCATGGTGATGCAAGAGGTGGGTTCTCATGGTCTTGGGCAACTCTGCCCCTGTGGCTTTGCAGAGTAAAGCCTCCCTCCCAGCTGCCTTCACGGGCTGGCATTGAGTGTCTGAGACTTTTCCAGGCACACAGTGCCAGTTGTTGGTAGATCTACCATTTTGGGGTCTGGAGGACCGTGGCCCTCTTCTCACAGCTCCACTAGACAGTGCCCCAGTAGGGACTCTGTGTGCAGGTTCCAACTCCACATTTCCCTTCTGCACTGCCCTAGCAGAGGTTCTCCATGAGGGCCCCACCCCTGGAGCCAACTTCTGCCTGGGCATCCAGGCATTTCCATACATCTTCTGAAATCTATGCAGAGGTTCCCAAACCCCAGTACTTGACTTCTGTGCACCTGCAGGCTCAACACTATGTGGAAGCTGCCAAGGCTTGGGGCTTGCCCCCCTCTGAAGCCACAGCCTGAGCTCCACATTGACTCATTTCAGCCACAACTGGAGCAGCTGGGACGCAGGGCATCAAGTCCCTAGGCTGCACACAGCATGGGGACCCTGGGCCCAACCCACAAAACCACTTTTTCCTCCTGGGCCTCAGGGCCTGTGATGGGAGGGGCTGCTGTGAAGACCTCTGACATGCCCTGGAGACATTTTCCCTATTGTCTCAGGGATTCACATTTGGCTCCTTGTTACTTAGGCAAATTTCCACAGCTGGCTTGAATTTCTAGTCAGAAATTGGGATTTTATTTTCTATCACACTGTCAGGCTGCAAATTTTCTGAACTTTTATGCTCTGCTTCCCCTACAAAACCAAGCACCCAAGTCACCTTTTGAATGCTTTGCTGCTTAGAAATTTCTTCCGCCACATACCCTAAATCATCTTGCTCAAGTTCAAAGTTCCACAAATGTCTAGGACAGGGGCAAAATGCTGCCAGTCTATTTGCTAAAACATAACAAGAGTCACTTTTGCTCTGGTTCCCAACAAGTTCCTCATTTCCATCTGAGACCACCTCAGCCTGGACTTTATTGTCCATATTGCTGTCAGCATTTTAGGCAAAGCCATTCAACAAGCCTCTAGGAAGTGCCAAACTTTCCCACATTTTCCTGTCTTCTGCTGAGCCCTCCAAACTGTTCCAACCCCTGCCTGTTACCCAGGTCCAAAGTTGCTTCCACATTTTTGGTTATCTACAGCAGTGCCCCACTCTACCGGTACCAATTTACTGTATTAGTCTGTTTTCATGCTGTTGATAAAGACATACCCGAGACTGGGTAATTTATACAGGAAAGTGATTTAATTGACTCACAGTTCCACATGGCTGGGGAGGCCTCACAATCATGGTGAAAGACCAAGGGATGTCTTACATGGCAGCAGGTAAGAGAGAGTTTGTGCAGAGAAACTCCCCCTTATAGAACCATCAGATCTTGTAAGACTTATTCACTACCATGAGAACAGCACGAGAAAGACCCACTCCCATGATTCAAGTGCCTCCCACTGGGTCTCTCCCACAATACATGGGAATTGTGGGAGCTACAATTTAAGATGGGATTTGGGTACAGACACAGCCAAACCATATCACTAGCCCTAAGGCAGGTGCCAGTTACATTGTCTCACCAGAGCACCCTGAGAGCCACAGCCAGGAGAGAAATGGTGGGCAGGACCCACTACAGGTCCACCCTGGTGGGCATACATGTGCAGGCACCTGGGCAACGCAGCTCAGCACAGCCTCATGACTCCAACTCCCCTCCGTGAACAGCCCCGGGGGTCAGGATGTGGAGGAGGCCAGGACCAGGGAGGATGGGGCCACTGCATCACCACCCTGGGCTGAAGACCCCTCCACCATGTCCTGGGTAAGCCACACAACCTCACCCACTTTTTGGTGTAAAACAGGTAAAACAGCATGGAATTTGCAAAGTATCCCATGAATGCGACTGTTCTCCTCCCCACTCCCCTCTTCTCTCCTCAGAAAGTCGCCATGAAGGAAAGAAATGCATAAATCTGTCTTCTGCAAAAACAATTTTTCCAGCCCCATTCTATTCTTACAGCAGGAGTCCCCAACCCCCGGGCCATGAACCAGTACAAGAACCAGGCCACACAGCAGGAGGTGAGCAGCAGGTGTGCGAGCATTCCCGCCTGAGTTCTGCTGCCTGTCAGATCAGCGGTGGTGTTAGATTTTACAGGAGTGCAAACCCCATTGTGAACTGCGCACAGGAGGGACAGAAGCTGCACACTCTGTACGAGAATCTAATGCCTCATGATCCAAGGTGGAGCTGAGGCAGTGATGGGAGTGCTGGGGAGCAGCTGCAAACACAGATTAACATGAACAGAGAGGTCTGACTGCACAGAGATCACAATCAATCAATTGCTTGCAGACACATATGAAAACCCTATCAGTGGGCTTTAGAGTGGCAAATGAGTTGGAAAAAAGTGCACAATAAACATATTGCACTTGGATCTTTCCAAAACCACACCCCCAACCATGGTCCATGGAAAAACTGTCTTCCAGGAAGCTGGTCCCTGGTGCCAAAAAGGTTGGGGACCACTGTCTTACAGCCTATTGATAAATGGCACACTCCGTCAGTATCCCACAGTACATTAATGTTCATCATGACATGATGCCTGGAGAACATTAAGGCTCCTATTAACACATGAGGGGCCCTGAAGACCCACCTCCTGAGCTAACGTCCAACAAGAGTTCAAAAGACACACCTCATGCAGAACTCTTATTCAACAGAATTTGAAGAACTATTTTGAAGAATTATTTTTGTAACTCATTCAAAAAAAGTGATCAGAGGCAAAAGCAGCATGCAGGGTCAGGCACTTCTATTAGTGAATGTATCTATTTGATATAATCCACAGGGCCAGTATTTGCTTCAGAACAGAGCAATCATGCACATAATATCATCCCTATAAACAAAATGGGAAATAGCATGGACTTAACATTCCAAAGTATAATATACTCTTCCAAAGGAGAGATTGCCCTCACCCTTTGTGGCTGCCAGTTTAAAGTGCAGAGTTTTGCCATGGAATGCCCTTTCAATTTTTTATTAATTACATGGAACCAAAGACTTTAAATAGCCTCCGGGATCCCAAAAAATGATATTTTAAAATTATCCAGCTTTACTGTCAGAAATTTAATTTGAAGTTCAAAAGTCAAGATAAAACTAAAGTCATCAAAACAGAAGGACAAAAGAACTTTAAGTGGTCAGGAAAGAAAGGTGTGGGTTTGTGTTCAATTGCAGAAGAGTCTCAGGGTGAGAGTTTATGGAAACCCCAACTAGAGCCCACCTGCTCAGGTGTCTTCACGCACACATATGTCTCAGAGAGGCACACAGTAGCAGCAAACAACTACGGCCAGTTTGTGATGTTAATGACTTTTTTACAGAATTACGTAATAACGTCATTAGTATTTTAAACCCTTTGGCATATGAGAGCCACTATGCTCCGGAAAGCGTGATCACACTGAAGGAATCCTTTTCACTTGAGTCCTTGGCTTGAAAATGCCACTGTTTGGATGGTTACTTCCTGTTGAGAACCTTGACCATTTTCAGGGACAGAACTTTAAACTCTGCTTGAAGCATCCCGCGCATCCTCTGTCTCATCGCTGGTCATCCATGTCCCTCACACACTCATGATTTGC
Source organism: Homo sapiens (assembly GCF_000001405.40). Lineage (NCBI taxonomy): Eukaryota > Metazoa > Chordata > Mammalia > Primates > Hominidae > Homo > Homo sapiens. The sequence continues at coordinate 158,384,114 of NC_000007.14, forward strand.
GTGCACCAACTGTATCACAACCTGCTGGGCTCGCTCAAGGTACTTGGCACACATGTCTATTTGTCTGCTGTCACCCAGGTGGCCACATTTGGAGGTCACCACACAGGAGGAGGAGCTGGTAAGGGCCTGCATTGCCCATTAATTTTGAGGATTTATGGTACCCTGGAAACCAAAAGGACCTTTCGGCCAGACACCAACACATCTCTCAGGAGCACAACACAGGGCAGAAGCAGCCGGGATGTGGGGACCGCGGGCTGTAAACTATTAATGCAAGATGCCAGGGGCAGCACCCAACCTCCAGAGGTTTTTCCCGCTGATCTCAGTGAAAGGTAGGCACTGACAGTATCCACAGTGTGAGAGGGCAGGGGCTCCTTAACAGTTACAGATCTCTGTATGCAAATGAAAGTACACAAAGCCAGACACTTAGGAAGAAGGCGCTTCAACAGGCACAGGTGTTACTGCTTAAGCCAAGACAGATGAGTATAATGTAGAGAAACCCTGTATTACAGGAGGGATTAAGCCAGAAGGGTGTTTGTGGGAGGGAATGAACCTTCCCTTCATCAAAAATCACTGCAAACTGTGTGCATAACACCCATCTGTGTGTTTAAAATAAAAAATTTCATTTACTAATAAGTGATTACATTTGACCCTTAAACATGCACTCTTTGTAAAAGTTACCAAAGGTACCAAAACTGAAATACTAATTGCCAGAAGACATTTTCACGAGTCAGAGGGCCGACCAAACACAGATGTCAGGGTGCACCTCTGCAGCATGTGGGCTATGCGCATCAGTAAAATCACCTGCCCGCCCTCACAGCAGTATTTGCTGCGCATCAGTAAAATCACCTGCCCGCCCCCACAGCAGGATTTGCTGGTGTGACTTCCGCCCTCACCGCAGAAGAATTTGCTGGTGTGACTTCCATTCAGTGCATCAACGTCCCCTAATGGAGTTTCTGATGTTTAAATTTTCCGTTCCACACTCCCACCAATGCCCCTGAAGCATGGAATAATAAATACGAAACCATTTGTCCTCTTCTGATAACATCGACAAGAACCTAAATGTCTTCTTTGTAAACCAATCATACCACACTATGTGAGTCCCACTGTAACAAAAGCTACTTTAATATAAAATTCTGGGAACAATTCCAGAGACAAGAGTCCCAACCAATTAAGGCAAGAAAGACACCACTGGAAAAAAAAAGGTTTCAATTGAACCGATGAAGATGTACTCTGATGACATTTCAGATTTTGAAAGGATTTGAAGAAACATTAAGGGTGAAAGTGCAACAACCAAGTAGAATTGGCCTCTACTTTAAAATCTCACTGTATAGCAAGCAAAGAGAGCTGTTTTGAGATAAAATGGAAAATCAGAAGTTTGGGCATCCATGAAACATTCTTGTTAATTAAAATCCAGCATAAAATTCCACACCTTGTTTCATTTCAGTGATTTAAACAATTACATTAATGATAATAATGCCTTAAGTCAACAAAGGAGGTCCATACAATTTTTCCCTTTTAATGGGGTTTAGATATTACTCAAAGTTTACAAATGCTGGCATACAGAAAAGCACAAGTTCAGGCCTGCTACTGATGAGCTACGTGATACCAGAAAACGGTTTCAAGTCCGTTTCTAAATTTCCACAGTCTCCAGGAAGAAGATGGGTTGGTGACCTTGTGCGTCTCTCCTGTGGTGAACACCATGGATTTCATCTCCAGGAAGAGGGCTCTGCTGTGTTTCCCTCCATGAGCAGATGTGCCCCTCCTCCCATGCCCCGAGTCCCTCCTTCCGTGCTCCTCCTCCCTCCTCCCATTCCCCGAGTCCCTCCTCCTGTGCTCTGAGTCCCTATTTCTGTGCCCCTCCTCCCTCCTCCCATGCCCTGAGTCCCTCCTCCCGTGCCCCAAGTCCCTCCTCCCGTGCCCCGAGTCCCTCCTCCCGTGCCGAGTCCCTCCTTCTGTACCCTTCCTCCCTCCTCCCGTGCCCCAAGTCCCTCCTCCCATGCCCAGAGTCCCTCCTCCCATGCCCCAAGTCCCTCCTCCCATGCCCTGAGTCCCTCCTCCTGTGCCCCAAGTCCCTCCTCCCGTGCCCCGAGTCCCTCCTCCTGTGCTCTGAGTCCCTATTTCTGTGCCCCTCCTCCCTCCTCCCATGCCCTGAGTCCCTCCTCCCGTGCCCCAAGTCCCTCCTCCCGTGCCCCGAGTCCCTCCTCCCGTGCCGAGTCCCTCCTTCTGTACCCCTCCTCCCTCCTCCCGTGCCCCAAGTCCCTCCTCCCGTGCCCCAAGTCCCTCCTCCCATGCCCAGAGTCCCTCCTCCCATGCCCCGAGTCCCTCCTCCCATGGTGCAGGAGCTGCCTCCGTTCATCCAGGCTCATTCATCCAATTCCCCTCGGGACCAGGGTATGCACTTTTCCAGGTAGCTTGATGGGGTCAGGGGAGCTTATAGCTATGGATGGGTGCAGGAGATGGGGCCAGTGGGGACATGAACCTGGAGAAAGCATAACTGAACACACTGTCGATCATCCAAATGCCCAAACATTTAACCTGGAAAAAAATGGATCCTTCAATCCCCAATCTTATCCACCATCACCAAATGTAGATGTACAACCTACCAGCGATCAAGTTCAGGCAACAAAAAACAGAAAGCCCAGCCCTTCACAGGCTCCTACTGCATCGACTCCCAGCTCTTGCTGTGGTGGTTTCAAGTGTTAATGCAGCTCTCCAGAGTTTTAGCAAATCTGCTACCCTAGGAGATGAATGGGAAGGTGTTAGCAATCTGCCACCCTGGGAGATGAATGGGAAGGTGCTTCCACATCCTCCATGATGAACACGACTCCACACGGCCCGATCACCCACCTAAGCACTCGCCACAGGGGTGGGCTGAGGATGGGGGGACTGTGGCTTCTCACCCTCTGGGATCGCGTCTGCCCAGGCTCTTTTGATGACGCGTCTCTGTGGCAGCATGTGTTCTAGAACACGGGAGGCTCTGCCCAAATGCCTCTGAGGCCAAACCGGGACCCAGATCCCCAGGAGGCTGGGAAAGTCCTGCCCTAAGTGGCCTCAGCTTCAACCAGCGGCTGCCCTGGCTTCAGGGCCCACACGGACAGATCTCCTGGTACCACATGGGAGACCAGAAACCTTTCCATGAAACTTTCAGAACTGTAAACACAGATGCCCAATTCACATAGACACTGAAATCACATCTGCAAGCCAAATAGGTCAGGGAGGGCTCATCCTGCACCACAGGAGGGCTGAGGTGGGGCCAGGACCACGCTCACTGCCTTCGCTGGGGTCTCCGCAGGCTCCAGAGAGCTGGAAGGCAGATGGTGACCACAAAGACAACTCTTGTTTTGTAAGACGGTAGCCAAGGGCGCATTTACAAGTGGAGTGCGATCGGGTTACGATGTTGGAAAGCACTCTCTGGGTCCTGGGGGGACTGGACTCCAGGGGGCTGCGGCATCCCTGTCAGCTCAGCTTGGCCCGGCCAGGCCCGGGGATGCAGCTGAAGGCGGAGAGCTGCTGTGAGGCCCTGGGAAGACGCGGTGGCCACCACCATCTGCTGAATCTGCTGACTTAAAGGCAATGGTGCTGGATGGTCTCATCCAGGCGGAGGCTGCAGAGCCAGGGCGAAGTTTCCTGAAGGAGATGGAATCCTGCTGTAGATGGCGGCAACATGAAGAGCTGTCAAAGTCTCCAAGCCGCTGCCCTGTGGGATTCGGACAAGAGGCTGCAGCAGGAACCCGCCTCTGAATTCCCAGCCCACCAGCTGCCCTGCAGATGTCAGACCCGCCAGGCCCCCAATCGGTGAGCTAATGCCTTGAAATACTGTCTCTGTCTGTACACACACATATATCTCTATTTACACACACATATATCTATTTATACACACACATCTCTATTTATACACACATACAAACCCCCTGCTGAGTCTGTTTCTCTGGAGAACCCCAGCTCCACAGCAGCCTTCTCCCCACAGAAAATACTTTCGGAGGATTCCCCCGACCCCAGGATGTAGCCACCTCTCCCCTGTGTCGGCTTCACTCTGCAGGTCTCGGCAAGGAGCACCCCTGTCCACACTGAACAAGAAGCCCCTGGACCCTTCCGAGTGGCCATCACCTGATCCACGGCCACATCCTCCACGGGAAGCCACGGTTCACGTCAATCCCGGCACCAAGGTCCCAGAATTCACAGCTTCTGGGCTCGGTCCCGCAAGACCACCCCCCCATGAGGGCCAGTGCAGATGGACAGCCAGGCCACCTGCATTTCTTCCCAGCCAGCGACAAACTCGGCTGCCCACAACCTCCTCGGGTGCAATTTTTCTTTGGATGACACAGAACTTGGGAAAGCACTTCACTCACCATCACTAGCTCTTATAAAGGACACAGCTCAAGGAGAGCCAAACTGAGGGACGCACGGGGCAGGGTGCAGGGCACACGTCACACCTGCCCTGGGTGCACCAGGCTCCCTGCACCTCCACGTGTCTGCCAACCTGCGAGCTCCATGAACCTCTCACTTAGTTCTCTATGCAGGTTTCACGTACATAGGCATGATGGATTAAATCACTGGCCATTGGTGATTAACCCCCCAAGAGTTGGGGGGGCCTGAAAGGCCCAACCATCTAATGGTGCCTTGGCCTTTCTGGCCACCAGCCCCACCCTGAAGCCAGCCAGGGCTCCCAGCCACCTCTCAGCACACAAAAGACACTCATCGCCCCAGAGACTCCAAGGGTCTCAGGAGCCAGGAACCAGACACAAACTCCAAATACATACGTTATTATTAACCCACACACAGATGATACAAAACTTCTTTTTCACCCTCCAATGCTCAGTGCTGAGCTCAGCTGTGATCGATCTGAAGGAATAGGTCAACCCTAAGGGCTAAGCTCGGACTGGCGATTAGAACCTACAACCATGGAGGCTTGATTTCACCCAACGTGAGGCGGGCCCCTGGAAGGAGAAGGGCTCCAGATGCAGGCAGGGCAGTGCCTGGGCCTCAAAGTCTGCGAAGAGAAGCTGAAGGGAAACAGGCGTCCGAAGGGCCACACCTGGGCCCTGAAGCCCTCGGCAGGAGGCAGGTGCGGCCACTGAGGCCACACCACACTTCAGTGAGTGATTCCTCACAGAATGAAACACGACACACCTGCTGTACATAAAGTTGTTTTTAAGATCAGCCCAGGCTGCGACGCATGTGGAGGACACGCAGCCGTGTCCATAGACCACACGAAGTGAAAGCGCACTTTGACTGTGAAATCCAATTACTTTGGATTTAAGCTCTGAAATGCAAGTTCATTAGAAAAGAGATGTATTGTGCCTTCTTTCTGTGGTGGCCCCTCAATTAATCCTCTGGTCATTGAAGAATGAAAAACATCAACCCACAGGCTTCCCTTGCACAGACACCAGAGTCTGAGTGAATAATTATGGTTTTGATTCTGAGTTATGAAACAAACACTCCTCCTTATTAAATAAATTAAAAATAATGGGATCTGCGAAAGATCAATACACAAGAAAGGTACATTTGCAATAACGGCTGCCGCCGTCACAAATGCAATTCTAGACTCAGCCACCAGCCTGGCTGCTGGAACCAGGCCCTGCGAGAACACGGATGACAACACAGATGCACGGATAAATCATCACGCGTCGCATTCCCAGAATAGAAAATGGGCTAAACGCAAGTTCTGTCCTTCCTGCTCTCCTTTGTTCCTGGCCACATCTTAGTTTTCACAAACGGGCTCTTGGAGAAAAGAGGTGAGAGCCTCAGCAAAGGTTGTGGGATGTTAATGGACACATCCAGAAAGCAGGGCCCTGGCCCAAGACGCGTGGTGAGGCAGCCCCAGGTGCTGTCCTCCGGTGCAGCCAGGCCTCCTGCATCCACCTCGGATGACTCTGTAATGACGCTGTTCACATCCACAGAAGACAGGAGGATCCTACGGAGGGATGAAGCCTCTCAAACGTCTACACGATACTCAGCTGCGTTTATTCAAACCGATCTTCTTTGTGCCCCAGCTCCATCCCCGCCCCACCACCCTGTCCTCTCATCCCCCGGCTGCTGAGTGTGCACAGAGGCATGTCCCCTTGAACTCAGAGGCGCCGTCGCCCTGGGCCGTGTCCTCCCACGGCTCTCATGGTCACACAGCTCAGTGGCTGCTATGTGGAAATGGCCTCTCCTTGCAGCCAGGGGCAGCCGGCACCTGGAACAGCAATGAACTCGACTAAGAAGTTATTCCCATGCAGCGAGTGGCACTAAGTCGCAGCCGAACCAATTTGCTTCATGGGAAACACATTTGCCTTCAAAGAACACGTAAAGTGGAATCAGCAGCCAGACGGAGTTATGAGGTGAGACCTGCGGAGTCTCTGAGCTGGAGGCCCTTCTGCCCCAGGACAGTCACAGCAGGCACCCCGACCCCATCCCTTCTCCAGCCTCGCAGTAGGACCATCGTGCTGGAGGGCCTCGGCCAAGGTAGGAGGGAACACAGGCATCTGGACACCGAGTGGCCGCAATGCTGCTCACTGTGGCTCTGGGAGCTGAGCCTGTCCCATGCCAACTGCTGTCCACTGCCCGGCCAGGCTTGCCCCGTCCCAGAGGGTGCAGAACCACCAGCCCCTCAGCTCTCAGCGCACTTTGCGGGAGAGCTGGCCGATGTCTCCCAAGCCTTCTCTTCTCGCGCATCGTCCCCTTAACTGTCAGCTCCACTCTACAAATGTCCTCTCAAAATGCGAAGCTCAAGGTGGGTATGTCATGCCCCAAAGAGGCTACGAAAAATGGAGGGGCAGGAAGGGCAGATGAAAACCCATCCCCCACGGGTGCCGCGTCACATGCACTGTGTCCACGTGGCAGGCTCTGTCCGCTGTCAGGGCCCTACAGGAACAAGCCCTCCTGAAATGGTGTGAAACCCACCCCCACCTCCACTAATTCACCACTTCCAAATTCGAGGGGTGGAAATCATCCTAACTACAGACTAGATTTTCTTCCCTCTTGCGACGGTTGTAACGCAACAGCCATGTTTCACGTTCAGATGTACAGCTGCAGGAACAAATACTTCTTATTCCAAACACCCTAACCCAGCAGCTGCTGCTCCCTTAAAGATAAAAAGAACCTGCACGAGAGACATTGACTTCCATTCCCTGGAGGGACCCTCTGGGGCCAATGGCCGAGGAGAAAGGGGCTGTGAGCCCACGCCATCCCTCCAAGCCTGGAAGCCCAGGCGCCACCCTCCCTTGTCTGAAACCGCGCTCCCTCTCCTGGCCAAGCTGCACCAGGCCCGAAATCCAGGTCCGGGCCCTGACACCCAGCTATACTCACAGGCCCATCTCTCCTTCGGACGCTGACTGCAGAGGCCCGTCGGGAAAGAGACCATGTCCTGGGAAGGTCTCTCAGCCACAGCAGCCTCCCCTAGCTTCTTCCTGAGGCTTAAGGTCACCATGAGGAGGATACAAATGTCTCATTTTATGATGAGAAATGCCCACCTACCCCGCAGGAGGAGAGGCCTTCCCACATTTTCCCACCAGCACCCATGCTGCACATGCCCCTTGAGATGCAGGCCCAACCCCTGCCAGGACATAGAGCAGCTGGAGTCCCACCCCAGCCCCTCACAGCCCTGACCAGCTGCCCAGGCTGGATGCAGCCCTGCAGCCCTGGGGATGGGAGGAGGCAGGAGGTTTCCCCAGTGCCAGGCCCTGGTCAGTACCGGGGGCGGGGGAGGAAAGGAGCTGCACCCCCAGCCAGACAAGGCCACAAACAGGGCACAACAGTGAGCAGCACTGCTCTCACCAGAATTTAAAAGCAAACAGATTTGCCACCTGGGATGACGCCCTCAGGAATGAGCACCTTTGAGACAGGGAGCCCGCCTGTGAGTCGAGAGTCCTCCACCAGGCCCCCAGGGTGGCTTCAGGAGGGACCGTTTGCAGGGCAGGGATGATGCAGTACTGGGCTGGTGCGGGGGGAGTAGCCATACCCAGGGGAGGGAATTGTGAGGACTGGGCTGCCTTTGGGGGTGACCTTTGGCCAAGGGACAATGGCCAGGCTGGGGCTTCCGTGGGGAGGGAATGAGGGTGGACCTCCCCTCTCCCTCCCTTCATCTCCTGTCCATCCTCAGGGTGAGGACTCTGATGTGGCCATGCAGGTCAAACTCCCCGAGGAGGAGAGGGGCTGGGTCAGGGACCACCCCAGCACTGGACACAGGGTGTGGACACAAAGGCAAGCCTCCTGGGCACTGTGGATGTTCCACAAGATGGGTCCACTCATGAGACCGTGGCTGAGCGGCAGGCACAGGGCAACCCCAAGTGTTCTGTCCATGCGTCAGCTCACACGAGGAGAGGGCGGCGGGGATCTGCTGCACACCCAGCGTTGTCTGGGGAACCATCCTGGCATGGAGCAGGGCCTCACAGGACAGCTGCTTCTCTTGGCCAGCAAGAGCTCCACGTGGGGGCACGGCCCCAGCAGCCAGTGAGGATGGCAGAACATGTGGGTGCAGCCCTGTCCTTGTGTCCGTGGGGGAGGAGTCAACTCACCGGGGTCTGACCACATCAAGGTGCTACAGAAACACATTGTAGATCAATGTGTTTCACCAACTGCGAAGACACAAAGCCGGGCCCTGGGTCCAGTCAGCAGCCAAGGGGCAGGGTCCTTGGAAGCCAAGCCGGAGCCTCGCCAGGACCCCACAGGCTTCCCGGTATCCCCTGCGGACAGGACCATCCTGCTCTGGTTATCTGTCCACATCCCAAAGCCTCATCGGACCTGCAGGTATGTCTCACCCCAGGCAGCCCCTCTCGGTAGAATTTTAGAAATAACTTCCTTCCATTAAGGAAGAACAGGGTGATGAGAACTCCTCGAGCACGCCTGTCAACCTCAGTGTCTAGAACCACCAGCCCCTCCAGGGAGGCTGAAAACAGCAAGTCCACAGAGAGAAAGGGCTGCACAGGCCCAGCTGCCCAGGCCCCTGTGCCTGCTGCAGAGAAGGAAGGGGAGTCCTTTCCAGGGGCCTCTGCACCCCAGGTGGCCCTGGTCTTACTCGATGTTGGCTGGAAAGGAGACTGGGCAGGAAGAAAACGGGAGCTGGAAACCATCCCATCCTGGTCACAGCGCCTCCAACGCACCCTCCTCACCCCACGGCGTCTTTAAAAAGGCCGAAACCTGGGTTTGAAAATCCTGCAAACATCCAAGAGACTCAAATGCTGCGTGATAAATTTAGAAAGGTCAAGTGTACTTAACACGCTCTGCCACGAACACTGAAGGAAAATTAAAGTTCAGCCTGGTTTCCTTAAACATCATCACCAGGGGGCACGTCGGAGGGACTTCGCTCTGGGAGACGCCTTGCAGGACGACCCCGGGCAACTTCAGCCTCCACACAAATGACACAGAAATGGTTCCCAGAACAAAAAAGGACACTCTGAGCCTGACAGGGGATGGAGGTGTTTCCCTCAGACAACATAAAGGTCTCAGGCCCGGCACCTGCTGCAGACCGGCCTCAGCTCTGGGTTTCTCCCTTTGGTGAATCTGCACCTTTTGGAAGTGGAAGTCATCTTTCAGCGTCATTTTCATCAGAGTTTCTAGCTTTTCACAGCTTAGTGGGGGATGCTTCCCAATAGTGTGATGGCTCTAATGCTTTTCATTATAATCTCATCGCCTAACACTGGTGAAGAAGGAATCATGACGTGATTGCAACACACTTCAAGGAAGCCCACACCGTCTTCATGATGGAACATCACTCAGGGGCTTCTCAAACGTGGTGAGCAGCCTGGGTTCAATGTATATCACCTTCCATCACCTCCCTCCCCAGCCAAGGCCACGTCCCCTAACACACAATCAAACCCAAACCCCAAGGACACCACTGCTCTGGGACCCCCACCCTTCATCTCTCACCCCTTAAACTGTGCCATCAGCCCATCCACTGGCATCCTGGGTAACAATGTCCCACCCCCATGGACACCTCGCTCCCCCTCTGTCCCTCACAGATGCGTGGCCCCCCTCTGTACCCCACAGATGCCTGGACCCTTCTCTCCCACAGACACCTGGACCCCCTCTGTCCCCCACGGACACCTCAACCCCTCTGTCCCCGACGGACACCTGGACCCCCTCTGTCCCCCACGGATGCGTGGTTCCCCTATGTCCCCCACAGATGCCTGGACCTCTCTGTTCCCTGTGGACCACTGGCCCCACTCTGTCCCCCATAGACGCCTGGCTCCCCTCTGGCTCCCCCACCAAGGAGCAGGTATAATTTTTCTTGGCACAAAAATCCATGGCTGCTTTCAGGGCCACAGGGAGGGCATTGGAGGCCACGGAAGTGTGAGAGGCACAGGTGTGTGCAGGGAACACCTGTGGAACTGCTGTCCCAGCCTGCGACGGGGATGCTGCTGCCTCACCAGGAGTGACCCAGGTTGGCAGGTCGGGGATGAGCCCCCGTGGCTGTCCAAGCCCACCTGGTGAGAATGGAGCAGCCCTGGTTCCCTGAGCACCCCCTTCAGAGCTCCGGGTGGTCTCTAAGTACTGGCTGCTCGTCCATCCCCCCAGGCGCAGAAAGTGTCAAGGCACAAAACTCACTCATTGATGAGGGGAGCAGATTTTTGCTGCTGGGGGCCTAAGAAAGGAAGACGAGCTAGCGTCAAAGCTTCCAGCATTCAGGACGGGGCGACAAGGACTGTAGGCAACTCACAAAAACACAGAGGGTGTGCGGCAGGGGCTGCCCCTCCACCTGACTCAGTGTTGGAGACCCGACACCCTCACCTCCTAAACAGCCCTGACCAGAGGCATTTACCGTGTGCCCAAAAGAGACCGAATCGTCACAGGGACAGTGGGACAGCGGCCAGGCTGTGCAGGCCGCATCTCTGCAACGCGTCAGCCAGAGAAAGCCGGGGGCACCCCAGCCAGCACTCAGGAGGCCCTGCCCGTCCACACGACACCTGGGCCAACCAGCCCTTTCTGCTGTAAAACTTCGGCTCCTCTACCTGCCTGAGTCTTTGCCAAGCACGAGGGACAGTGACTGACCCCTCGTTCCCGCCAGCCTGAGTAAGTAGCCGCGTTTTCGCCTGGGTGGTCTGCAAGGTTCACCCACCTTCCAGGAGCCTCCGGAGTCTGGGGTGGAGGGGCTGCAGTACCCGAGCACGGCCGCTAGATGGCACGCAGGCGCGGTCTCGACCTGAATCCCCCGTGCGGGCACCTGCGCCCAGGGCTGTCCCTGCACAAGTGAGGGGTGAGGGGTGAGGGGCGAGGGGTGAGGGGCGAGGGGCGAGGGGCGAGGCGCGAGGGGCCAGGGGCCAGGGGCGAGGGGCGAGGGGGAGGCGCGAGGGGCGAGGGGCCAGGGGCGAGGCGCGAGGGGTGAGGGGTGAGGGGCGAGGGGTGAGGCGCGAGGGGCCAGGGGCGAGGGGCGAGGGGCGAGGGGCCAGGGGCGAGGGGTGCGGGGCGAGGGGCGAGGCGCGAGGGGCCAGGGGTGAGGGGTGAGGGGTGAGGCGCGAGGGGCCAGGGGCGAGGGGCGAGGCGCGAGGGGCCAGGGGTGAGGGGTGAGGGGTGAGGCGCGAGGGGCCAGGGGCGAGGGGCCAGGGGCGAGGCGCGAGGGGAGAGGGGCGAGGGGCGAGGCGCGAGGGGCGAGGCGCGAGGGGCGAGGGGCGAGGGGCGAGGGGCGAGGCGCGAGGGGAGAGGGGAGAGGGGCGAGGGGTGAGGCGCGAGGGGCGAGGGGTGAGGCGCGAGGGGCGAGGGGTGAGGCGCGAGGGGCGAGGGGCGAGGGCTCCCGGCCTGCGCCGCCTTGGATCCCACCAGCCCCGAATTCGGGCAGAGCGCCATGGAGGGCCCAGCCTGGAGGGGGAGCTCGGAGCCTGCAGCAGGTGAGGTCGGGCTACAGACTTCCCTCTGCCCCCTGGTCACAGAGGTGAGAGTGGGGCCTCATCCCAGTCCCGCCGCGACCCATGGGGCAGAGCTGCTGCCCTGGCCCAGGCACGCACAGCTTCTCAACAGCCACATCGCAGGCTGGCCCTGGCCTCCCCAACCAGAGACCAAGCTCCCAGGCTGCAGAGGCAGCGAAGGCCGGGACACGCACAGGGCAGCGGGCAGCCAGTGCCACGTGGGCTGAGGAGGCACTCCCTAACGGGAGACAGCGCCCAGCCAGGGCTGGTTTTCTCACCGTCATTGTCAAAGGCCTTTTGAGCATTTTCACACACACACACAAAGAAGCCGTTTAAAACAATAAAAGTGTAGTGCTGGGGAAATGATTAATGCATATATCTCTATTTCAAACCCGCAAAAGGAATCAAAACAAAAAGACCTTTAAAGAGACACACAAAAAGGTGACAGCATCGTGAGGTGAAGTCTGTGTGTGTGTGTACATGTGCACGTGTGTGTGCATGAATGTGTCACGTGTGTGCACGCGTGTACATGCATGTGATTTTGTTCACATGCATGCACATGTGGAGGGAGCGAGCTGCTCCCCTCCTCGCCGAGTGAGTTTTGTGCCTTGCCCGCTTCCTGTGCTCAGGGGGATGGACAAGCAGCCAGGATGTTAGAGGCCACCCAGAGCTCTGAAGGGGGCACTCAGGGAACTGGGGCAGCTCCGTTCTCACAGGGTAGGCTTGTGTGTGCTTTGTGTGCACGTGTGTGTGCATGTTTGTGTGTGCACATGTGTGCATGTGTGTGTGTGCGCATACCATCTCCCCAAGCCGCCTCCACCTGCACACACCAGCGGTGACCCG